>NC_000016.10:54259469-54562500 GCF_000001405.40 Homo sapiens | reverse complement strand
GAGTTAATTTATGACAAGGGCAAGGGGTACCTTGCTGGCTCCTCTGGTGGGCACAGGCATTATAACTTAATTTATGGTTAAAGCAGCTTGTTTTAATTGAGTGCAAAAAGGTGGTTTCTTGTCTGGATTTTGGAGTCCTAAGGTGAATGGAGAGAGGACTGGGTGTACCGGGTTCTTATTTGAAGGGGGAGGATCATGAACGTCAGTCCACAAGAAGCAGAATATTGGAAGAGGATATGTTTTGATCCAATGCCATCGATCAAAAGCTTGCCAAGGGGATAAAAAGAAAAACATGACAGCCGACACACACCCAGGGCCTCCTAGGCTTCTCCATGGCCCTTGGGGGAACAGGAGCACATTCTGGAGCAGGGCAGGAGAATGCACCAGCATGCCCACTTGTATAGTTATGGATGATACATATGACTTGAGATATCACTCTGGAGAAAGCTCTGAGGTTCTCCAGACAAGCCTGGGAGGCACTGAGGGCTTTGAATTTGTTCAACAGCTGAGAACAGGGCAGGTATATGGGGTGTGAATGTGAGGACCTATGTGTTTATCTGTGAACATGCGTGACTGTGAATGAGGAGGAATGTGTGTATATCTGTGTATGCGTGTCTGGGTCTGTGTCCCAGTGGGTATATATCTGTGAATATGTGTGGGCATGGATGTAGGAGATGTGTGTACATCTATAGATGCATGTCTTGTGTGTGAATATGGGAGAATATGTGTGTGTCTCTGAATGTAGATGGGGAAATTTGAATCTATCTATGAATATTAGTGTGTTATGAATATATGTAGACTTACAATGTGTCTATGGGGGGAATGTGTGTTTATCTGTGAAGGTATGTATATGTGAGATGAATGTGTATGAATGTGTGTGATTGTGTGAGTGTGAGAACATGTGTATATCTGTGAATGTGTGTCTGTGTGTGTGTGTGGATGGAGAAGATTTGAAGATATCTATGAATGTCAGTGTGTTTGTGTAAATGTGTGTATACTTGCCAATGTGTGGCTGGGTTTGTGAACATGGGAAACGTGTCCATCTATGAATGTATGCATCTACGTGTGTGAATGTGGGGGAAGGTGTGTACTTGTATGTGTGAAGATGTGGACACGTATGTTGATCTGTGAATGCATGTATGTATCTGCATATATGAAGATAGGGAAAATTTGACTATATCTATGAATATGACTATGTTAATACAAATGCCTGCACACTTGTGAATGCATATCTGTGTGTGAATGTGTACAGATCTCTGGATGTATGTGTCTGTGTGTAAGAAGAGGAGGGAATGTGTGTATACCTGTGAATATGTGTATGTGTGTGTGTGGTGTAAGTGTGGAGGGATGTGTATATACCTGCAAATGTGCATGCACACATGTGTGTATGTGGGGGAAGCATCTTTGCATGTATGCCTGCATGTGCCGTGTGATCATGGGGCTATGCATGTCTCTCTATGAGCATGTATGTGTCTGAGAGTGTATGTGCATGCACGTGCATGTATTTATGACCTCACCCATCACAGCTGTGCACCAGCACCCTGAGGCCCACACAATGGCTGCAGTCTGAATCTGGTTTGGGGGCTCTTTATGGCAGTCTCTTGCCATATGTCTTTTATACTATCCTCGTATTCACTCACTCTATTAGTCTGTTCTCACGCTGCTAATAAAGACATACCCAAGATTGAGCAATTTATAAAGAAAAAGAGGTTTAATGGACTCAACAGTTCCACATGTCTGGGGAGGCATCACAATCATGAAGGAAGGCAAAGGAGGAGCAAAGGTGGCATGTCTTACATGGTGGCAGGCAAGACAGTGTGTGCACAGAACTGTCCTTTATAAAACCATCAGATCTCATGAGATTTATTCACTATCGTGAGAGCAGCACAGGAAAAACCCACTCCCATGATTCAATTACCTCCCACCAGGTCCCTCCTACAACCTGTGGGGGATATATGGGGGCTATAATTCAAGATTAGGTTTGGGTGGGGACACGGCCAGACCATATCACTCATTCACAAATATTTATGGAGCACTTTGTCAACTCTGGGCCTTGGGAAACCAGTGGTAAACAAGGCAGCCAGTGTCCCTGCCTGTCTGCAGACCATGAACAGACACCTTCTCTGTGCCCTAGAGTTTGTGCCCCAGTCCCAAGGCCAGCTATGCCCTGCATCATCCTCCCTGGAGACCACAGAGCTTGGCCCACCCCGGAAGAGTGGGCTCAGCACCGTCACGTCGCCTCCTGGCCACCGCACATTTCCTTCTGTGCTCCCTCACCCCATCCCACTCACTCTATTAGTCCCACTCAGAGCACTTCCCCTTCTGTTTCTTGAGGTCAGTTGTCTGATTAGCATACCTGCTAATGTGTAATATACCTGATCAACATGTCTTAGCAGAATGGGGGTTATTGTTATTAGATCATGAAACATTAAAGATAACTTCTGGGCAGCACCTGTGCTGTGCCCAGCACCATGTCACCATGTCCGGGGCTGTCTACAAGCCCTGGATTATCTCATTTAATCCTTAAATCTCCCAAGAACCAGGAATTATATACCATTTAGTGAATAAGTAGTCAAAGCCCAGAGAGGTGCAGTGATTTGTTCAAGGTTATGCAGCTCATGAGTGACAGGGCAGTGATTTGAACTCAGTGTCATTAAACCTCTCTGAGCCTTGGTTTCCTCATCTGTAAAATGGGGATGGTAATAGTCATTCATTGAAATCGGGCCCATTTTAATGCATGAGGTCCTAGACTTAACTTAAGTCCATGTCTGGAGGCCCTTCCACGTCTAACCTCAGGCAACCTTCCCAGGTCCATCCTGAGTTCCATATGGAGAAACTTCCCTGCTGTTTTTTCAGCAGGCAGGAAGTAGATTAAAGGCTCATAGGGTGCCTCTGTGCAGATTAGAAAAAAGTGCCCCATATGGGCAGCTGCCAGCCTGAAAGAGCATGGTCTGTCTGGGAGCAATGTGAAGCTTGCCTCCAGCCCTTTGCGCTCCTCTATTGAACACCCTGCACCTTGAATGTGGCCATCCTGCCCTGGCCTCTGCTCACAGGGGGCCCTGATCTTGGCAGATTTTTAATCCTGCACTCCTATCCTTCCAAGCCACACACATATCCTCTAAGGCTCAGTTCAAATGCAGTTTCCTCTGGGAAGGCTTTTTGGCTTCACACTGCCCCTCTGAATTGATAGCCTTTCTCCCCGCTTGATATAATTAGGCTTTGTATCCCCACCCAAATTTCATCTCGCATTGTAATCCCCAGGTGTTTAGGCAGAGACCTGGTGGGAAGTGATTGGATCATGGGGGTAGTTTCCCCTATGCTTTTCCCCTGACAGGGAGTGAATTCTCGCGAGATCTGATGGTTTTATAAACGGTAGTTTTTCCTGCACTGACACACACTCGCACACTCTCACCTTCTGCCATGTAAGAAGTGCCTTTTCCCCTTCAGCCATGATTGTAAGTTTCCTGAGGCCTCCCCAGCCATGCGGAACTGTGAACAGGTTAAACCTCTTTCCTTTATAAACTATCCATACTCGGGTACGATACTACTCGGGTAGTATCTTTACAGCAGTGAGAGAACGGACTAATACACTGCTGTTTATACATCTCCCAGATCACTGACAACTTCCTACCTCAAGTTAGAGTGAAGCTAGACCTCCAATTCGAGTGTAAAAAAGACTCATTCACCTCCGTAGTCACCACCATTGATCAACACTCTTATTAGCACACTCATAATCCTACTGAGAGTTTCCTGTGAGTTTGGCACTGTACTTACTGCTTTCTTTGCTTTATTTGCATTTAATTCTCACAGCAAACCTGCCAGAAGGGATTATTACCATCCCCATTTTACAGATGAGGAAACTGAGGCTCAGAGAGGTTCATTCCAAGCTACACAGCTACAGAATGACAGAGCCCAGGCTCAACCTGAGGAATCCAGCTGGCTTTAAAGTCATTGCAGCTAGGGGCAGTGGCTCACACCTGTAATCCTAGCACTCTGGGAGGCTGAGGTAGGAGGATCACTTGAGGTCAGGAGTTCAAGACCAGCCTGGGCAACATAGAGAAACCTTGTCTCTACAAAAAAATTTTAAAAAAGTGATTGGTCAGGTGTGGTGGCACATGCCTGTAGTCTCAGGAACTCCCTGAGTCCAGAGGATCCCCTGAGCCCAGGAGTTTGAGGCTGCAATGAGCTATGATTGAACCACTGCACTTCAGCCTGGGCAACAGAGAGAAACCTTGTCTCTAAAATAATACTAATAATAAATGAAGTCACTGCATTTAACCACTGCTTAACACATCCTCGGGAATTTGTTGATGAATCACATTTTTTTTCTAATGATTTTATACTTTAAAAGAGGACTGAGTAGAGAGAACAATGCTTTACCCAAAAGAACAAATCTAATGGTAGGATTCCAGGCATCATGACTTGGCTTGGTGGCAGAGATTAGGACCAGAGAGGCCTTTTCTGGGTCTTCCAATCACAGCTCACAGGAAGCGGCTGCATGGCCGGCTGGCCTGGGTCACAGTCTCCATTTCTGGAGACCCCTTTTAAATTTGATGTTGTGACAGAAGGGTTATGACACGCTTCCTCTAATGTGGGTCTGGGACACATTTTAGCCATTTGATTACATTTAATGTAGTTGTGGTTTTTATGGCCATGTGCATTGTCCTAAGCTGCCCCTGGACCCTCTCTCCCCTGGGCCTCAGGGTAATGGGCGTATTAAATAAATCTATTACATGAATCAATAAGACATTCTTGGGCATCCTCATTTCAGCTTTGGAAACAGTGAAAGAGAAACAGAGTTCTGGATGTTTGCCCCAGGAACATCTTAAAGCAGCATTGTGTTTCTAGCATGCAGAGAGGGAGGGAGGGAGGGAGGAGGCTTGGGAGAGAAATGTCCTGGTGGTGGCCTTCCCCATCTTCATGGCTGCCATTGAGAAAGGGTCTGTGGCTCTCCCTTTCCAAGTGAGCTCAAGCTCTGGCACAGAGAAAGCTCAGGAAAGGACTGTCAAATAAGTAATGTTGACGTGGCCACTCTGCCCAGCTTTCCTTTACAATCTACTCCAGGGTTTCTTAACTGCAGCCCTATTGACATTGTGGGCCAGGTCATTCTTTTTTTTGGGGGGGCAGGGGGGCAGCTCTGAGCATTGTAGGATGTTTAACAGCATCCCTGGCCTCTGCAAACTAGATGCTGGGAGCAAACCTGCTCCCTCAGTCATGACAACTGAAAATGTCTTCAGACATTGCCAGTGGTTGGGGAGGAGTGAGGGGTATGGGTAACAAAATTTCCCCTGGTGAGAACCAGGGCTTTAATCAGAAATCTAGGTTGCACACAGTGGCTCACACCTGTACTCCAGCACTTTGGGAGACTGAGGCAGGAGGATTGCTCTAGACCAGATATTCAAGGCCAGCCTGAGCAACAAAGCAAGACAGCATCTCTATAAATTTTTTTTAAAGTTATCCTCACATAGTTTCACATGCCTGTGTATCCCAGCTACTTGGGAGGCCAAGGTGGGAGGATCACTTGAGTTGAGGAGGTGGAGGCTGCAGTGAGCCGTGATCATGCCTCTGCACTCTAGCCTGGATGACTGATGGAGACCCTGTCTCTAAATATATCTAAAGAAATCTATAGAATCGGTTACTAACCTCTCCAAAAAGAAAAAGAATGGAGGAACATCAGTTTGGGTATTCCTTTCCCTGCAAGATCTGGAGCACTCATGTCTTGGAAATGCTAAGAGAGCCAATTCTTGTTTGGATTATACCGAGATTATCACATGAGTCCCTCATCAGTGAGTGACCAGAGGTGTTCAGAGGTTGTTTGCCACGATGTTATAAGCCGGGCAGCCCCATCAATTCTGCCCCACCCACCCTTCCTGGATACTTCCTGTGTTTTGGGCAGGCACCTTGGTAGGTGAACAGGGGATATCTCGGTTCATCTTTCTGATTTGGGGCTTCGGAATGACAACAGGAGAGCTGTTCTTAAATGATTCATCCTCAGAATATCAGATAAAGGAAGCAAAAGGAATAACGTTAAAATAATAATAGCTGAGATGACCTGGGCATGTATTAGGAGATGAGGGTTCTTATATGCTTAATGCTCACAACCACCCCAGGAGGTTGGTGATATCAAGAAAACCAAGAACCAGATGTGTTTAGAAACCTGTCTAAGATCACACAGCAAGTGAGAGAGCTTGGCCTCAGTCCAGGATGATTGGGCTCCAGAACCTATGGGGATTTCTTTCTTCCACACATAACAGTTGAAGGAATTATATGAGAATGTCTACTTAACCTAGCACCTAGATTCTGAAGTTAATATTTTGTTGTACAGATGCTCCTTGACTTATGATGGCGCTACATCTGGATAAACCCATCATACGTCAAAAAAGAAGTCAAAACTGACATAAAGCTCTCAACTTACAATATGAAGTTACGCTTTCCACTGAATGCAGATCACTTTCATGCCATCAAAGAGTTGAAAAATCACAAGTGGAACCACTGTAAGTCAAGGAGAATATGTACTTGCTTTATCACACATCCATCCTCCATCATCCATTATTTCATTGTATTTATGTGTGTGTACATTTCAAAATAAGTTGCAGACATTAGTTGACTTTAACCCTAAACATATCAGCCTGCGTATTATTCATTAGGGTTTAGTGTTTGTTTACAGCTTTTTTTTAAGATAAAAATTTATATCCATAACATGCATAAATCTTAAACCTGTCACTCCATGAGTTTTGAAAAATCCATATACCTTTGTAGTGCACACCCCTTATCAAGAGATAATTACCATCTGCCCATCAAGTTTCCTCATGCCTCTTCTTGGTCAATTCCTGTCTCCAAACCACAGGAGCAAGTACTTTTCCAATGATTTTTTTGTCCATCATGGATTAATTTAGCCTGTTTAGAACTTCCCAAAATTTGCACTCATACAGTATGTCCTCTTTAGTGTAAGGCTTTTTTATTCCACATAATATTTTTGAGATGCATCCATGTTATTACATGTATCAAGTTTGTTCCTTTTTATTCCCAAATTCCATTATATGACCATAACTCAGTTTGTTTATCCATTCTCCTCTTTATGAAAACCTGGGCTATTTCCAGATTTTTGGCTATTAAGAATTAAACTGCTATGAATATTCTTGCACAATTCTTTTGGAGGCCATCTGCTTGTATTTCTCTTGGGTGAATACCTAGGATGGGAATGCTGGGACATAGGGTGGCTGTTATGTTCAGATATATTAAAAAAGAAAAGCACTGCGCCTTTCCCCAAAGTGATTGGGCCACTTTGCCTTTCCACCAACAACGTATGAGAGTTCCAGTTGCTCCACATCCTGGCCAACATTTAGTGTTGTCAGTTTTTTAGTTTTAACTCTTCTGGCAGTTGTGTAGTAGTATCTCAGTGTGGTTTTAATTTACATTAAATTAAGATTTTTCTGACAACTAATGATGTTGGGCACTTTTTCATGTGTTTATGGGCATTCACATATCTTCTGTGAACTATCTGTTCAATCCTTTTGTCCTTTAAAAAACATTAGGTTGTCTTGTCTATTTGATTTTGAGTTGGAGGAGTTCTTCATATATTCCAATACCAGTCCTTTGCCAGATATAGATTTTAGAGTGTGTCGTTTTAACTTTTAGGAGCACAGAGGCAGTGAAGAGCTTTGGAATATTTACACTGTTGATTTCTGAAGTAGGAGACACTTCAGATTGCTGTGAGTCAGAGCTCCCTTTCCCTTGTACACCCTAACCCGTGGCTGTTAAGATCACCAGGCTGAAAAGTGCTTTGCACACTCAGGAATAGATGGGGTGAGAGAATGAAAAACCCGAGAAGGAGAAGGAAGGAGAGGAAATGGGGATTGGCATAGGAAAGTAGTTGCATGGAGTTATGCTCACAAGGCTGAGACCTACTTCCAGCTTTCCTGGATACAGGTTGCATTTTGCCTGGAGGAATCACAGACTTTTTCTGTGTTGAGTTCTGTAGATTTGGGATTTATGATAGTCATTTTAGCTGTTCACCAAATACTTTCAGCTGTCCTCCTTGCTCACACAACAAAAGACTACATTTCTCTGCCTCCTTTGAAGTTAGCATGGCTAGGTGACTTATTTTGGCGAATAAAATGTGAACAGAAGTGATTTCTGGGCAGAAAAATTTCAGAGCCAGTGCAATTCTTGTTCCCTTCATACTACTGTGGTAATTAAAGTAGCCTAGGTCTCTAAGTAATTACAATGAGCAGAGTCCCTGGCTGAAATGAATTAGATAAGTAGCATTAGTATGAAATAAACTTTTGCTGAGATTTTGTGGTTGTTACTTTAGCATAACCTAGCCTATCCTATTTGTTAGAGGACTACGTTCTCTTTCCATAGGCTGCCTAAGATGTATAATGAGATTTATATGACTCAGCTCATTCTTCTTGCATCTTTAGACATATGTCTTCACTGTTCTGTGAAATTGATAGCCTGATTATCTTACAGCAAACAAATAAATATAACAATTGAAACTCAATCTTGCCACTAACTTTCTTCTTTCCTCTTGGTATTTTTTTAAACAGCAGGAAAGTGGTTTTGATTTTTAATGCATGATAGCCAACGAAACGAATTAGGACCATTTTAAATCAAACAATAACAATAAAATTTAATTCTGTTTTGAAATAGGGATGAAAAAGTGTAGGAATCATGTGGATTTATGGCTCCCCATGGGATCCTAAAAGGGTTTGCATTATCAGGCTAAGCAGAATCTTCCCTGAGAAGACAGAAGACAAGAGGAGAAGCAACAGTACCAGAATGAGTCATTAGAAGATTCGTCTCTCAAATGTGCACAAGACCCTGCATTCAGATCAGTCACAAGAGAAGAAAGGGTCCAGACTGCCAGAGCTGTATTCAGTTTCTTCTCTTCTTCAACCAAGCCCCAAAGTCATGGCTGATATTTACCAACCAGTTCTTGCCCATTAATCATCAGCAAATCCAAAACTTTCCAAGTTGATGTGTCCAGTTTAAAACTAACAGCTCATTAAACGTTGCAGTCTCTTTAGCATATCAAAGGGATGTTTACGAAGGACCCAGCACTTAGCTTTGGGAATTAAAGAGTAAATAAAAGTCCGTTTGATTCTACACAATTCAACAAATATTTATTGATCACTTTACAGGGCCCAATAATCACTGTTCATATATGAGTCTGCCCAAAATAAAATAAGTGAGGGTCAGTTAAGTCCCAGGCATGAGAAGTGTCAACAGAGGACCAGTTGACCATTTTTTTTCAACAGCAGACACTCAATTTGATGCACACACCAATCTTCTCCTTTGTTCTAGAACAATAGTAGCAGCAATGCATCAGAAATTGTGGGATCTTAATGCAAGCCATGATGTTTTCAATTGTGATGGCAATTTTCACTCTTTCCCTCAGACTGGCTTCTTCCAGGGGCTTGGCCTCTGGACCTGGGCTCATTTTTGTGGCTATGTCAATATCCTTCGTGATGGCCCAGCTTGGACCCAATGGGTAACGATCTGCTGTTGTGATTACTATTCATTTTGCAATTTTATTTCAATCAAAAGAGTAAGGCTTAAGGGTTGTGGCCCTACCCAACTCCCCAGGGCTGAGATCTTAACTCCCTGGGCTGGGGGCCCCTCTCGAACACACGTGGAACTGATTTAGTAGCCAGACAGCCTAACGGCAGAAAGAATTGCACTAAAGAAGCTGACTTCTCTGCTGGCCTGTGTTTCTAGACTGTGTATATAGCTAACAGTATGGAGTCATTACTGGATGCCAGACACAGCCAAAAGCTCTACCCTTATCTCATTTAATCCTCCCAACAGCCCTATGAAGTAGGAGTTATTTTTAAGCCCCATTTTACAAAGGAGGAAACTGAGGCACAGAGACTCAGAGCCACTGAACTTATAAATGGCAGAGTCATGATTTTCTCTCAGTAACTCTTTCCCCATGATCGTCACTAAATTTTTTAAATATTGGACAATAGCCAGGGTACAAAGAAGTGTTTAAAGGAGGGTACAGGCCTCTAGACAATCTGCTATAATGTAAAATAAGCCAAGTAGCCTCTGTTGAACAAATCTAGAATCTGTGTTCTGAGTGAGATAAAAAGGGGCATTAAAAAAAACATAAATGATTTGAAAAGTATTATACATTATATTGAACAATCTTCAAGATCCGGTATACAATGGAAAGGGAAAATCATAAAACAGTACATGTAGTATGATCACACATATGTAAAAACAGGAGAGACTTATATTTACCTGTGCACAAATATGAAGCAACGTGCAAAAAAATTCCTGGAGGAATGCACACTAAACCACACTTACCTCTGGGGAGGGAAACAAGATGGAGAGAACGGTGAAAAAGAGAATTTTTCTATTTAACTCTGTGGAATTATGGTTTGCTCTGACTCTTTTACAGTAAGAATGGACTCATGTATTATTTAAATTATTTTTGTAAATGCATCTGAATCAAAAAGATCATAACAAGTACCAACTAGCGTCTGAATAAACTGGGATTTGGATTGTAAGATGATGCAGCTGCTTTGGAAAACAATTTGGTGGTTCCTCAAACTGTTAAATGTAGAGTTACCACAGGACCCAGGAGTTCCACCGAAAAACATGTTCATAGCAGCATTATCCGTAACAGTGAAAAAGTGAAAACAACCACCAGATGTTCATCCACCAATAAATGGATAAATAAAATCGGATCTAACCATGCAATGGAATATTATGCAGCCACAAAAAGGAATGAAGCACTGAAGCGTGCTACATCATGGACGAACCTTGAAGGCATTATGCTAAGTGAAATAAGCCAGTCACAAAAGACCATATATTGTGTGATTCCATTTATACGAAACATCCAGAATACACAAATCTATAGAAGGGAGAAGGATCAGGGAACTGGGGTGACTGCTAATGAGTACCAGATTTCTTTTTGAGGGGACGAAACCATTCTAAAATCAAATTGCCGTGATTGCATAACTCTCCTAAAATAGTAACAACTACTGAATTGTACACTTTAAATAGGTTACTTTTATGATACATGAAGTGTATCTCAATAGAGCTATTGTTTCTCTCTTTTGAGACAGGGTCTCACTCTGATGACCAGGCTGCAGTGCAGTGGCATGATCATGGCTCCCAGCAGACTCAACCTTCCAGGCTCAATTGATCCTCCTGCCTCAGCCTCCCGAGTAACTGGAACTACAGGTGTGCACCACTATGCCCAGCTAATTGCTTTTTGTAGCGATGAGATCTTGCGACGTTGTCCAGGCTGGTCTGAAACTCCTGGCCTCAAGCAATTCTCCTGCCTGGGCCTCCCAAAGTGTTGGGATTGCAGGCATGAGCCACTGTGCCCAGCCTAGAGTTGTTATTTTAAAAAATCTGTACAAGGTACTTCTTCATTAGTTGTTACAGACTATAACATTTTAAAATACCATTTTAGAATATAAATTAGATATGTTTATTCTACAACACTTAGATAATATGGAAAGGTATAATTATGAAATAAAATTACCAGAGGCTTAAAATTTTATAATAAAATGACACCTGCTCATAGTAAAAATTTGAAAAATATTAAAGGGTGTAGAGAACATTTCAGACTTTCTTCCATCTGAGACTCCCAGTCCCTCCCTCTAGTGATTACCAGTTTCACCAGATTCTTATTAGGCCTCTAATATTTTTCTGTGTACATACCACCATGCAAAACATATATATAGATAAACACATGTGAATATACATATATACACGTATAATTATGTATATATCCTTTCAAAATAATTGAGATCACACAATACACACTATCATAACTCTTGACTTTTAAAAAAGTGAGCAATTTATCTTCAGGATCTTTCCACACCAATGCCTATGGACCTAGTTGATCTTCTTGATAGCTGCATAACGTTCTGCAACGTACCAGCCTATTCTTTTCTTGCTGGTTGTCTCCCATGTTTTGCTTTTGCTGACATTGACAATGGCCATGGTTATGATTTATTTCCTAGGAGGAGTGTTTCAGGTCAGATGTGAACAGGGCATGAGAAGTCTGTCAATCCATGCCGTCCCCAAACTTTTGTTTTGTTTTGTAAATAGCTAATTTCACTGCACTCCAGCGGGGAGACAGAGCAAGAGCCTGCCTCAAAAAAAATAAAAAAGTGATTTTATACCTGTGGTACAAAATGCAAAAGCACAACAGGGTATGCAGTGAAAAGTAAGTTCCTTTTTGTCCCTAGTTAACCAGTACTCATCCCTGGGGCCAACCATTCCTACCAAGTTTTGGTCCTTTCATGAACCATCATGAAAATAGCATTCTTACACTGGTGGGGAGTGCCTTTTAAAGTGAACCTTTCTGTTAGGGCACGGTGGCTCACGCCAGCACTTTGGGAAGCTGAGGCAGGAGGATCACTTGAGGTCAGGAGTTTGAGACCAGGCTGGACAACATGGTGAAACCCCATCTCTACTAAAAATACAAAAATTAGCCGGGCATGGCAATCCCAGCTACTCAGGAAGCTGAGGCAGGAGACTTGTTTGAACCCGGGAGGCAGAGGTTGCAGTAAGCCGAGATCGTGCCACTGCACTCCAGCCTGGGCGACGGAGCGAAACTCCATCTCAAAAAAATAAATAAATAAATAAAATAAATTAAAAAAAATAAATAAAGTGAAGCTTTTCAGGTGCCAGTACAAATGGGTGCCTCAAGTCTTGTAAGTTAATGTAACACGTTTCCTCTTGATAAATATCAAATAGTTTTTAGAAGTGAACTAGCCAAATAACTCATGTGTCCCAGAATTAGTAAGCAAATAACATTTTGGAACTTTATATAAAGAACCCTATCTGGCTGAGGGCTATGGCTCATGCCTGTAATCCCAGCACTTTGGGAGGCTGAGGTGGAAGGATCACTTGAGGCCAAGAATTCAAGACCAGCCTGGGCAATATAGCAAGACTCTATCTCTATTTTTAAAAAAATTATCCAGGCATGGTGCCATCCACCTGTAGTCCTAGCTACTTGGGAGGCTGAGGCGAGAGGATGGCTTGACTCAGGAGTTAGAGGACTACAGTGAGCTGTGATAGCACCACTGCACTCCAGCCTGGGCAACAGAGTGAGGCCTCATCTCATATATATATATGCATGCGTGTGTGTGTGTGTTTGTGTGTGTGTGTGTATATATATATATATATACACATACACACACACACACGCACGCATATATATAAACTCTATCATTGGGATGGTGATACTGGCTAGGAAAGATTTATACACACATACAAAGAGGTGGGGAGAGATTGAGAGAGAGAGAGATTGAAAGAGATAGAGCTTGGTCAGGTAGAGAGTTGCTGGGATTTTGAGTCAGACAGGCTAGATTTGAATCTCAACTCCACCATTTAAAAAGAGAGAACCTGAATTCTGAATCTTTCTCTCTAAACCACAGCTTCCTAGGCTGTGAATTAGGGTTAATCTGGTCTATCTTGCAGTATTTATAGGCAGCAGGGCAGAGGCTAGAGTGAGGTTACTGAGACACTCAGCTGAGGAGCAAAATTCAAGGGCATGCCCCTAACCTCAGTAATCAAGAAAAACAGAAGTTGAATACAGTTTCAAAAAATCAAATCAGCAAATGGTGATGGGCTGGCTGCTGCTTTTGTAAATACAGTTTTGTTGGAATTAAAGATGATTTTGTAGTGCCTCTAGTTCAGCACCTTTGAAATAGGTGCCTTTCAAGCGACTCATGAAACTTGGGTTATTTAATAAATTGAGGGTATTGGCTGAATCCTTGGTTCAGATACTACTTAATTTAAAAGAACATTCTGGCATCCATTCCTCCAACTCCCACTCCCCTCCCCTCTTCTCACAAAGGAGATGGGGCTCCATCCTCAAGTCATTTATCAGCATGGCAGATTAAAATTAGGCAACAGGAAGTTTTCTGTTCATATTGTAATATAACTGAATCACCAGTTCTCTATTGATAATTCATTATGTGTTGCCGCTCTCACGCTGCAGCTCTGAAATGCTTTTTGCCATAATGATTTTAAACCCCACTTCTATAATAGCCTCCTGACGGTGCCGATCATCCCCGCTTCCGTGTACAATAATATTATTCTGCAATCCGTCTTGGGAGAATGCTTAAAAGCTTTCTCTCATTTTCTCCATTTAACTCATGTATTATCTGAGTTTTTACATTAAATGGCCATTCTTAATATCCCAAGACATGTCACCTCTTTTCTAGAGAGGACACTGATACAGTACTTACCCGATTCCAGAATCTATACTAATCGAATCATGCTTTCCCACTTCAGCCGAGAGCAGTTCGTTCGGCGCAACAGCATTTAATCTGGAGAAAGAACTTATGAAAGAGAACAAAAACAATTTAAGCTGCAGTTGGTTAAATGCGAACGTGATTGATGCAATTTGTTTTATAAAAAGGAATTAGCAGATATTGAAGTCAAGTTGTGGAATGAAGGTCAAAAATGCTCAGATTTATTGTGACTACAACCAACAATGATGCTGTTTTAAACGCCAAACCTGGGCAAATTGTGGATAAACATTCGAGTTTTGATACCAGAGGAGGAGAAAGGCTACAGCTCAAGCTTTAAATCTACACTATGATCTAGTAATTTAAAAACACTGAAATCCATCCTCCAAATCCTGGTACTTCACCCAAGACTCACACCACTATGTTTAATCTGTGCTTCCCCGCACTGCCTTGAGCAATAAGCTAGAAAGCCTATTTAAGCACCGATTTTAAGAGAAAAAGAATGTGTGATCATAGACCCACCTTCCCTGTAGAATTCAAACACAAAACGGCAAAGTTGAAGCCCAAATTCCTTTAAGGCATAAAGGGATATAACTGACTTTTGCCTTGAGGCCCCTGGGCTGGGAATATTTTGATTTTTAAGAGTCAGGGACCCCCACAAACCTGCAGGCTGATTTCTTTCTTGTGCAGATAGAAAGTTCCATCTCACTAATGGATTGGGGGCAGGACACGGGACGCGTTTGGAGGCCAGTAATGGAGAAGATGCTCATTTCAATCCGAGAGTGGCTGGGGGCTGGGGAGAGGGCAATGGGTCCTCTCAGAGGACAATGAATCATCTATCCTATTGACGTGGGCACCAGCCCTGAGAGGAACGAATGAACTTGATTGACCTACCCGGAATCTAAGTGATGATGACCCAAAGAGCAGGGAGTAGAGGATCGCCTAAGCCTTGGTGCCAAACAGATCTAGGTTTGAATCCACTCTCTGCCACATAACAGCTGTGTGACTTTGGGCAAGTCACTTAACCTCTCTGAACCTCAGTTTTCTCATCTGTATGGAGATAACAGTATCTACCTTGCAGGGTTGCAGTGAAGAGAATAGATATAATATATGTAAAGCACCTCACACAGTGTTCAGCACACAGTAGGTATCCAACAAAGTGGTAGCTCTATACATCCTATGTGATCAAGGCAACACAGATGTCCCTGTGTGGCCAATTGTAACTTGAGGGATTGCTATAGCCAAAATTGCAGACAGTTAATTGGATTGTAAATTGACTTGTTTATTCCATTTAAAAACAACAGACAAATACATTGAGAAATTAAAATTGTGGGAGGACTTCATAGAATGGAATGTGCTTTGCACTTTAAAAATTAATCTTCAAAAACTCCATGTTGCCATTTTGGGTTGCCAGGGTGTCATTGGCAAAGACCTCAACAGAGAGAGATGCTTTGCCATCTCCCTTATCCAAAGGCATTTATTTTATTTTATGCTTGCATTCTGGCTCCTGGAGCCTCTTTGCTGGCATCGTGTGTGATGATAAATCCATTTGTTTGGGCAACTTCAGTAGGGAAATTTGCCCAGAAAACGGGCTGGAGCTGGCTTTGGAAAAAGCCAGATTAAGTCTCCAGCAGACCGGGGTCCCTTCCAAATGACTTCCCAGTGGGCAGGAAGTGTTCGGTTCCGTACAGTGTGCAGCCTACACAGAAAGCCCCAAACCATGTTAAACAAAGAAGACCCAGCCACTGGCAGTTGAATCGATTGGCAGATATCAGATTGCATTCCTTTGTCTGCTTTCCCAGCTTATTTTCAAACCCCAGTCCAACCTTTGTGGAAGAACAAGCTTAAATGCTGACAAATTTCCCCCTCCATAAGAAATTACTCCTGCAATTTGTCTTTTTAGCTGAGCTTCTGTGGGCCTATGTAGCGTAAAAAAAATGTTGTCCTTGTCACCTGCCATTTTTCCAGCCAGGCTGACACCCCCGGGCTTCCCAACAGCTCTCTTCAGCAGGAGCTGTCTCCGAGCTCTTAGCACCACCAGATAATTGAGGTTGTCACATCTCTTGTTCATTGTTTTTTCCAGCCCTGGAAAAATGCAAATATTTCAATGTAGTCATTAATTTTCCCATCCTTTTCTTCAAGCATCTCGTCGGTGTGATCTCATGAAAAGGGCTGAAGGCATGATTGCAAACACCGTGGCGTCGGGCTTCTGCCCACGATGGGGAGAATCTCATCAGATCAAATCTCAGGGAAGTCATCAATCACGCCCGCTGACAACCATTTTGCCTTCGTTTGTTACAGATGTGAACATGCTTAATTATTTGTAGTGTAATTAGTTCATGAAATGTCAGGAAATGTCAAACTGCGTTCACAGCACACATTTTTTTTTTTTCTGCAAAGAGCATCGAGAGCAAGTGTCAGTGGGAAATGAAAGGGACTGATGAGAAGGGCTGTGTCTGCAGGCAAATGAAGGACTGGTTTGGGGAGACAAATGAGGGTCAAAATATCAAGATTAGGCATTTTGGAGAAGTAGACTTTCAAAACAAAACAAAACAGAAAATCCAGGTATACGTCAGACAAGTGGGATGTGACAAGCCAGACACTCTGCCAGGTTCCTACAAGGGGAGTGTGGGTTTGAGATTCTGTTCATCTTGAGTTTAAAAGCAGTGGATTTTGGTGAAAAAGGATGTCAGGTTAAAAAGGAATATCTGCACCCAGGGAGGCAGATTCTTTCACATATTCCTTATGCTAGAAATATTCTCCTTTTTCAACTATTTATTTTTAGGTGGATAAAATGCCAAGGTGTGGAATCAGTCTTTGGATGGAGGACGCTTTCTACCATAAAGAGAGAAATGGTTTCCTTCTGCAGCCTCGAGGAAAGAAGCGTTCTATAAGCTTTGGTGTTTATTTTCTTCTCATCTAATGCTAGAGGCCGGTGAGTTTGCCCACTATTTGGGTAAAAACCTGAAGATGCTCTCGAGACACTGGTCTTTGAAACTAATGAGGCTTGATTTCTTTGCAAAGGTCCCCAAAGGAAAAATGAACATGCCCACGATATATTTAAATGTGATTCAGACCCTCTTGACAAGCTTGGCATATTTTCTGGTGTCTAGATCTTTCTGGGGTTCTTTTGCAAAAGTACTGGATGCTGTGGATAGGTAGGTGATGCTAAAACCAGAGCTATCTATCCAGAGAACATGGGTCTCTTATTTCCAGGAAGGTGCTGTAATCTACTGCAAACTCAGAGTGCTGCAAACATGCCCTTCAGATAAGCAGTGTTCAGCAGACTTGGCACTGCGACTCAACCTGTTTGCCGTAATCCAGCAACTCCACGCTACTCCATAAAAAAAAAAATCCTTGCAAGAAGCTGAAGGACAGGAAGTGCACTGACATCCTACAAGTGCCTTTTGATTGACAATCTGACATTGAATTCCTGGATGGCCCTCCCCGTTCAGCAAAACACAGCAATCTTGAGATGGCAGAGATGGTCACCAAAGCTGGCCATGGTGTCAGGACTAAGTTGGTGAGTGATGACAGATCCTTACTCCTAGGTTGATCCCTGGGCAGTTTTAATGTCTGCACCCAGGGACACTCAGTTGGTTTAAACCTTCATGAAATCAGCATTCTCAAATGAATGCGCAGTGTCTTTAATGTGTCTCGGTTCCTCTACTCTCTTCCCCACTCCACATCATTTTCATCGCTAAGAGTTCCCAGGAACTTACATGCTTACCTGAGCTGTTAACCTCAAGAGTCTTATTAGCAACATGTTATGATCGCTACATTCAACATAGCTCTATTTTTAGGTTCCTATTATAACCCACAGTGAATCTTCCTCGGATGCTCCCTTCTCTCTGGAAACGAGCCGATGCATAAAATATTCCTACTACAGATTTTTAGGCCGGGCGCGGTGGCTCATGCCTGTAATCCCAGCACTTTGGGAGGCCGAGGCGGGCGGATCACGAGGTCAGGAGATCGAGACCATCCCGGCTAAAACGGTGAAACCCCGTCTCTACTAAAAATACAAAAAATTAGCCGGGCGTAGTGGCGGGCGCCTGTAGTCCCAGCTACTTGGGAGGCTGAGGCAGGAGAATGGCGTGAACCCAGGAGGCGGAGCTTGCAGTGAGCCGAGATCCCGCCACTGCACTCCAGCCTGGGCGACAGAGCGAGACTCCGTCTCAAAAAAAAAAAAAAAAAAAAAAAAAAATATTCCTACTACAGATTTTTAAAGTGGATTTTTGGCGGGAGAAAGGCATTCTCCAAATGAGGTCATGAGACCCTATGAAGAAATATAGACTCTCAGCTAGGGGTAGTTGTTTATAACTATGATTTTGATAAGATCTTAAGAGGAGGGAGAAGAAACACACACACACACGCACACACACACACACACACACACACATGCTAAGACAAATAATATTGAGCGCGGCAACCTTCCACTGCTAACCAAGGTGTGAGATTTCATTTGAGGCTGTCCATTTGGAAGCTCTTGGAAGGATGATGGTTATTAAAATGTTTATGTTTCAGAACATCACTTACAAGCCGGCACAAGACGAGGCATGGCATTAGAAAGTTCTAGTGACCTTCGCCAGGGCTGACTTCTGATTTCCAAACCCGCCAACCTTCAGTAGCTCTAGCTCCTTTTCAAGGTGAAAACAGTCCCTTGGTTTATCTTAGGAACGACATCATACGCTTAATTTTTCCCAAGCTTTTCATTTTCAAATAGACAGAGGCATCCTATTGAGCAGGGTTTTCTCCCTCAGCGCCTCAGGGTGGGTCTGTGTTACACTCCAATAGGACTGGAAGGCTCACTGCACCTTTTCCCACCTTTTGTGTGTGAAGTGGCAGCCGTGAATTTAATAGAGGGAGAATGCTGTGATTACTTAATGGTTTCCCAGACAGCGATGGCCTGGAGAATTAAATTTCACATCTGCTTTCATGGCGTTAATCTCTCTTCTCACACTCCGCCTGTTATGATGTGCACACGAGAGATAATGTTTAAACTGACTAAAGCAAAGTAAACCAGACAAGTCTGTTATTGGCTTTATAATTACATAATTAACTTTTTGTCTCTAATCGTTATGGAGGTAATGGTGCTGTTAAAATGGGCTTCTCTTGAGCAGAAACTAAATCAAAAATCAATAATCCATAGAATGCCATTAAGGCCTGTAACAGCCCTTGTTGGATTCACTCAAATTTTTGTACTGCAAATGAATTTCATTAGGACGCAGAATGTTATCGCACAAGCTGACTTTCAACTGATAGCAAAGAGCAGAGCATCGTAATCAGCCACACGCAGGAAAATGGACAAATGTTGCCGTAAATTACACCATGCTTGTAATGCAGTTACTGTAGAGTGATTGACCTCCTCGAAATTAATTCTATTTTCCATGAACCCTCCTTTATTTCTAATTTACATTACGATCATATATGTCTGAAAAATGATATAATAAAAAAGATTAATGTACTAATTACTTGTCTCCTTATCTTTTTCCCTGATGCCTACACCTTTGGACTGACTCCACTCAGCATGTAAGTATGTGACTTATTTCACTGTGACAGGGGTAATGTATTTGTAAACTGTACTATAAATATTGGAATCTCATATTCAGACACTGGCATATCTCATATTCAGACACCGGCATTTCTGAGCTATGCTTTTTCAAATGAATTTAGAATTGACAAAAATTTTCAAAGCCAAATTACGAGTGTGTCACTGTGAAATTAGGTTCTTGACCCTGCTTCTGATGTGTGCTTATTTTTCTCCACATTTTCTCCTTCAATTTTATGCATCACTATTCACTCCTGGAATTGGTGACATGGCTTTCCCAAAAGGGGGTAAGTAATACTTTAATACATCTATGAGAGGAGGCTGCGTTTTTCATGAATATTCTGAAAGCTAGCTGTCACTTCAGTCAATTGATATTCCTACGCTTCATTACAGAGAGGGTGAACTTTTTATGATAGGGCATATCTTCGTAAACTTTATTTCATCTCCCTGACGTCCTCAACTTTCATTATTCCAACTTAACTGTGTTTTTCTATTATTTTAAGTGTGTTCCATTTAAGATTGAATGGTCCTGTGGATAAATCAAAATGCCATAGGTATCCTCTAAGAGAGGACTCAAATCCAAACTTACCCTGGACTCAGCAGGCTGAGTAGACACAGGCAGACTTTCTACAGATTCATTTCCCAATGAGAGGATGCATATAAACTTATTGGGAGAAGTATGTGTGCTATTTCCATCGGCCATTTCCCGTATTTGCTAATTTGTACTACACTCAGTTATCTGGATTTTTGAGTTCATTGAGCCTCCCATACGTGAGAATATTAACAAGCAGATAGAGAAACAATTCTTTTGTGGAAGAAATAAAAGAGCAAGGAAACATTCGCAGCTATGTTTATGGTTAAGGTCTGAAAACGGCTCGCACTCCATGCCAGTGTTCTTAAGAGAATCATTGCGGGATATTTAAAATAACGCATTTCATAGAGTTCTGTAATTAAGACAAAATGGACTGCTAGCATATTGCATTCTACCATTATTCAACTTGCTGTCTCTTCATTTAACACTGGCAGAAAATTCATATTAAAATTTCATATGACTGAAAATCTTGTGGATTGAGTTGCATTCATCATCCTTTGGTGATTTTTGGTTCCAGGAGAGAATGGCTCAACCCTGTGAAATTACTCCTCATGTTAACACTCACTAATCCTGAATTGAGAACACACACGAATGCTTATGTTTGGTTCCTTTAAGCCAGAGACCATTGTCAAATGACAAACTATATCATGGAATATTGAGACAACTAATATTGATTCTTTTCCCTGAATGTTGATTTGGGAATTTAGGATGATTTGAATTTAGAATGGATTTTATTTCATTTCATTTTTTTTCTTGCTAAATATATAGTCATTACTGCCCTGAGCGAGGCCAGCAGCCGAACGCTACAGTCCCATATTTACATACAGTCAAATAAATCTGGACTGGTGACCTCACCATGCACAATTTATCACGCAGCCATCACCAGGAGCCATCTGTAGAGGTTCAGGACGACAGGGCGACTTGTTGGACCTTTTCAACTAGGAGTATCTATAATATGAACTTTCTTCCCTCTTGCTTGTTCTATCAGATCTGTCTCCTGAGTTGCTTCTTTTGCCTCAGTTGCAGTAATCCAGCTGCCTGCCGTACTGGCCTATTTAAAGGGCACCTGTTTATCGTAGGTGCTGTTTGCTGCTAGCGTACTAACCAGCTGGGAGGCTGGGTTACTGTTTGCTCAGAGGCTGGACAGACCTGTTCCTTTCTCCTGGGCGGATTCTGCATTAGAAGGACCGAGGCCAGCCAGGATGCAGCACAAGCTGTCCCAGGACCCACTGGCTGTGTGTGCAGGTCTGGATTTTCTGAAAAATTTTAAAAAGATAAGATGATAGAGCTTGAAGAGGCGTGCGGATCACTTCCCTAAGACTCAGTTTCCTTCTCTTCGGAATTGAATGTCGCAAGAACATATTTACTAGGCTCCGAGAGTGAAGGTGGAGTGGAATTGTAATGCAGACTTACGCAGGGCAAAGCCCTGAGACACTTAGAACGGCTTTATTTTATTCACAGACTCTATCTGAGGCTTCTCTTAATCAAACATTCCAACCTGTCTTTGGGGAATGTTACTTTATAAAGTGTTTGCCTTAATTCTCAGTCATTTGGATAGTTTCCGATAGAACGGGAGAATGTTCTCAGTAAGGGTAATCGTGTAGGCAGTATTGTTTCTGAAAAGGAATTTAATAGCAACAGCTAAGCTCTCAATTAGAACCAAGTTATAAGGATTTGCCGCTAATCTAAAACGGAGGCCAAGCTCCTCAGTAAAAACCCGCCTGTTGTTTGTGGATCTATCATTCTGTGTATTGCAAGAATGTGCTTCCATCCTGGATTTAGATATTGGAAATGCCACATGATTAGATTAAGACAATCATTTTTATATCTAGCTCCGTGATTGTTTTCTCTCTGCCAAATGCTCAGAAGCGCTGAACTCCACATGGAACTGACAAATGGGGCTTTCTGATTGATTGAAAGGTACAGGACATTGCCAGAGGGCCGCATAGTTAAAATATACATACAGGGTACAAGAGAAGGCCACTATCGGCCCCTGTTAAGTTAAGCAGGGCTTGTCATATGGAATTTCAAAATCAGAGCTTCATTGAATCATGTAATGATCTGCTGCTAAGTGTGGAGTTTAAGGGGTTCTCCCTAGCCTGTGCCTGAGTTCTCCAAAACCATCACCGTAAAGTTTCCAGAAAAAATCAGAGCTATTCTTCTCGGTGAGCACCTGATTCTGCCCTACAAGGATTCTCTTTTGTTGGAAGCTGGTGATTTAATTAGTACTGCTTTAAGTCAAGGTGAGCCTTTTTTTTAAACCTGAAACAGGGCTTTACCTGAAACAATTGCCACTTGATCTTTGCACGAAGCGAGCTCTAGCTCTTTGCTTCTCAGAACTTTGCAAACCTGTCAGTGGCTCCCATATGACTCCACGGTGCTCTTTAAATGAAATTATGAGACATTATCAGATCCGAGCTGTTGTTTTGCTGCAGTGAGATAATTTCTGGAGGCAAGACACCTGGCTGGCCTGGAGTGGTGATTAATTTTATGTGTTTAGGGTACAATCATCACTCAGAAAAAAGGTTGAGGGTTGGGATGATAGATGATGGGCAGGAAGGAGATGGCCCGTGGAACTGTTCTACATCATCGATTCCTTTGATCGCTGGCAGAAGTTCAGAGATAACTTTGTTGCATCTGCCCAGAATAAGCAAATGCCATCGACTTTGCAAAGCTCTATTTGAAAAAGAGTTTGAGGACCACAACATCTGAACAGCTGGAGCTGAGAAAGGTTTCCAGCGGCTTTTCATGTGCATCTTCAGAAATAACATATGTCAATCTATATTTTCCATGTAAAGCACACTTGCTTAGATGTGGGCGTGGTGGGTGTCGTGGTAGACTGTCTGAAATCCCCCTTAGGACTGGGATACTCATTCCCCTCTCTCCAACTCCCACTCCCCATCCTTCTCTGAAGTGATGGCTGCTGAAAGTTCACAGCTGCTTACCTCCCTAGGTATGAAGGAGCTACCACGCCCAAGGTTCCATTTCTTTTCTGGTAGCTCATTTCCAAAGACTGGTCAGGATTGGGGCACAAAAGCTCAGCCTCATTGTCTCAATTTGGGACAACTCTGAAAGATTATCCCAGTACCTATGTCCCCCATCACATTAAATGTGGCCTCTGTTGCAACTGCAACATTCGATGCCCTGGGGGACATAGGTACTGGGATATTACCCAGCTCCCCCCATGCATTCCACAACTCTCAACAGGTGGTGTTTCTGAGAGCACACTCTCCTGCACATCTCCATCTAAGAGTCTACTTCCAGAAAACTTGACCTAAGGCAATGTTCACCTATATAAGAAGGAATATATGGTAATAGGATAGCGGCAGATAAATTTTTGTCCCCAAAACTGATATCCAAGCCAAAAAAAAAAAAAAAATCCAGGCAGAGTGACAGACACACAATGGTGCATATGTAATATATATATATATCAGTTTCTGCAGCTTTGATGACAAACTGCTCTCTGGTTGAAGCTTGCCTCCGTGCACAGGGCATTACTGAACAACTACTCATCAGGAAAATGATGTATGGAATTAAAGTAAACACTCCAAAAGCATTTTTGTTCAATCAAAGAGATTTAAGGGAAGGGCTGCTTATACCAACCAGAGGAGAAAAAAATACCCCTTTTGTACTTCAATTAGCAAACAATAATTTGGATAATTGGAAGCAAATGTTTTTTCTTTTATCATGTGAATTCCGCAGTTCTTTGCCCAATGCTGTCCCCTGCAGGGTAGAAAAAATCAGATCAGAAGAATCTGAAACATCCACAAACCAAGAGTCCCTGAGATTACAGCCTTCGGAGAGAAGGGTTATGTCCCAGAGGCCAAGGTTTCCTATCTATGTCCTCTCCCAGGAAGTTGCCACTATTTTCTGGAATATTATTTCCAAAACATCATGCAAAGAATATTCTCTGGAAGTCATTTCTGAAGCATCCACAGCCGCATCTTGGATTTCCCTGGTTAAAAGTGACAGTACGTATAGACAGTTTGCTTCTTCCAGGTGAAGGACTGATAATGTTTTCGAGAAACCACGGCAGAACAGCCAACCTGAGCTGGATGTCTACAAAGCAAATGTTCTCTCAGCTGGAAGAGGACATTCCTTTATTAAGAGCTAAGTAACAAAAGACTTGAGGAAATGCTCTAAGCTCAGGTAAGGACAGAAAACCAGTAACTCTAAGCAATTGTTCCAGAAGCAGCTGCTTTCTGAGATGTTAGGCCAGACTGTAGATATGCTAGTAGGAGACTTGGAAAACTACTAAGTCTCGGCCGGGCACGGTGGCTCACGCCTGTAATCCCAGCACTTTGGGAGGCCGAGGTGGGTGGATCACGAGGTCAGGAGATCGAGACCATCCTGGCTAATACAGTAAAACCCCGTCTCTACAAAAATACAAAAAAAAATTAGCCGGGCATGGTGGCGGCTAATTTAGCAGTCCCAGCTACTCAGGAGGCTGAGGCAGGAGAATGGCGTGAACCCGGGAGGTGGAGCTTGCAGTGAGCCGAGATCAAGCCACTGCACTGCAGCCTGGGTGACAGAGCGAGACTCTGTCTCAAAAAAAAAAAAAAAAAAAAAAAACTACTAAATCTCACTGTGGGTTTTCCAAGGATCAAAACTGCATCCAGGGCAATACCTTCCTCTCCCAGGAAAAACTGCTGGGAGCAGGAGTGGTTTCTTGGGAATTGCACTCCTGCTGCAACTTTGTTTTGTCACCACTGACTTCCCAGGAGCCCAAGAAGCACCTCTCAGGAAGGACTGTGCCATCTCTGTTTCCACAGCGTGCAGAGACTGGATCTTATTAGTTTTTCTGTGTCTTGGATGCAAAACCGAAGCCCTCAACCCCCTATCTTGTTCTATCTTCACTCTTATCCTTCTCTCGGCATCCTGCCAATTTCAGCTGCCTGCCTGCCTTGTTTCTATACCCTCAGATGATGATGATGATGATGATGCTAATGCTTTAGCTGAAATGGTTCACTTAATCCTTGCAACAATCTCACAAGTTGAGTATTATTATTCTCCCATTTTACAGATGAGAAAACTGAGACTCTGAGTGGTTAAATCACTTGACCAACATCACTTAGTCAGGAAGGGTGGAATCAGGCTGAGGGCTTCAGCTTACTGGAAGCAGACAGCTCACAGACCCCTTCCCCACCTGCATAGTGAAGGGATGGACAGGAGAGTGGTATGTTGACAGGTACCTCCTATGAACAATGTTAACCCCTTAGAAACCAGAAAGCCAACATTGGTAGGCAGGTGCTAATATTGGATCTATCCTATTCTACCTTGGATCCTTGTTTGGGGTTTGGCAGGGTGGAAATGGCCTATAAGACTCATTCATTCATCCATTTAACATTTACATAGAATCTAGTGTCTCAGTTAGAGCCCCAGTCTTAGAAGCACTCACAATGTGATTGGGAGAGGGGAGTCGTGGTCTTCGGGGTCTTGCATCCCTCCACAGCCCCTGCTGTTTCTGAGGGGTCACTGGGCTGGCTGAGGCCCAGCTCTCTCTGAAAAGCCAGTCAGTTGTGGAGCGCACATCTGACAGCTGCCCTACATTTTCCACTGATGGAGACATTGTGCACCCATCTGTTTCATCTCTAATATCCATCTTCAGTCATTTTCTGAGCCTCCCGTTTCTGAAGTTATCCACATAAAGCCTCATTTTAATGCTCAAAGCAGATCGCAAGCCTCTAACCTGAATTTTCCTCCTGTCCATTTTAGGACCCAGGAGCTGGTCCTTGTTCCTGGCAGAGAGGTCGTTTCACCAGAGAATAGACAGCTCTGGGCTGGGGACCCAGGTAGTGGGGGTGGGAGATCACATTTCCACTGGTCCTAGACTGTCTCGACGAATATTTCCTCTTAGCGCCAGTGTCATGCCAATTTCTTATAGAGGTGTTAGAAGAACCACAGGGATGCCAGGTGCGGTGGCTCGTGCCTGTAATCCCAGCACTTTGGGATGCTGAGGCAAGAGGATCGCTTGAGCCCAGGAGTTTGAGGCTGCAGTGAGCTATGATTGTGCCACTGCACTGAGGCCTGGGTGACAGAGCAAGATTTTGTTTCTAAAAGGTAAAAAAGAAAAGAAGAAGCACAAGGAACTAAAGGCCAGTTGTCTGGAAGACACATAAATATGAAAACACAGGATGCTGATGGAATTGCGGGGACACAGGGTTGGAAGGCCTCTCTGATCACGCACAAGGCCGTTCAGTGCAATCAAAGGCTTAACCTTAGACAAAGGCTGAATGGGTGCTGGAGAAATACAGTTCTGGCATTGAGATCTTTATTTATTTCTTTGTCCATTTATTCATTTAAGAACAATTTACTAAGCTCCTTACACATATCTGGCCCTATATCAGACATAATCCCTGTTCTCATGGACTACATAGTCCAATGAGGGAGAAAGATATTAAGAAAATAATCAAATAAATGAATGGAAGCCCTGAGGTCCTCACCCTCACCCCTCTGGGCACCTACGCTCCCTGGTACCTCCCTTCCCCTACCTGGGGAGGGTGGGTTGTCTCTGTGGGTAGCAGAAACCTCAGGTTGGAACCCCCTGCCTCACTTCAGCTCCTTTTGTAAGCAGAGTACCTCTGTTCCTGAGTGTGGGGAAAGAAAACCATCATGTACATCAGAGTTGTCACAAAAGAGTTGACTACCTGCTAACAAGGGATGGAAACTCTTCTCTTCCTAGTAGGAGCCATCGGGTCTTATAAATATCATCCCACAAGCATAGACTGCCCATGGAGGTCACTGATTTCAGAAGGAAGGCCAAGAGCCTTCTTCGAGACAGATATAACACAGTGCTTTGCACAAGTTTTGTTTTTACTATCATAATAAGCTATCACATTAGTTGCAGTGTCCCATGAACTCCAACTCCACCCATAATCATTAAGAAGTTTCTGGAGTTAGATTGATGTTCGAAACATTGATCTCCATCACCAGAAGCTTTCCATCTCCCATCTGTTAGATGCTTTGACCTTTCCTTAACATCATTAAGAGATAAAAAGTTAATCTACTGAATAAAATGCATGACCTTTCAGAAGAGAATGAGTATCACTGTAGAGCCTCCCATCGCTGAGGAATTTTATGTTCGGGAGATAGACATTATGTGAATCTGAGCAGGATAATTGTGGAGAATAATATCACGGCACCACCAAAAATGTCTACATCTCATCTCAAGTAACTGAGGATTAGGCAACATGAACTTAGAAGAAAAAGATTCAGCACCTTGTCAGGCCATCACTCACATTCACAACCAATCAGCTTCGTCTTTGAGCACAGATGTTGGCCTAGAACCTCATGTTTGCTAATAGAAAACTATTGACTAACACAGTAATCCTCAACTAGGATTCAATGGCCCAGAGTTCTCTCCATTCATTTATTTACTGATTTGACAATTATTTGTTAAGTGCCTGGTATGTACCATAGCATACCAAACACTTTTCTAGGTGTTGGGGAGACAGCAATGGAAAATGAAAGTCAAAAGTTTGTGCCCTTAAGGAACTCATATAGTATATTCTAGTTGAGAAGGCAGAAAATAACTAAGTGAAATATTTGTAAATAAAATAGATGTAAGTCCTAAAGAAAAAGTAATAGAGCAGAACAGAGGGGCAGGAAATATCTTGAGTATTGTGAGGCTGAAATCTTAAAAGGGGAGTCGGGGGCAAAAAACAGGGGGAATTGAAATATTTTTCCTATTTTTTTCTTCAAAGAGAGGAAGCAAAAGACAAGCTCCTGACCAGGGCAGCCTATGGCCCATGCATAAGAGCCAACCTCTCCTCTGCTTTAGAGCTGGAAGTCTTTTCAATACAAATTTGGGTTTGGGATGAAGCAGCTGCAAAGTAAACCAAGATGATGGAAATAATCTTTCTTTAGCAAATGAGTCAAGCAAATTGAATCACAAATTGCAGAGGGATTTGTGACAACAGTTGAGCAAGGAGAGTCGCAAGTAACCTGTATACATATATATATAATTTTTAATTTTTTAAAAAATTACATATATATGTATATATATAATTATATATATACTATATTTTTTAATTTAAAAAAATTAAATATTGTATATATACTATATTTTTAATTTTTTAAAAATTAAAAATTTTTAATATTTTTTTAAAAATTAAATTTTAAAAAAAGTAATTTTGTAATTTTTTTTTTAAAAAATACATATATTTTTTTAAATTTTTAAATATTTTGTTTGTTTGCTTGTTGAGATGGAGTTTTGCTCTTGTTGCCCAGGCTGGAGTGCAGTGGCGCCATCTCAGCTCACTGCAGCCTCTGCCTCCCGGAGCAAGCAATTCTCCAGCCTCAGCCTCCAAAGTAGCTGGGATTACAGGCATGCGCCACCACACCCAGCTAATTTTTGTGTTTTTAGTATAGGTGGAGTTTTGCCGTGTTGGTCATGCTGGTCTCGAACTCCTGATCTCAGGTGATCCTCCCAAAGTGCTGGGATTACAGTTGTGAGCCAACACGCCCAGCCTAAATATGTTTTAAAGCCAATAGAATCTCAGCATCCTATACTCATACTAAGGTAGAAAAGTTTCATAAAATTAGGGAGGACCCAATGTGGAGGTCAACTGCCTGTTCACCCTCATCTTCATTCCTCATTCATCCCATCCTTCCCCTGCTCTATGGCATGGGCTGACCAGTGTCAGTCTGTGTCAGATCATTTCCAGTAATGTCTGGCCAATGGAAGGCACTGGAATTGGAGAGCAACAGAAAGAAAGAAGCCAGAGCATCTCTCTCCTTTCTCCGCCCCAGGCGGTGTCTCTGGCAGATGCTACACCTCCAACCTGGCTCAAACTCCTCTAGGGCAGTCTTTCCTTCCATGCTCCCAGCTCCAGCTGAGCAGCTCCCACTGTGGTTCCAGTTCCCGCTGGGTAGCACCTCCTTGCTGGCTCCAGCTCCTGCTTCATGGCCCCAGCTCCTGGGCTTGAACATCACTTCCTGCTCCAAAAGTAGTAGAAACTTCTTGCTCATGCTAATACCCAGATTGCCACCCTTTCTCCAACACATGTGGTTCACTATATTAAATTCCCCTAATTGAACGACCTGATATGTGTCCTGTTTCCCTACCTAGCCCCTGATGTGAATGTAGACTGGCTTCAACAGCTCCATGCTGAGCAGTAAGAGAGCCAGCTACAAAGTCTCTCAGTCTCCTTATAAACCAGCAAAAACTACATAAAGCTATCACAGGCCATTCCTATGAACCCATGCTCTATAGATCCAGTTCCTATGCCCCCACTTAACCCCATCAACATTCATCACTGAAGACCCATCTTTGCTCACTGACTACTGGACACACAATAGGCTGTCTGGTCTCATTCTCTAAAAACAGTCCACCCCTTGACTCTTTGGTCACAAACACCTGGGCCAATGTCATTGGTTCATGGGGCTGTGTTTCAGGGCCTTTTCAAGTGCACACATTGTAGGCCGAGGACTCCATTGCCATCAAACTCCCCTCCCTTTCCTCCTTGAATGTCACCAACCTCCTCGTCAGCATGTTCTGGAGCTTCCAGAGATTTGAGGTGGATGTGTAGTGACATAAGGGCTACAGGTGTCCAGATGTGGCTTTCTGGATACTGGCTCTAGCTTGTCCTCATTTCTGACTGTTTCCTGAGGATAAAGATGAGCTGAGGAATAAACACCTTTTTTTCAGCACAAGAAAAGCTCAGATTTTTCCACTTTTCCACTAAGACTTTCTCAAGTCTTAGTGTGAGAATCAGTGAAATTTGAATGCCCTGAGCATATTAAAAGGAAAGATTCCTGGGCCCTCAACAGACCTACCAAAGCAAACCCCTCTGGGATTGTGGCCCAAGAGTTCAGATCTTAACCACCCTACTCCCCATCCCTCCCCAGCTGTTTTTGTGTAGATCAAAGGTTGAGAATCTGTGTGCACTAGTGTTTCAAAATTCCCCACAAGGCCCATGAACATCTAATTCTTTTGCATGCCTCATTATCCCTCTAATCCCTCCAGGAAAGGCTTCCCTTACCACACAAGGGAGTCATTTTTTGATGTGACCTTGCCCCATTGGTTATAGTTGCTTGGTCTACAAGTGGGCACCTGACCCAAGCTAGACCTATCAGAGACATTGCTTGGGATATGCGTATTGGAAGCATGAAAGGAAAGCTAACTGTGTCCGGTGATGGGATGAGAGGCCCAGACCTGTCAGTGGCCATTTTTCCACCAAGTGTAGAAGGAGGCATAAAAAGAAAGAAAATGGATCCACCAAGCAGAAGCCAAGACAAGGGATAGCATGAGAAAGTCTCGGGGGCCCACATGTATTTCTGTTTCTCCTGTGGTTTCATTGTTCCATCAAGCTGGGCTTCACCAACTTCTTTGGATGCTGGGAGCAAGTAAAGCCCTCCTTTTACCTGAGCCCCTTTGAACAGAGAAGAAATGGCAACAGGCAAACTTCATGCCATTTTCCACAGTACAAATAGTTGATCTCAAACACTTATTTGCCCCTTTACTTCTCACCTCTTCAAATCAGGGCTGGAAGAAAACTCAGAAATCGTCTATTCCAGGGGTTATCACACAACGCTCCACAAAGCTCTGAACTTCCCCTAAGATTCTCAGAAATGAACGAGACCTCAAGTGCTGGGATCCCAGCCCCCATCTCCAAGCTGCTCCTTTCAATCTGCTTAGATATTGGATTTCCTGCTACAATTTCATTTGCAAAAACAAAAGTGAGGGAAGGTTCTCCTTTAAGGACAAAAATAACAACAATACTGACCTACTCCTCCCATTATACAGATGGGGAAAACTGATGGACAATCACTTGTTCAAGGTCAAACTCTAAGCCTGATGGACGCCCACTATACCTCCTAGACTTGGTCAACAGAAAACTTTTTCTTTCATATTACTTTGAAAGTAATGAATTAAAAAAAAAACAAAAATCATCAGCATGAATGTCATCTGGGAACCTGTTATTTGGAAGAGCGCTGTTTTTAACTAGGATGGTCTCTTATCCCAGTCACCCATTATACTAGGTTGCCATACATGTCCAACTAGACATTCCACCACACCAAAGTGCTGTCACCCTGTGAATCCACTGATGATTTGTTTGGTGCACAGTAGGTCCTCAACAGAGATTTGTTGGGTCAGGGAATGGAAGTCTCCCTTTTCAAACAACATTTACTCTATAAGTTATAACACACTCTTCTATCTCTCCCTCCAATAACAACACAAAACTACAGCTAAGGGGAGGGGGAGGAGTCGATGAGGAAAGGCTGACTTCAAGTTTCAACCGCTGCTCCAAGGGCAAGGTTGGCTGCCTTCAGTGCCAATCTTGAGAGGGAGAGCAGGTGTGAAAATCAAACACAGGATTTCAGAACTGTAAATTGTTTATTTGTGTGCCGAGAGAACCTATTCATCGCCCAAGCAGCCGCACAGTCCCACAGTTCCTTCCTTCCTAACAGGCGTCATACAATTATATTTTTTTTTCTCGGTGGCAGTGTGAGTCCTGTCTGGGTAGGTAGGGCTTAGGCTGGGCTAAGTGGCAATGACCCAGGAGAAGCGGACAGCCAGGGTGGGGTAAGTGCCTGCTGCCATTAATTTTCAGTGAATGAGCACTGGAATTTTATCCACCACCTGGTTTATATGCTTGATAACTACCTCCTGGGCCGGAATGGAGCTCGCAGGGCAAGGAATACCACGTCAGGAGAATCCAAAGTGTGATTGTGTGCTGGGAGGGAAGGGTTGGGGGATTTTCCTGCTGCAGTTGTAACTGGTGTCATTGCAACCCCAAATGAATCATCTGGGAATCTGCCATTGTTGGGTGCTGGGAAGGAAGGCAGACCAGGGACTGTATCATATGAGATCCCTAGGGCTCTGACTTCTGCAGAAGAGCAGCACAGGGCAATTGTATGGTGTGAAGGCTAAGGATGGACGTGGAGTCACAGACCAAGCTTGGAATTCTGGCTCCACCACTCACTTATTCTGACTTTGGGCAAGTTGTTTCCCACCTGTGGGCTTCCGGGTTCTCATCTGTAAAATGGGACAATAGTAGTACTAGCCTCCTAGGCTTCTCATGAGGATTGAATGAGAACATTCACAGAGGGTTCTTAGCAGCGTTCCTAGCACATAGGTAATGCCCAATCGATGGAAGCTGTTGTTGGTATAATCATAATTACGATGTAGGTTTGGGCTACGGAGGTTTAGGCCTGCACGTTGAGGGCTAAGCAGACTTCCCAGAACCTTCAACACGTCCTTCCACTTCATCACCCCATCTGTTAAGGCAGCTCTGTTCTCTTGACACTCTTACTAGGTAGAGACAGATGCTCTCCAGAAGAGGTAGCATATCTGGCTTGCTCTACCACTTGCTACCTGGCTTAGGCAAATCTCTTTACCTCTCTGAAGCCCCGTTTTGTCACCTTTTACGGTGACAAAACAGGGACAGTAATCCTTCCCTTTCAGGGCTCTTGTGAACATCACTCAAGACAGTGAATATAAATTGACATGTGGTGTCAGGCATGTGTAAAGCACCCAATACACAGCTACTGTGATGACTATGATCACAAATATTATCAATAACCATGGATATTTGACAGGGCCTAAGAACACAATTTTTGTCTGAAAGGCCTTGGACATGAAAGGCTGCCTGGATGAGACCATAATAAGCAGATCTCTAAACCCTAATAGGACAGGCTACACTGGCTCTTCCCGTTCAAAATCTCATTCTAGCCTCTCAAAAATGTTACCAATCAGGAAAGACTAATAGTTACTCCCATTTTACAGATGAGACAATGGAGATTTGTTAAGCATTTTGTTGTGGGATCATAGAGTCTGGCAAGGTCAGGCTCTAGACCTGCCTAAATTCTTGAAACCCAGTGGTCTTTCTGCTACCCCAGTGGGTCTCCACCAGGGGTGATTTTGCCCCCACCCCCCGCAGAGGACATCTGGCAAAGCTTGGAGTCATTGTTAGATTGTCACGTTGAGTCATCAGCATCAGAAAGGGTAGATAGAGGCCAGGGATGCTGCAAAACCTTCTGCAATGCACAGGACAACAAATAATTATCCATCTTAAAATGTCCATATAGTGTTGTGGTTGAGAGACCCTGAACTACTTTGTAGATGCTTCCAGTTGAAGTGTCCTGACCTGTAGAGCTTGGGGACGATGGAAAGGAGACAGGAGCCAGAGAAGGTGGTGGAGAGGGAAGGCCCTGATACACATTTCACCCTCCTGACACGGGCTCAGAGACTGGGGTGTCACTGACCAGCTCTGGTCCAAACAATGTTTTTTGGAAAGCGTGTTAGCTGTTGCAGTAGTCATCAGTTCTTCTCATGAGAAACTCCCAATTCTTGTTGGCACATGGTAAGGCCGCCGTTCCCTGACCCCACAAAGTTAGGAGTGGCTGGAGGATGTGCCTTGGCCAATGAAATGTGAGCAAAGGTAGTATCTGTTGCTTCAAGAAGATGCTTTAAGAGGCAGAGAATGACTCACCATGTCTCCACTTCTCTGCCTTGGAAAACAGAGAGAGAGAGAGAACATTATCTTCATCATAGGACCCTGAGTGACAGGGTCACAGAGCTGAGTCCCCAGAGTGCCTCTGATAACACGAAGTGTGAACAAAAAATAAACTTTCATTGTTTCAAGCCACTTATAGTTGGGTCTTCTTTGTTGTTCAAGCATAGCAGCAGGATGGCTAGCCTATCCTGAAAAATACTCTTGCCAACCTTTGAAAATAGGGAGTTTTCATATAAAAACCTAGACTTCCCAGTTATCTTGGTAAATGAGAAATTCTAGAAAGACTCTGGGTTTTTAGTCCATATGGCAATATTAGGGACAGTTGATCTCCAGTTTGTCATGGTGGCCACATGGACCACTTCATGCATCTATATTATTTCCTTGGCTATTGCAGTATCTGGGTTTGAGATTCCTGATGACGATCTTGTCATGAGTCAGCTTTGCCAAATTAGGGAGCTAGAGAGGTATTTCACCTATGGAGCCTATTTCAGATGAGGGCAGAAAACCCAAGACCTCCCCTTTTCTGAGATGAGAGAATGGGACCAGGTGAAGAGAATTGGAGGAGGCCTTGCCTCTTGGAATGATTGTGCCTAGTTTCTAGGGAAAATATTGCACCTCATATTTTTCACAAATAGGGAAGAGTTTCCCACTCTATTTGGGAGGCACTTCTTCACACCGTTTATTCACTCATTCTTTCTCTTCACTCACCCATTAATTTATTCAGCTGGCTATGGTGGCTCACACCTGTAATCCCAGCACTTTGGGAGACTGAGGTGGGTGAATCACTTGAGGCCAGAAGTTCAAGAACAGCCCGGCCAACATGGTGAAACCCTGTCTCTACTAAAAATACAAAAATTAGCAGGATATGGTGGCACTCACCTGTAATTCTAGCTACTTTGGAGGCTGAGGCAGGAGAATCACTTGAACCCAGGAGGTAGAGGCTGCAGTGAGCCAAGATCACGCCACCACACTTCAGCCTGGGTGACAGAGCAAAATTCTGTCTCAAAAAAAAAAAATTATCTGATCACTCGTTCATTACTTATATATTCATTCATCCATTCATTTGTTTATCTCCTTAATTCATTCACATGGTCACTTATTAACTCCTTTATTTATTCATGTAAGGATATTTACTAAGGGCCTAAAACGTGTACAGTCTCCCCAGCACATGTAGGGTATACCTACTCGAACTGCAGTCTGCCTGCTTAAGAAGGCATGGTAGATCATCTCCAAGGACGGCTGCAAACAGGTTCTCTGATTTTTGTGTGCGCATGCTGCTTTTCCTAACAAGAAGTGGAGTCTATTTTCCCTCCCCTTGAATGGCCCTGTGACTTCCTTTGACCAATGGAATGCAGCAGAGGTGATGTTGTGCCAATCTGAGCCTAAGTTTTAAGTAGACCATATCTTCCATTTTTGCTCTCTTAAAATATGGTCAGTTTGACTTACTTGAGGCTGGATCCTCCAGCTCCATATGAACTCCCTAGATGACACCATGTGGAATAGGGATGAGCTATCCAGCTGACTCCAACATGATTGCTGAATCATGAGTGAGTAAATGGTGGTGGTGGTTGTTTTAAGTGACTCTGTTTTGGAATGGTTTGTTTACATAACAAAAGATAACTGAGATAGTGTGAATCTGACTAAGAAGGTCCCCAGGAAGGATGTTAAAAGTGCCAGTTGGCTTCTTATAACTGTTTATGGTAAAGTATTGGAAAAGAGAGCTGAAGAAGGAACTAATACGTTTTCAAGAATTTACATAAAATATAGCAGGCCCAGAAGAGTTTTTCCAGCTGAAAAAAAAAAAAAAAATTCTCAAAGTAAGGAATGGCTCCAGGGTACAAATAAGATCAAGGCATAGCCATAAGACCCTTGTTAAGAACTCAGAAAGAGTTAAAGCTGTTTAAACCTAGTAAACCCTCATAAAACTAAACATTGCAAAATTGGAAATTGTAAGAACATTGTCCTAAATCATGTCTCAGAAAAAACTATGAGCATAGCTTTGGGGACATAAAATAAATACCATTAAGATTCATGGATAACCCACAAAAATTTTAAGATAATTATATTGGTGGAAGTACCACCTGCTTGGATCAAAAGGGACACGAAACATTCCAAGTAAAAAGTGGTCTCTGGGCCCCTATCTTTTTATAGACAGTAAGCGTGCTGGGAGAGGTACTTAACTGCAAATATGAGCCAATTCTTATGAAGAAGGAAGGCCCTCAGAGGACACAGCCAAGAGCTCAGAGAGCTGATACAAAAGCTGGGAAGAAAATACAATTAGAGATCCTGTTTTAGGGAAAAGTACTGGGTCATGATTAAATAATATTCTATGCTCCCAGAGGATGGAGCTCGGAAGCATGTGCCCAGCTGGATTTCAGAATTGCTATGGACCAGTGAGTGCTGTGTGCTTTGCATTTTTCTCTTCTTTGAAAGGAAATATCTATTGCAGTTACTCTGTCAATGTTTACCTTTGTATGTTGGGTGTAGAGGTGCAGAAAACTTTTACTTTACAGCTCTCTAAGGAATTTCTCTGGAGGAATTTCATCTGCATCTGGCCCTGATTTATCTGACTATATCTTGGACTTCTACCTGATGTTATAATAGCATATGACTTGTGCATGAGGAGAGAATGCATTTTGCATGCCAGAGAGATGTGATTGTTGTGACCACAGGGAGGACATTGGTAGATGGTTTTGAAGATAGTTGCAAAAATCCTTCTCATCCTCAATGCCTTTTTGTAATATGAGTTAGCTATTGCTCCCATCAAGAGATGGAGCCCTTTTCCCCTTCCCTTGAATCTGGAAAGCCCTGTGGCTTCCAGTGACCATTGCCATATGGCAGAAGTAACGTTGTTTAACTTCTGAAGTTAGGCTTTCAGAAGTCTTGCACCCTGTGTTTCTCCTTCTGGAACACTCTTGCCACCATGAAAGGAAGCTCAGTCTAGGTTATCGAATGCTAGGAGACCACATGGAGAGAGAAGTCACATGGGGGAGAACAAAGGTGCCCTGTGTAACAGCTAGCACCAACGTCCCATGAATGAGGCAACCTGGGATCTCCAGCCCAGAATATCCACCTCAGCCAACTCCATGTGAAGTAAAGATGAACTATCCCTGCTGAATTAAGACATGCCCAAATTGCTAGCCTACAGAATCTCAAGTAATAAAAGGTCATTGTTTTTAAACCCCTAAGTTTTGGGGTGGTTTGTTACACAGCAATAGATAACTAAAATAGGGGGTTCGTTAGGCACTATCTTGGCTTAAAGTGGAGAAATTGCTTTCAGTTCACTCCAAAGCAGAGCTGTCAGAAATGACATCTCATAGCACCACACCTCATCAGCTGCCTCACTTCCCGACAGGTCTTGAATCAGCTCCCAATATGTGTGCTGGGAAGCTCACCAGGGAGCTGGACGCCTCTACTGAGAGCACTTCCTTTGCCAAGTTCACATCTTATTCCTTTCACTTCCAAGGAAAAATGAGGAGTGGAGAATGAGAAAGGAGGAAAGGACACTGGTGCTCTCCCATTTCCAAATTCTGAGGCACATTTGTTTATCGTGTTAATTTTTCCTTTCAGCTACCACTTACTAACCAACGGTTATGTGCCAGGCCCATGAAATATACTTCCATTACAAAAGGTTCTCTTGGAATTCCCATTTTGCAGATGTCAAAATGGAGACTTCTATAAATACATGACTTAGTTGCACTCAAGTAGGAAGTGTAGAACCTGGGGCAGTGACCCAGGGTTTTTAGCTTCAGAAGTAGGTTGTTAACCTCTGTGCCTCTCTTCAGGCTGTGTACCTTCTCCTGGTCACACTAAGCTCTGATAATAGAAATAGAATTTGTATAGAAGATACCTCCATATTTGAAGAGCCAAATAACAGCAAGGTGTGGCTTGGGATAGTCATGAATCTCGGCAGGGATGAGGTACAGCATAGGCATAATGACAGCAGGAAGAAAGAAGAGTGCTTTTAAATAGAGAAGGAAGAGCAAGAATTATTGGAGACTTAATTCATGCTTGGCACTGTGCGAGGAAGTAGGTGTATGTGTTCTATTTTACAGATGAGAAATCTGTAAAAGAAGCTGAGTACTCATCCAAGGTTGGCTCTCTTCCAGTGAATGGCAGGGCAGAAGCTTAAATCCAGGAGCTTCCAGGGCCAAGATCCATCCCTTTTCCATAGATTTGAGCTGGTTATCAGATAAATAATAACACAAGACACCACTTCCATGACCAAATGAAGTTGAGTATCCATATTCATGGGCAAAGACGTTTTTTCTTTGTCCCTGTTCTTATGAGGTTGGCACTTAAAGCTCTAAGCAGCTACATCTGACCCACTAGCATTTTGAATCAATAGATAAAGTTGGTGTGGACATGTAAACTAGCTGGAAAACAATGGATATTCCACAATCTTACATAATCAAATTACCCGGAGGAGTGTGCTAGACAGGATACCCAATCATCTTTCTTTGTCTATTTCAATCGTCCCTGACAATTCCTTTATTTATTCACTCATCTGACAATATTTACTAAACACACATGTCATTTCAGTGCCATTGTAGTCATTCAAGATGCATTGAGAAACAACACAAAATTCCTACCCTCATGAGATCTCCATTCTAGGGGAGGAGAGACATAGAGATCATATGTAGTTTTCTTCTAAACATATCTTTTTTCCTCAAATTAGAAAAACACCCAAGATTGTATGGAGAAGCAGGAAATAGCAAACTCCCCATTAGCCTCTATAGTCTATTTATGAAAATCGAAACAAATTAATCTAGGATGAATCTCTATGGGTAATGATTTCTTTCTTTTTTTTTTTTTTTAGACAGAGTCTCGCTCTGTCGCCCAGGCTGGGGTGCAACGGTGCAATCTCAGCTCACTGCAACCTCCGCCTCCTGGGTTTCAAGCGATTCTCCTGCCTCAGCCTCCTGAGTAGCTGGGATTACAGGCATGTGCCACCATGCATGGCTAATTTTTTTTTTTTTTTGTATTTTTAATAGAGATGGGGTTTCACCATGTTGGCCAGGCTGGTCTTGAACTCCTGATCTTGTGATACCACCTTGGCTTCCCAAAGTGCTGGGATTACAGTCATGAGACACTGCACCCAGCTGGGTAATGATTCTTACCCTCTGCCCCCTACCAGGAGGTCAGGGGTGGCTAAGGAGTATTTGGAGAGCCCTAAGAAGCCCCCTGCACCCACCTTTACTCCCTAGCTGACCACAGGAATCCTCACTCAGAGTTTCCCTGTAGAGCCAAGCTCCTAAGCGTCTCTTAAAAATGAGCCAGAAAAGCTCTGAGACATACTTTCCCCCTCACTGATAGCAATTAATGTGCCACAAGTCATTGCCAAAATAAGTTGTTTATTTTAAAGCAACTGAAATGGGCTATTTCATCTTCTAGGCCCATTCATTAAGATGTTGATTCACCCTTTGCAGAAGCAATGGAAGCCCTATTTAAGAGAATGACCACTGGCCCAACTTTAGCTTCATCCCCTGGACTTTGAGGTTATTTACTGCTTCATCATTCAGGGAAGGGCAAGAGAATGACTTATTTTGATATTTAATTCAAAGGCAGGGAGTGGGGGCGGGGAGGATAATAAAATCACCAGTTAGAATTGGTATCACTGGCAAGAGTTTTTAAGGTCATTGAAGTGTCATCAACCCTCACAGATACAATTCAAAAAAAAAAAAAGTAGTAGTTATAAAAGGGAAAATACCAATTGTTGTCTTGTCAAACAAAAAACTAACTATTGTGTTTTGCATGAACACCCAGTGGCTTCCACCAATTTTGCAAAGCATATTTCCCTTTGGGCGGGGATTGTCAAGTCTTCCCTGTTTTTACATCCTTCCATTGACATACCGGGGGCCCCAGGGGAGGAGAAATCCACCCAGATATTTGTAGCTCTAAAAGTTCATTTGCGTCATTTGCGTCCAAGATGGGTCATTATTCTAGGCTCAAACCACATCCTGCAAAATGAAAACAACAAGGAGACCTTTGACCAAAAACTAGGGAGGAGGTGGGAGAAAGAACAAGGGGCTGGAAAACTGTGAAGGTGTTAAAAGACACAGCCAATGTTTCGGGAGTTTTGAGAAACAAACTCTTCCTGCAGTATAATGTAATTACAACCTTTTCTCGGCTAAGTGTAGTACCCTAGAGATTACTATAAGTAACTTATAATAGAATTTTTATTAGCAGTAGTAATTTTTTATGATAATTAGAGTAATCTGCAGCCCATAAAATCGGAAGATATATAGTTATATCTTTTGTACAGGAAAAGTGTTTCTCCCAAGTAGGGAAACACCGTTAATGGTCAATGCAGCTTTATGGCCAGTGTTGGCTTTTATGCTCAGCTGTTTGGTGTCCCTTCTCTTATTAACACTCTTTATTACGTTGGCAGTAAACATTAAATGACAAATTCAAACTGTGCTCAACGGGATCAAAAGGCAACAGAAACATCTTCAAATGCTTGCTGTCCCAGTGTCCTTCCCCCACTCCCTTTCTCTCTCTATCCAGAGGTTTCTCAAAGGCAAGGTCATTTGGTAGCAAGCCTCCCACCTCAAGCTCAGCCCTGTCAGCATTTGTGTTTTGGGTCTGACCCAGGACTATTATAGAATGATCCAACTAGGCCATAACTTCGAGAGAACTAGTTGGGGTGTCTGAGTTTGCCCAGAAGAGTTTTGAGAAAGAGCTGTAAAGCATGCTTTTGTTACACTGATGTCACTGCACTAGTAAATGAATGTCATGCTAGTAAGGGGATCTCATGATAGCTGCTGTAACAAACAAACTCTTGCATTTCAATGGGTTGTTTTTGCTTTCCTATTAACCAAGTGCACGTGAACCTGATCAGAGAATATCTTTCTTCTTAGTGGTGATTTGGAGACCAAGGAGACCCTTCTGTCTTGTAATTCCACCATGCCTGGGGGCTTCTTAGTAATCTGCATCATTTCTCAAATGCAGAAAGAGAGAAAAAAGAGGACATCCTTTTATATAAAACTCTATCCCAGAGTAATGCATTCAATTGGTAAGATTAGTCATATGGCCACGACCAGTTAGTTGCAAGGGGGCCTAAGTCCTGGGCATGGTAGCTGCCTTACTTCAACAATATCACTCGATGGAGGATGGAGCAAGAATGTTACTAGGAAGCCAGCCCATCCCTGCCCCACTGCACAAGACACAGTCTTTATTTATAGCCTGCATGGAAAGATATATCAGAATGCCAAGCTCTTCACAGACAAACAGCAAAAATGATTATAAAGTTAGAGAACAAAATTCTAAAGTCAGACCATCTGTGTTCAAAGCCAGCCTTCCCCTCTTATTATTGGTACAATATTATTCAGGTTATTTCAGCTCTCTGAGCCTCAGCTTACTCAGCTATGATATGAGAATAAAAACATCCAGTATGAATTGAATACATGGTATATATAGTACACTGTCCTAAGTGTCATATAAATGTATTTCTTTTATGTATTTCTCCACATAAATGTATTTTATGTATTTCTCCATATAAATGTATTTCTTCACTGCAACTCTGTAAGGTAGGTGAAATTATTATCCAAGTGATACAAATGGGGAAGCTAAGGCACAGAGAGGTTATGTTCATTGCCTGTGATCACACAGATTATAGTGGAATCAGAATTCAATCCTAGACCTCTTAGGCAGTAGTTACACGGCATCCCATAATGCTGTTATGAAGTTTAGATGAGATGACAAGTTAAAAAAAAAAGGTCTTGACAATGAGTGAGCAGTTAATATACTTACCTAATTATTTATTTATGCCACAAAATATCTCCCCTACCATCTTGTTGCAGTGTCTGAAATACACACAGTTAGAATGATTGTTTGGGGTTAAGGTAGCGCTTTTCCAAAGACTGTTCTGCCTAAGCATATTCTCTAAGGATACTTCTCAAAAAGGAGGCTCTCTGGTCAAGTAAGTGTGAGAATGTAGAATATCCTGTCTTGGAGATTCACAGGCATATTAGCCTATCAAAGGCTCTGGTGAGTCCTACAATAAAGAAACCTATTTAACTTTGTTCAACCCTGCAGTCCACAAATTTATCTGCTTTTGCAACATGTCTCAGAGTTAAAGCAAAAAAAAAATCTTTGTTGGTTAATTGACCAGAAGTCAACTAATTACAATTTTCAATTAACCAGAAACATGTTCCTTTACGACTCATTGTAGAGCAAAAAAGGTAAATGGCAAGCTAATAGGCTGATAACAGTAAGTTTAAAACAGTGGCAACAAATGGGAAACTATTTTCCACAAGAATGACAAAGATATTATCCTTAACGAATAAACAGTCCCTAAACATCAATTTAAAATACTGTTATGGAAAATGCAGGCAAAGGATAGGAATAGATTAGGTATAGAAAATGCAGTGGCTAATAAGCATAAAAAGTCTTACTAGTAATCAAAGAAATATAAACTCAAATGAAAAGACTCAGTTTTTTACATGGCAAGTGAATGCAATGAAAACCTTTCATATTGGTCAGGGTGCAAACATAAAAATATTTATGCTCATTGTCCTGGTTGTATAGCTTCAGAAAAAGTGTCCTTAAAAAATTAGAGAAGCAAATAAAAGTTTATGTTCAAATATATCTATTGCACTGCTACTTATAATATTGAAGGAGAAAAAGATTAGCCCAATTTGCAAAAAAAAAAAAAAATGCTGAGAGAACCATGGTTATTCATGGTGGAATATTATGAAGAGTCTAAAATTATATTTTCAAAGCAGTATTAATAACAAAGAGAAATTCTCATTGTCTAGTTAATAACAAGACAAACTAAAGGATATAAAGCTATATTTACAATATTAACTCAATTACGTAAATATACCAATGGTACCAAAAGAGAAGAAAGGGATGAAGATGAACAAAGGAAATGTAACCAAAAATGTTAATCGTGGCTGTTCTAGGTTGTAAAGTGAGAGGCTATTTTGTTTTGTAATTTTTGCTTTTCTATATTTTCCAGAATTTCTACGATTATGAATGATTTCTGTAATCAGAAAAAATGAAGTTAAAAAAAACAAACAATAACAAAAATTAGGATCAAAAAAATCGAAGAAGACATTTTCCAATCACTGCTGATTCAGTGTGGCCTCCTCTTCCCTTCACACACTCCAGCCTGCATCTTGAGGCTTGATGTTTATTCAGAATGGCAACCCAGAAGCCCTGGGAGATCCTCAGTCACTGAAAAAACATTCTGCTGAGGCAGGAACGTGCAACACCACATCTTGCAAAGATTTTCAGCAAAACGATTTGAAACCAAAGACTTCTTGGTTACCCCTCATTTAACCAAAATATCATGTTAACAAAAATGGTACATGAACAGAGAATCCTGATCAAGTGAGATTCTACAGTATAAGTCGTTGTTTAATTATCTTCTGCTCTGGCTGACTCACAACTCTGCCTTTAAAAAAAAATTGATGGAAAACTAAGACCCAATTACACAACTCAGTTCTGGAACATCTTTGTCCATGCTCTTCTGTGGCAGAGGTAATTTTGTGTTCACCAAATTGCATACTTCTTTTCCTCCTGGGCACATAGACTACATTTCCCAGTTTCCTTGTAGTAGGGGCAGCCATGTGACAAGGGCTGTCCAAAGGAGGGTGATCAGAAGTGATGCACACCATTTCTAGGCCTGGATTATAAAACTTCCCCAGTGCTTCCAGTTCTTTTCTCTCTTAGTTCCTCCACCTGCTGGATATATGCAGAAAATTCAGTATAGGACTCCAAAGACCTAAGGCATGGGGAGCCATTAGAAGGAAGGAGCCTGGATCTCTGAATGACTGCATGGAGCAGAGTGAATATACTCACACAGACACACACACAGAGTGAGAGAGAGAGAGCACACAGGCCCTTTGGGGATCATGTCATGAATGAGAAATAAATAATTATGGTGTTATATCCCTGAAGTCAGGGATGGGGGTTATTTTTTAGCTTAGCAGTCAGCTTACCCTGACCAATGTATCACCTTACTACAAACCTACTCAGTGCATTACTGTTAGTAAGATGACGGCAGAGAGACATTTTAGATTAAGCAGAAGATTTAGAGATGATCAGGTTTCAATTTAAGCCCCAGTTTTATCACTTTCTAGCTCTAAGATGTTGAGCAAATTATGTCTATCTCCATCTTTCTAAAGCTCAGTTACCTTTCCTGCATATGGAGTATAAAAGCAATAACCATCCTATGGTGTTGTCATGCTGTTTAGATTAATTTATGTATTATAATTAAGTGCTTAGTGCAGTTCCTGACAAGGGTACACAGTCAACAAGTGGGGGCTTCTCTTTCTCATATGAACAAGATCCTTCATAGCAACCACTTTTCTCAAAGAAAAACCTAACTTCACAATCCAAAAGCAAATGGGATAAGTCCCTGAAGTCAACCTTTCAGACACTATTTCTTCAACTAGACACTGCCTACAATTCCCCAATCCCTAGAACTGTGCTCATCATTTCATTCACACATCCTAAACTGAAATGTGTTTAAAAAACCAAAACTAGGTACATCAAATAGAGGAAGTGTTAGCCAAGGACCCTACATGACCTTTGCTGTGTTTGAGTGTGGTTGATGCCAGTCCTGTATCCACAGAGTGAAAATCATCAGGGATTAAGGTTGCAAAACAAAAAGACTTTATTCATTTATTCAGTCAAAAACATGTATAGAGCATCAGCAGGCCACCAGGCATCATGGTGGGTTCTGGGATTGTAACAGTGGAAGGAGCTCATCTTCCAGAGATCGAGATGCAGAGGTAAAGGGACAAGAAAAATAGTGAGATTAAGGTCTACACCTCACTTGGTTAGTCATTCAACAAATACAGAGCCTGGTAATGTGCCAGGCACTCTTCCAGGTACTGAGGGTTCATCAGCAAGCAATACAGGAAAAAAAAATCCCTGCACTTATGAGGTTTACATTCCAGATAATGTGCAGATAATTGGGCAAATAAATAAGTAAAATCGGTTTTGTGGAATGGGGGATTGTCATTTTAGGTTGGTTGGGGAAGGGGGTGACATGTAAGCAGAGGCCTGAAGGAGTTTGAGGGAGGTGACATGTTGTTTCCAAAGGGAAGAGCATTCCAAGCAGAGGGAACAAGCAGGACCAAGGCATCACAGAGGATGCCCCCTTGCTGAGCTCAAAGAACACACAGCAAGAAGACCAGTGTGGCCAAAGGGGAGTGAGCACTCCAACGGTGGTTATTCAGTATAGTCCATCACGGCACACTTGGTGGTGCTCCTAGGATGTGTCTGCTTCTCTTCTCCAGCAAGAATGCAACAGCCTCTGACAAGAGGACACAGGCATGGAAAGGCAGGAGATGGAGGTGTGCGATAAGAGTGGATATGAAATAGCGGAAAGACAAGTGTTCTCATTTTTGCTACCATGATGAAACGTGCTATCTTTTCTTTCTTATCCAGTGATAAGGAGATTGCAACCTTGAAGGTCAGTGGCAGGGAGGGACTGAAGCTTCTGCAATGTAAGTCGTTGCTCAAGGGGCATGGCAGAATAAAACAAAGAGAGACCACCACTTGGTGATTCGAATGAGTGAGTTTTAAGGGGACACAGGGGAGGGGAAGTTCCCAGTAGCAGCCCCCAGAGGCTTTTCCCACCTTTAACATCACCTCTCCAATGACACACATCCTAGGAGAGAGGGTGGGCTAGGGATTCCTTGGTTGTTTCTATTCTATTTCAAAGCCAAAAAGCTTCCAGGGTGAGTAATCTGTCCTTTCCATTATTTCACTGTTTTATAGATCCTCACGTCCTAGGCAGGAGCAGCCTCAGCTAAGGAGCAGCATTCACAGTAGGTCCCCCGGGAGTCTGGAAGCTTCTCATTCCAGGCTCCTTCACTTCGCACACCCAGTTTTTCATACAAATTTCTCACTGCTCAAAGATGGTCAAGAGCTTTTAAATAAGATTTTTTTTTTAACACATTGACTTTATTCATTTTTGAGTAGGTAAAACATACTTTTACTATACAAAACCCAAAAGGTCATCCAGTGAAACCTCCCTGCTACGCTGTTCCCCAGCCACCCAATCCCCTTATTGGATCCGATCAGTGTCTTCAGTTTCACGTGTGTATCCATGGTCCAAAATACATTGTATTGCTAGGGCTCCATTTTCTCTTCCAACCCTTTCATCCAAATGACCACACTTTGCTTTTTATGCTTAATGAGAAATCATTACAGAGTCTCCTCATTCTTCTTTTATGGCTGCATAGTATTCCATCGTGTGGGTGAACCATGATTTATTTAACCAGTCCCCCACAGATGGGTGTTTGGGTTTGTGCCAATGTTCTGCCAGTACACACAATATAGTAATGAATAGCCTTGTGTGCATAGCATTGTGTCCAGGTTTGAAAATAACTGGAAGATGGCTTCCTGGAAGTGGAGTTTCTTTGTAAAAGGGGGGGTGCCCTTGTGATTTTGATGGATGTTGTCAATATGCCTTCTTAGAGGTTGTCCTTGTTACCACCGTCTCACCAATGATGTATGAGGGTGCCTCTTTCTCTACACACCTTCACCCATAGAATTTGTTTTCAAACTTTTCCATCCTTATAAATCTAATTGAAGAAAGATGGAATTTATTTAGTTTGTTTTTTTAATTATTTGGTTTATTTGATAATGAGGAAGATTTTCCCCTTGGAGTAGATCAGGGCCCTGTAGATCCACACACTGCTGTTGACCGCTCAGCTCAGGACCTGGGAGGCTGATGTCTGTGGATGATTGCGTCGCTCGGGCTCCTTGCCTCTGGCTTCTGGCTGGGCTTGGCCTGTGGGAGGGATGAAGAGGAAAGCAGAGGCAGGGAGGAGGAGAGATGTCGCTCCAGCCTCACTGAGTTCTGGTCAGTGTTGTAGCCAAGCAATGCAGGGCTCTGCCCTTGGGCACAGAACCTTCATGGAGCACCCTCTTCAATGGCCAACACTCACAACAGGTTCCACAGCACCACTCTCTGTCCTTGTCCCTGTAGGCTTAGTGATGGTAGCACCTTCCTACCAGTGCCTCTGCATCCCTTGGTGGTGCCTTTAGCCCCGTCCCCACCTCACTACATCATGTCATCACCAAACTCTTCAAACAAGTCCTCTGAATGTGCCATCTGTTTACTGCCAAGACTCTGATGTATGCAAAAATCTTTCCAAAAAAATTTAATATGCCAATCTTTGGGGGAGTTTGGTGCCAGGAATCAACTTAAAAATCACACATCTAAGAAGAAAAATCCCCAAGGGGAAAGGAGCCTGCAGAACTTTCCAGTGGTTTTCCTGAAATCAAAGACCATGTTCCTTTCCATTAGCCACCCGCTCTCCCAGCAGAAGTACTGGTCTGAATTTTTCTACTAGGAGGAGTGTAAAATATTCATGTTTACTCACCACCTCTACTTTTCCTATTAAGTCAGCATATCTCTGTCCAGCACCAGGTACCACGACCATTCAACAGGAGCCCCAACCTTATCCTCCAACCCACCATACTTGGGAGTGATGTGTGTTCATGTCAGGTCCTGTTAACCACTGCTACCTATATCAAAAACCTCCAATCGCTCTGGGCTTCTGTTAAAATCGAGTTTAAACTCTAACAGACAAGGTCACGTGCACGATAATACCACAGTCACTTATTGAGCATCTATTATGTACTGGGATCTGAGGAAACAAAGATAGGTAAGGAGCTTTTCTTCCTTTGAGGTGTGTAGAGTCTGGGAATATGTGGGAGACAATAACGTGATAATTCATGTGAGCATCCATAAATTAAAAGTGAATAGAAACTAAAATTAAAAAAGACAACTTGACATCATGGACATAGAAAATAGAATGATTAATAGATACCGGAGACTTAGAAGGTGGATGGGCAATGAAAAGAAGTTGATTAATGGATGCAAACACACACGTAGCTACAAGAAATAAGTTCTAATGTTTGAAAGCAGATTAGGGTGACTATACTTAGCAACAATATTTTGTATATTTTAAAGTCACAGGAAGAGAGGACTTGAAATGATACCAACACATAGAAACGATAAATGCTCATGGTAGTAGATATCCCAAATACCTTAAAATGATACTTTGGTCATTAAACATTCTATGCTTGTAACAAACACTCAGATACACCCCATATGTATATATTATGTATCAACAAAAGAAAAAAAGCCCAGTGGACTTGGACACAGCCAAGTGGTATTTCAATTATAAAAGCCACAGTCAACCTCAAGCATGCATGCACTCAAGGCAAGCACCCCAATGATCCTGTCTTGATAAAGACAGTGTGCTTGGCTAAATCTAGCCACGTTCTTCCTCATCCTCTTATAGCTTTTAGTACTTCCTTTATAGCCCCCCTGGATTCAATACTCATATATAGAAATTTTCAGATCTTATAGGATCCCTTTCCAAGGACACTTGTCTTGCCCAGAACAGATGTGGAACCCTTTTCTCCCAATGTGGGGGTTCCTCTATCTTTGAGCCTCCCACGGGTACCAATATTCCTAATGAGCTTTTCTTTCTGCACAACAGAGCATATCTCCACACTGCTATGAAGCACTTGAAGGGGGCTTAGCTAAACCAGAGAACTTAATTTCCACCCTGAGACTCAGTAGAAGATAAACAGTGACCCCAGCCCCACCAGCCCTCGGAGGAGATACACTCTCATCTGCAACATCCCTGCATCCCTGCCCTGACATTGCTGCTTCTGCGGGGCTTATGGGAGTCCTGGGTTTTCACTGTGACACTGATAGAAGGCTTTATTGCTTTTTCCAACTTTTGGGGTTCTCCATGTGTCAAGAATACATGTCAGAGCGGCCAGTGCTCAAGTTTGAGGACTTCCATGCCACATCCCATCACAGGAGGTCCTACAGGAGTATGGAGCCCAACAGATGCACAGTCTACAGATTACCTGCTTTCTCCCTCCTTTCCTCCCCAGTGGGATAAACCACCTCTGAGTTGCAGTGTGGACCGGCTTTCTTCCCAGCTCCCACTCAGAAAGTTCGCCTGTCCTTAGCAGGCATGGGAAAGAGGAAGCAATGAGAGATGTTGGTGGGTATCATTCATTTGTTTATTTGAGACTTCAGCTCAAAAAGCCAGATCCAATCTTCAGAAGCTTATCTTTATGGTTTCCATTTTATTGAATCTCATTTTGCTAATTCCTCGTGATTCCACATTCACTATTAGCCATAATGGGTTCTTTATTGGTTTACCCCTAATAATATGTTAATTGATAGCTCTTATGGCTTTAAAACTCAAGCTTTCCAACACTGGGAAGCCCAAACCATCAAGCCATTACTAATAAGGCTCGAATATGGGAAGATCTGTGGGATTCTCAACTTGGCAGGGAAGAGGGGTGTGCGCTTCAGGCAGCCATGCTCCAACACAAAGTCCCTCTGCTTGTTGACAAAGGCGCGTTGCTCGAGCCACTGGTGGTAGGTGGGGAAGGCAGATGGGCAACCGCTGCCCAAAGCTCACAGCTGCCTTGAAAAGCCCCTTCCTGACAGGTAATGCTGCAGGGACTCCCAGAATCAGCTTGCTGCCGGCACCCTGAAGGCTCACAACACCAGGACAACATCATGTTCCACTATTTGTAAACCAAGCAGGAGCCTAGAAAACATCCCGCGCACAAGGAAAACATTGATTTCAAGAGGCTTGGAGCGGGCTCGAGCCTCCACAAGCACGGAACGGCCTTCTTTAACTGACACAATAAATTAGTTCAAAGCCGATGACAGCCTGGAAGATTACCCACCGCCCCACAAAGGAAGGAACGCTCTGGTCCCCTTCGCGAAAACATAGATAAAAAATTGTGTTCTTCTCCTCTAATGAGGCAAGCTCAGATATAAGTCAATAGAGCAATTCATTAACAAATCTAATGAAATCCCCCGGGTTGCCAACGAGATGGCAATGAAAATCTCCTTGGGCGGAGAGTCCATATGTTGAGGGTCAGCTTGCTGAGTGGTTTCTTCTGGTCTATTCACTGCCCACATATGGCAGTTAAGGTCACTGTTATCAGACACTTTCTCTGTACACAAAACAGAATTTCCATATGGCCCATGGAAATGGCCCGGCCCGGCTCCTGGGCAGCTTCCCACGGCTCTCTCTTTGTGCGGCGCTGGTTAGAAGTGTAAAAAAGGGTGTGAGGGGTTTCCTCGGCACTCAATTGCTCTCCCTGCATTGTGCGTCAGTCCAATTTAGGGAAAATCTGCATCAGTTTTTCCCCTGTCTTTCAGACACAAACGCTCATGTCAGTCTATTAGAACGTGATGGAAGTACTGATCGCAGCCTCCGCATTTAAATCCTTTTGAAACCGCAGTGACCTGCTGAAGAGGGTTCTGAGGGGAAGGACCGTCTCCAGGCTCTTTCAAATCCACATAAATAAAGGCCTTTCCTGGCTTAAAGTGGCTCCTCAGATTGAGCCCCATAGAGCCCCTCAAAAAAGCCCAACACGATTGTCATGGATATTACATGACAGTAACAAGAACAGGCCAGGAAAAGACAAGGCCTCTGGCCGCACAAAACTGGACGGGGCTTTCTTCACGATTTGGGCCTCGGATTGTTGACAGCCCAGTAAATAGGCTGTTTAACCCTTTGAAAGTGAATAAAGAGGGTGTAGACAAGTGCTTTCTGATGGAGTTTGTGCCTGTAATGGGTGAGAGAGTACACATACTCAACTCGGGGGCGGGAGGAGGACGGGGGAGGCTGCATTCTTACGCCCCCGCGGTCAGAAGCCTCCATAGAATTTCTTATGAAATTGACGGAATCAGTCAAGAGTCCGGGAGATCAGATCTGGACGTGCAGGGGACGGGGACGTTTGGGACAACGGCAGCAAGGCCTTTAATACTCAGCCCCCTGGGGGCCCCATGGCTTGTCAACATCTGGTACTCGGGAAAGTGTGGAGGTCCCGAGGCCCTCGTTCTCCCATACCTTCATGGTTAAACTTCCTGTCTTCCTGAGTCAAGGGTGATAACGATAACATCAATAACAATAAAAGCTGACATGCAGAGTTCTGACTTCAGCAGACACCTGGCTAAGCCTTATGTGGGCCTTATCTCAGTTACCATAACCACACTGTATGGTTGAAACGATCGACCCCATTTCACTGATGAAGAAACCAAGGCACAGTGTGGTTAAGTCCCTTGCAAGTGATTCACAACCAGTGAGTGGTGATATGGGGCTTCAAAGCATCTTACACCCTCCCTCTGCTACCTTGTCTCCAGGCCTGGTCTTCCCATTGTCTCGAAATGGAAAAATTCCTGTTCAGTTGTAGCATTGTTTTAATGAATCCAAGAATGCAGTTTCTCTCTCTCTCTCTCTCTCTCTCTCTCTCAATCTGACTCTAGGTGAAAATATTTTTCTCTTGACTTAAGAAGCCAAAATAAACAAGGGAATGAAAACTGCCTCCCAGAAATGTAAAATTATGCATATTGCCTTCAATTTCATAAGCTGTTTAGGTTACCATTGAAATGACTCCCCTGTGACCCACAATTCCTAAGGCTTGGCAGCTGTGGCGTTTCCATAAATCCAAATACTACTGTTTCTAACCTCTGACTGTACTTTAACAGGGGAGGGCCCTTTTAATTCATTTAACCCATTTTAATTGTCTTTGCAGGGACAGAAGCTTTCTCTGGCCGGCTGTGCAGGCAGGGAAAGCTGATGGCCGAGCCGTGCCGCCGTTCACCAAAGCCTCTCATGAAAATGCATGCCTGGCTTTGGCACCCCTCGGTAATTGTAATATTTCTTCCTTACTGTTTATGTCAGAGAGTCATTACTGGGAGAGGCTGACACATCTGACATGTGCAGCATCGACACACATTAGGTGGTCCTTAGATAATTTTTAGACAAAGTTTAGTCAGTGTAGCAGGAGCCCAGCCCTGTTCTAAGCAGCGAAAGTAAAAGGAAATCTGCCTTCTCATGCTGGTTCCTTGTACATTACAATGAGGCCTATTTTTGCGTGTCCCATTTGCCCCACCTCAAGACTGTAAGGTTCTTGGGGCCCAGGGCCAAGTGAAAACCATGTATGTACTCTCCCTGTTGTGCCTGGAGGGTGATTTTTCTATTGTTAGCTATAAGGCCTCCAGCAAGACACTGGATAATTGACATACTTATACTATCTCCTTTGATGTTCATATCAAACTTAGGAAGCAGGTTCTGTTATTATTTAATAGAGAGAAAGGTCTGAAGCCCAGAGAGGTTAAGCAACTTGACCAGGATTAAACAGCTCATAGGTCCAAATTCAAACCATGATGTGCTTTCTACCATGCCACCTTGCTTAGTGCAGAGCCCGGCACAGTCAGAAATCAGCATGTATTTGTTCACATTTTGGTGGAAGGCTAAGGTTCAAGTTCACAGATATTCTTATCCCATTCAATGGACTTGGACTCACTGGTCCTTCTCTTCCTCACCTCTTTCATCTCTGCTGCCCCTACAGTTGCTTCTGACAGCTGGGGCTTTCATTTTAAGCAAGACCAATCTATGTTAAGAAATGTCTCATAATTGCTTGTGTTTTACTACGGAGAAATAAATGAGCATCTTCCATCTCCTGATTTAATAGCGCTCACTCTGACTGCAAGAGGAAGCAAATCAATGACTGGCGAAGGAAAAGGAGCATTTTTTTAATAACCCACACTTTAGATACGTGATCTCTAAGTTATTACAAATTATAAGGTTAAGACCTCTTAGAGGAATCCTAGCTGCTTAAAAATTTAAAACTCCAGGGTAAAGGAGCAAAGTACTAATGAGCTTCAGGCTACTAAATAGCAGATCTAGGGGAGAAGCCTTGTTTCATGTGAGAGCCTGTGGCCACATACCAGCCAGTCTATGAGATGTTATGGAAGAACTACACTGGGGAGAGGCAGCGGGTGTGGGATGGGGGCGAGGAGAGATGAAAAAGGCAGTGTTGGTGGCTTAGAACATTCTGGATGAGACTGGCTGGTTCTCTGATTGAGAACTGTCAAACGTGAGATTCCTCCCAACGCTTCATTATGTCAACGCGGCATTAGGTTTCCCTAGCACATCCCTTCAGCCTCTGAAGAGAAGAAAGAAAAGCATTTTATGAACTGCGGTGCCTTCACACCAGGGTTGGAGTATGCGTGCACGTGTGTGTGTGCGTGTGTGTGTGTGTGTGTGTAAACCTTTCATGAGGAATCGGGATTAAAATCTCTAAGAAAATATAGCAGGCAGAAGCGACATGCAGTATTTATTTTCCCAATGGAAATGTAAACAGTGGCTGGAGAAGATGAAAATATTTAGAGAACAAACTGACCCGACCCAATTAAATGCTCCAAGAAAATGCCTGCCACACAAAGAAGGGTGAGAGCTGGTGGGCTTCACTGCGTCTGCAATGGCACGTCTCACTTATGCCTGAGTGCCCCCAGGCCCCCTCTGGTAAACGTCCCTACAACCCATCACCAAAGTGCACCATCCGAGGGACCCCAGGGCTCCCAGGGGCCAGTACGGACCTTATAAAGTTCAGACTCGAGTTCAAAGGTTTTGCTGGAATGAGAGATGACAATTCTCAGGTTATTTCTGTTTCCTGACTTTTGCAGGTTGGAACCACTTTTCATGGGTCCAATCTTTCATTCTTAGCTTCACTCTCATGCCCGGGATTGGGGAAGAGCTCACAGTGACACACCCCTCATTTAGTCCTGGGTTTCCCTCTGTGATGGTCAATGTCCCAAATGGGACTGACAAGACATCCCCAAATGACTTCATTTTAATGGATGATGCTAAAATGTGCTGTTCGAAGGGAGCTCCTGTTTGCTTAACACATACCTCCCGCTACCCGGCCAGCTTGGGTCTGAGTTCTGCATTGAAAATTAAATTATGCTTGGGATAATATTGTCTGGAGCTCACAGTTGCTGACATGGATATTGACAAAGACTTAGCTAGTATTTTAATAAGAAAACAAAACGCAGGAAAAGGCGCCAGAGTTTCCAGGAGGATCATTAAGAAGCCACCTTGGAGGCCAGAGGCTGGCAGTGACTGCATCACAGTTCGTCATACAACTTAAACTTCTTTTGACATCTAGTTATGTCGAAATGTGACTGATCACCTAGGGGTTGGAGCTCCTGAGAGGGAAAAGTTCACTGACAGGCGCAGTGCACAAGCAGCTCTTAAATGAGAATCAAGAGAAAGTAGCATCCGGGTTTCCTGACAGTCTGCAGCTGCTGCCTGCCCCGTCTAACTAAGGCAGGCCTGTTCTGGCGAGGAGTTCTATTAGCATCTGCACACTTCTGTCTCATTACCACACATCTGCCCACCTTTATTCCGGTGACGCTGCCTCTCATCTGACAGCTCAGGCATTGTCAGGGACTGGATATTAGGGAGCAGGGTACAGCGGGCGCACCGTCTCCGCTTTCATTTTCTAAAGACTGGTGTACGGTTTGACAGTACCCTGCCGCGGAGGTAAAGGAGAAAATTAACATATTGGGCAGTTCCTAAACAAAGCTGAGATGCGGATTCCGGAACCGCCACGGTGTGAGCGGGGTTGTGTGTGGGACTGGGAGATCAAAAGCTGTTGCAGACCTTAGCTCTTTGCCCAGTCCCACGGCAGACGGCCTCATACCAAAATAAATGAGCTTCGCTTCTTGACATTTCAACATTTCTTTTTTAAAGGCAGGCTTTGATTTGAACAACGTAACCATCAATATGTTGGCTTTGGGATTTTCCTGCAGAAACACAGCATCCCAGCCCTATCTGAGGCTCCCAAAGGCACTCCATGCGAATGGAGAAGAGAATGGAAGACCCAGTTTGTCCTCAATTTCCTCCTATCATTAAAACAATACATGAGTGCTGAGTGCGGCTCTACTTATGCAAAACAACAGTCTCCCATTGCTACCTTGGAACCAGAAATCTAGCAACCACACCTGCCCCAAGAGCCTGTGGGGGTAACTCTGAACCTGCCAGAATGTCAGATAGGAGAGTTTGGGAGTTCTTTGCTCACTTCCAGGGGCCAAAGGAACTGGCTCTCGCTCTTGCCTCCTGGCCTCTGCTTTGGAGAAGAGGAAGGCCCCTCTGTGTTCTGATATAAGCCTGGATTCTGAAAGGGCTTTGAGTATTCCTGAGTTGAGTTCTAGATGAAGACTGAGGTCCCTGACATGGGTAAGACACAGGATAAAATTATTATCCCTCTGAAGGGAGGGAAACCCAGCCCCTTGCTTCCCAGGACCCTTCTTTACCTCCTAACACAGAGGAAACAATAGAATTTGGCAGAGAGGATGAAAGGTGCCCACTGGGACTCAAACCCCAAGGGACCCCAAAGGGAACCTAAAATGGCATCCCTCATGAGCCCCCCACCAGGCTACCAAGCTGGTGTGTGCAGCTGCATTTACAGCCATTTAGGAAACTCCTGGCTTCCCTCCCGGCACTCCATGGCTTTCATCCCTCTGATATTTCTTTGTTCTCCTGCTCGCTGAGGGTTTGTATGGGTTAATGGAAAAATTACTGCTATTTTGCAACAATGCAATCAAAGTCAGTTCAGCAAACCCTGATAAAGTGAGAATAGCTTATTCACACGGAGCTGGCAGGCCTGAACTCACAATTGCAAAGTTTGAATACAAAATAAGATATTCCCCTTTTTAAAAAAAAGACAGAATCCGTTGTCATTCATGCTAAAAAGGCATTACAGACTGTCGACACTGTACAGAAAAATAGGAGATGTTGACCTTTTTATTATAGACTTTTCTCTACTGTTGCCCTTCTTTCAACTGCACACTGCTCCCCCCAGATCCCCCGCCCCTCTCTGCACTCACACACACTCTCTTCAGCTGTATGTTATCTCAAATAATTACCCTCGCTTCTGGCTGTCCCTGGTGACTTCTGCTGCTAAAAAAGCTACTCATTGTCGGAGACTGAAGAGGGATTTCAAACCTGCTTCTTGTGGCCGGGCAACGGCTCTTAATTAACCACTCAGGTATTGTGGAAGCTCCCAGCCCAGCTCACTTCCATATGGCTGGGACATGTCCGCAGTGATAATCATGGAAGGAAATATTGTATCAAAAAAGAGCTCACACAACCGAAAGCTTGTGCAAATTATTTTTAATGATTCTTCTCTGGTGAGTCGGCTTATTTGTTATTTCAAGCAGAGAGAGGAATGCATTTGTCCTTGACCTAGATCCCTCCAGCTCGCACCCCTGATGCCCCCCCAACCCCAAATGTGATCCCGAGAACTGTCATAAAGAGTATGCCCCAGGTAGCGAAGCCCCTCCAGACGCCCTAGAAAGCTTTCCTCACTATGATTTTCATAAGCTTTTGTTTCAATTGGGTGCCTCACTCTTAAAACACACACGCGCGCACACACACAGATTTCACAAAATCTCCAACAAGCAAGGGATTTTAAATAACTCAAGGAGTGTGCTGTTTGGCAGTGCCTCACATCTTCATGCTGCTTGTATTTCTTACTTTAAATAATTGGGAAGGGGGGTGGAGGGGAGGTGGTGAAGTTTATAAATCTAATTAAAAATGAAGCTGCATTTACATTTTTAAACCCACCCATCCGCCAGCGTACTGTGTCACTAGACATTATGTACGATTTTACTTTGCGACAGAAACCATTACATTTAAAAATTCATTACAGCAAGGTTAGTTAGACACATGATGGATGCAGCTTTAATCCTGCCATATATTATTACAGTTAAAATGTAAATGATGAAAAATATTTTGTGCTTATCAGCATTTATGTGGAAATGTGTTTTACAGTGATGTATGGTGTTGTATTTCTATTATTGTGATGAAAAGAAAGCAATACAAGAAGATGAAGTGTTTATTAAAACATGGTTACTTGTGATAACATATTCCTGTTGTACATGACTTTAAACATATTCACTGAGGGCATTTGTCCAAAACAACTGTGAAATGTGTTTGCTGTGCGACTCGGGCTAAGTTTTTTTCTTCTGATTACAGCTCTTTTTAATAGACTAATATTAATTCAAAATCATGTTGAATGTTGAGAAGTTGGCAGCCCTGTTTCCTTTTTGACGTGGTTAAAAATGAGTGTGTGTGTGTGTGTGCGCGTGTGTGTGTGTTTGGAAACACAGTGTGTGGCTATGAACAGAGGGCTTGCGTGTTTATTTTGTACAATCATCGAGAGGAAATCAGGCCACCCAATTGAATGATGTTTCCAAAGTGATGTCATCGAGGACACCATAAAATCCTATTAGAGGTGTAATTAACATAATGGAAAAGCAGTATCAAACTTGACTTTCCAATCAAGTGAGTAGAAAAATAAGAATAAAAAGACCAGGCTATGTACATTCATGGTTCCACCAGGGCACAGGAATATTTTAGACATGCCCATGGAAGAACTGATGTGCCAGCTACACTGCAAACCTCAGAGACTGTGCCTTATAGGGAGCTGACCTCCTAATTCTCCTTTTGCCAGCTTCACTCACAATGTGGTTCCTGCCTCCCACTCCCTTCTCCTTTTTATTTTTTTTGCCAGCCCAGAACAATGGTACATCCAACTACAAAACGAAATAGAACACAAAAAGAAAAATAAACCCTCATCAGCAACCAAAAAAAAAAAAAGAGGAAAATAAAATTACTAAAACCCTACTTATAGAAAAGAAACAAAACACGAAAGGCCTTTCTGCATTCTCTGCTGTAGCTGTCATCATTTAGGATGAGGTGCTTAATATCTCCCCCAACTGTCCTTTCCCCTGTAACCTATGGAATTACAGTATTGTAATCATGTTTACCCAGGTACCCAAGAAGCATCCTGTTAAGGTGGGTCTCTGTTACCTGATTCACTGTATCAATTATAACTCTTTCTCCAGCCTCCAGTTGATGACAGATCTTGTAATAGATTTGGAATTGACCAGACTTGAAAGTCAGTTCCACCTCCCCCCTTTTTCCTTCATTGTCACAAGTGTCTCCTGGGGTGGGAGCAATGCAGGCTTAATGCAAATTTTCATCAGGTTCCCCTCCCGAACACCCCGCCCCCATGCACCCCCACCGGCTTCTTTTTCTCCTTCTAACATCTGCTTGTAGGAGGATGTTGTTGTGTACATTAGGGCTGTAAAGTTGAGCACCCTTCGGAGCTACCTCTGGCACAGGAAACACGGAAACGGGGAGCCAACGATAATACAGGCCTCGGCATTTCCTATCTCAGCACTCTCCCCAGCTCTGCTTCTCGGCTGCCTGGAGTTGTTATCCTTAGGAAGTCCAAGGTGGCGAAGAGGGAAAGCTTATCTGGCTCCCATCCTAGTTATAAAGCACGAGGCTCCTCCCTGTACACCTTGGGAACATTGTCACAGAGGGGTCACATCCGCTCAGATTCGAGCCAGTGACCGAAAGTAGGCCTGTGACCTACACTGTCCTTCCCTCCCTTTGTTCGTGGCATAAAATCAACTCAGCTGATTCCTCCAAAGCATGGGTTCCAGGATTTGTGAGAATTCAGAGTCCCAGCACCTTCTCCAAGGCGTAGTCTTTTTCTAACGTTTCTCTTCCTTTTTATTTGTTTGAATTCTTATTTTAAAGGAACACACACACACAAACATTCTCAAGAAAATGGGCTCTCAAAAACAGCTCACCCAAAGCACACCCCTTCAGTCCATTTTCCTGGGTAAAGAATTTCCCAAAGCCAGGATCCAAGAAGCTGTGGACTGACTGACCCGAGGTTGCCCTATTAAATGTATTTATTTCTTGGAGCTGAAGAATATTTGCTGAAAGCTGGATTATCACTTGGTAGACCACCAGCAGCTGTTGAAAACCAGGGCATAAAAGCTTGTTTATGTCTTTAATGGCCCACTTAATGATGGAGCAAGTATGTTATTCATAATAAAATGCCAAGGAATAATCTTAATACCCCAATGCATGGCGCTAGTGAATTAAGAAACATCTGCTATGTCATAAAAGAACATTTTATTTGGGGTCTACATTAAAAACATGATTCCATGGAGTTCTACTGATTTATATTGTACACAACAAATTATGATGTCTTGAAGTAATTATACTTTACAATTAAACCTACAAGGGCCACTCTTGGTAAAGCAAAAAAATTCTGTGCGGTGTTCATCATTTTAGATCATTTAAGCACATACGGTGGCCTTGCCACAATCTATTTCACCAAAGCAATGTTGCAAAATCTCTCTTGGCATCTGTACCTCTCTAGGAAGATATCCAAGCTGCATGCTGCTCCTGAAATTACCACTGCAGAATAAAATGGCTATTTGGATTCACAAGGAAAAATGTAAAAATAATTCTTTTCAGTCTCTTGACTGTGACCCGAGAGCTTATTTTAATGTTACTTGAGGGAGGAAGATTCAGAATTTGGGCTTAGTTGGGGATCAAGAAGATGACCTCATCCTCAAAGGCTTAATTTGTGTGTTAGCGTCAGGGGGAGTGTCCCCCCAGAAAGACAGATTTGAGGAGACTGGGACAGAGAGGCCCTAGAAGTGTCCCTGGATGGGAGTAGGTGCTGAAGGGACCGGGTGTGGCCAGCTCAATCTCAGCCCCCCTCCCCTCTACTCCAGATGGCGTCTGTCTCTGACACACCCGCTATCACACCAGGAAGCCATGTGTCACCACCTCCATGCCCAACACCCGTCATGAGTGCAGGGACGTGTCTATTGCTTCCTGGAGCTGGGTGCTTAGAAAGGTCCTCTTGCTCCACAAGAGAAAAGACAAGTTATTTTAAAAGCTGGCTGCAGGGCAAACTGCTTGTCCAAGGGCAGGGGCTCTTGACCCTGTGCTTTGGGGAATGATGGAGAGAATGAAAAGAATACCTGTGCCCGACTCCACCCCCAGGGATTCCAATTTCACTGGCCTGAGGTACTCCCCCACAACACCAACTCATGTTGGTATTTTTTTCAGAAGCTCCCTAGATGATTCTCATATGTAGCCACCATCAAAAACTACTGTTTAAAATAGATTGGATTTTTTTTTTAAGATGGGTGACACTTTTGTTGGGCAAACACCTCCATGAGCCTTTTTGGTTGTAAAAAGTAAGGCTGCCTGCTGTTGGTGGAATATTTTATAGTGTGATCCCTATGGAAAACTGTATGGCGCTTCCTTAAAAAAGTAAAAAATAGAATTAGCATATAATCCAGCAATTCCACTTCTGGATATATAACTGAAAGAACTGAAAGCAGAGTCCTAAAGGGATATTTATACGCCTGTGTTCATAGCAGTACTGTTCACAATAGCCAAGAGGTGGAAGCAACTCCGTGTTCCTCAACGGATGAATGGACAAAACGTGGTATGGACCTGTAATGGGATACTACTGTGCCTTAAAAATGAAGGAAATTCCCACACGTGCTACAACATGAATGAAACTTGATGTGAAGCTAAGTGAAATCAGCTGGTCACAAAAAGAAATACTGTATGATTTCACTCACATGAGGTATGTAGAGTGATCAAATTCATAGACAGAAAGTGGAATGGTGGCTGCCAGGAGGTGGTGAGATTGAGTTTGAACGTCTGTTCCTGACAAATCTCATATTGGACTGTAATCCCCAGTGTTGGAGGTGAGGCCTGGTGGGAGGCATTCGGGTCATGGGGGCAGATCCCTCATAGCTTGAAGCTGTTCTCATGATAGTGAGCTCTCTGGAGTTCTGGTTGTTTAAGTGTGGGCCTCCACCCATCTCCCCCCACCCACCTTCTCCAACTCTCTCTCTTGTTCCTACTCTGGCCATGTGATGAGCCTGCTCCCTATTCACTTCTGCCATGAGCAAGAACTTCCTGAGGCCTCCATGGAAGCAGATCAGGTGCCAGTGCCATTCTTGTACAGCCTGCAGAAACATGAGCCAATTAAACCTCTTTTCTTTATAAATTACCGAGTTTTAGGTATTTCTTTCTTTTTCTCTTTCTCTCTCTCTCCTTCCTTCCTCCCTCCCTCCCTTCCTTCCTTCCTTCCTTCTTTCCTTCCTTTCTTCCTTCCTTCCTTTCTTTTTTTCAGATGGAGTCTCTCTCTGTTACCCTGACTGGAGTGCAGTAGTGCCATCTTGGCTTACTGCAACCTCTGCCTCCCAGATTCAAGTGATTCTCCTGCCTCAGCTTCCAGAGTAGCTGGAATTACAGGCACCTACCACCATGCCTGGCTAATTTTTTTGTATTTCTAGTACAGATGGGGTTTCACCATGTTGGCCAGGCTGGTCTCGAACTCCTGACCTCAGGTGATCCACCTGCCTCGACCTCCCAAAGTGTTGGGATTACAGGCGTGAGCCACTGCACCCGGCCTCAGGTATTTCTTTATAGCAGTGCAAGAATGAGGGCAGGGAAAGGGAATGGAGTTATTGTTTAATGGGGACAGAATTTCAGTTTGGAAGATGGAAGAGGTCTGGAGGTGGATAGTGGTGACGGTTGCAGGACAGTATCAATGTACTTATTGACTGTACATTGCTGAATGGTTCACTTAAATGGGTTAAGATGGTAAATTTAATATTATGTGTATTTACCACAATTTAATTTTTAAAAAAATTTTTAAAGTGAAGTTATCTGGGCTGCTCTAGTGAGAAGCCAGTGAGAAAAAGAGAGAGGCTGTGACTCTGTGTAATAGAGTAACGTGAATTTAGGAATTTCTCGCTAGCACTGGTGACCTGAGAGAAGGTTTGGAATTCGGGCTGGGAGGAGATGAGAGAAGCTCTCAGGGCAGTGGCCCTGCCCCCATTATTCTGAAGCTTTCAGTAGGGTCTGTGTCCCACATCATTGGTTTGGAGGATGGCGAGAAGGTACGGACTGGGATGGGGACATCATGGCAGACAGCCAGTGGAGCTCCAGTGTGGAGCGGGAATTTGGAGTGAGAGGAGACAGATCCTGTCCTTGGTAGGGGGGTGGGCAGGTGGGGAGGGAACAGCAACTTAGGACCCTAGGAGGATCCCATCCAGGGAGGAGTTTTCTGTGTGCCACGGGCTGGCCTGTGAACTTCTAGACAGGTGTTCTATTATACTGCAATGTCTACACTCTAATTGAAGATGATCACTTTCTGCTTTGTGATGGGACTTCTTTCCACCACCTCTGTACCCTCAGACCCTGGCAAGAGGGGCCCCAGTCCTGGCTGCTGTGTGCTAGAGTGTCCCTCTTTGCCTGGGGCCCCTCCCCATAGGCAAGGAGATTGCAGTGTCCACCTGAGCCAGCAACCTTTTTTCTAGTTTTTTCTTCTCTGTAAATACTTACTATCCTCCAGATAGTAAGTATTTTCGGCTCTGCCAACCCATCCATCTCTGTCACAAATTCTCCAGTCCTCTGTAGTAGCACAAATGTAGCTAGAGATGATATATTGCTATGTAAATGAATGTGTGTAGCTGGATTCCAATAACTCTTTTTTTTACAAACACCGAAAGTTGAATTTCACATCATTTTATGTGTCACAAAATATTATGCTTCTATATTATTTCCAATCATTTAAAAATGTGAAAACCATCTGAGGTTGGCAGACCATAGAAAAACAGATGGTGGGCTGGGTTTACCCATCGGCCATAGTTTATCTGTCACTGGTCTGGCCCATACCCAGGACCCTTGAATTTCCTGGCCACATTGCCCCAAGTCCATTTCTGGGGCTGCTTTCCAAGGGTTAACTGTGCCCTAGGTCTGAAGGCAGCCAAGAGGTGGCTGTGTTTAGGGAGTGTGGACAGAGACTGATGTGAGGGTCTACACCCGTGAGCTAGAGGCACCTCCCAGTGTGCAAGGGAACTGTGTGATGGAGGGAAGAGGGATGGGCTACGGGCCTAACTCTGAGGAGTCCACGAATTCTAAATTCAAGGAAAACTTTTAAATCCTTAGATTTCTGATGAGTGGGCCTTCATTTGTCTTCCAGGGTATACAAGTGTTAAGAGTGGGCCTGCCCTCATTATTAGAAATTTTCAGTAGGGTCTGCATCTTACAGCAGACAGGTTATGGCCCTTTGAAGATGGCAGGAAGGTGCTGAGCCGGATGTGGTGGGGACACCATGGCTGATGGAGCTCCAGCACGGTGCAGGACTTCAGAGTGAGAGAAGACAGGCCCTGACCTAAGGAATCTTTAGACTTCTTGCCAAGAGGCTGTTCTTTCTTTAGTAGGTGGGTGTGTAAGCCTTTTTATATGGATATTAAAGAAAAGGGGACCCTTGAAGAATTTGGTTACACTCAAGGTCACACGAGGATTCCCTGGCTACCAACATACCTCAGTCCGAGGTCCCCCTGTCTGCAGCTGGGACAAGTTTCAAGTCTGGTGTTGACAAAATCAGAAGCATGACTCACCCACTCTGGCACTACCATCAATCTTTCTCTGGGTCAGTTCCATCGTTTTCTACCTAGGTCATCCATTAATTCTTTTTATTTCATTTTTTATTTTGTTTTTGAAATGGAGCCTCACTCTGTTGCCCAGGCTGGAGTGCAGTGGCACGATCTTGGCTCACTGCAACCTCTGCCTCTCGGGTTCAAGTGATTCTCCTGCCTCAGCCTCCTGAGTAGCTGGGATTACAGGCGTGTGCCACCATGCCTGACTAATTTTTGTATTTTTAGTAGACACTGGGTCTCACCATGTTGGTCAGGCTGGTCTCGAACTCCTGACCTGGTGATCTGCCCACCTCGGCCTCCCAAAGTGATGGGATTACAGGTGTGAGCCACCCTTCCCGCCAGTCATCCCTTAATTCTTTAAGTGCAATTATAACCTCTGTCCAACCACCAGCCTTTGCCCAGAGGGAAGCTGGCAGTCAAGAAGGAAGACACTTCCTTCCCTAAAATTGCTCCAAGGTCAGGTCCCAGCTGTGTGGAGTGAAGTCTGTGTGGACCGGAAACACCCTTTCGCTCGATGGGGGCAATAAAAGCCCCTCACAGAAGCTGGTTCCAGACCTGTTTCTCCTGCCTGGAAAAAAGATGAACAGTCATAAAACATTTCACAAATGACAAAGTGATAAACTGACAAAAATGTGTTTATTATATATATGCATTTGATGAGACCTTGCACCATCTGAGGATTTATCTGTTAGGAAACATTTCCTAGAGGAATAGAATTCCTTAGGGAGAGTGCGGGAATGAATATTGCAGGTTTCCTGCTCAGTCATCCTACTACCAGGGCCTGCCAGTACAGCAGAACCCAGGATGCAAAGGAGCCCAGCAGGCCACTGGAAAGGTGACCTTAACCCATGCCCACAGAGAATCGCCCACTTTACAGCTACACGGCGGGCATCTGATGGCTTTAATGAATGCAAAAGCATGTAAGCAAGCCAACTGGTCTTCACTCCACTCCTGCCTGCAGAATCCAATGCATACCTCCAGCCTGCACTCTAAGCTGCCGTGACCATTTTCTTCTTTTTCAAAATATGTACTTCAAATTCTTCCTATTTCCTCCAATAACTTCTTGATTCAGTTATCCAAGTGTTCAACATATCAGATCATCTATTGGTTTAATTCTCTCTTTTTTTTTTTCTGGCAACTTTCCTCCTGGAGTCTTCTGCCCTCCTGCTCCAATCTGGGCTGGTTGCCTGTTAGGACTTTCATGTACTAGATTTGTTTCCTGGGTTTCAAGCTCCTTTCTTTGATGAATTACATCCTCTAGTCACTTCCTGAGAAGGGGCCCATTGGAGATAAATTTTCTGTCTATAAGATTCCACCCCAACCCTTGATAGTTTGTCTGGGTATAGAATTCTAGGTTGAAAACTCATTTTCATTCAGTATGTTAAAGATCATATTTCCTCTCTCCTAGTTTTGCTAACAATCATATTTTATTATTCTCTCTAGTCCTTTGCATGTGGCATAATTTCTTATTTTCTCTCATAAAGTTGTGAGGGCATCTATCTTCAACATTCTGAAATACTATGCTGATTTGCCTAAGGTGGGCCTTTTAAATTTCATTGTGCTGAACTCTGGGTTCTTTCAACTTTCATGAAAAAACTCATGCTCTTTAGTCCTAAAAAATTTTCTAATGTTATTTCCTTGATAATTTTTACTCTTTCACTTTGTGTCCTCTCTATTTTTTCTCTCTGTTTTTTCTTTTAGAATGCCCAATAGCCAGAAGTCAGACTTCCCTGTTACAGCTTGTAATTTTTAAATATTTTCTTTCCATCTTTCAGTCTTTTTGTTTCATTAACTGAGAGATCTATTCAACTGTACCTTCTAATCCTTAAATTGCATTTGCTATTTCTGCAACTCTACTTTGAATTTATAGTTTTTAATTGTTTGTTCTTTATGAACCTTAAAAGCAATGGTATCATGTTCTTGTTTCATGGATGCAATACATTTTCATCTCCCTGAAAATACTAATTATAATGTTTTGACTTTTTCTTCTATCCCTTGCATTAACTTGGATACCTTAGAATTTCTTTACTTCTGATTTCTTGTTTGATCTCTGCCTATCTTGTTGAGAATTTTCTTTTAATATCTGTGAATCCTTTGCAGCCAGTTTTTATTTAAGAATGCAACATTTAGTCCAGGCATGGTGGCTCATGCGTGTAATCCCAGCACTTTGGGAGGCCGAGGCAGGCAGATCACCTGAAGTTGGGAATTCGAGACCAGCCTGGCCCACATGGCAAAACCCGATCTCTACTAAAAATACAAAAATTAGCTGGGCGTGGTGGCAGGTGCCTCTAATCCCAGCTACTCGAAGGCTGAGACAAGAGAACCCGGGAGGCGGAGGTTGCAGTGAGCCAGGATCGCACCAGTGAACTCCAGCCTGGGTGACAGAGTGAGACTCCATCTCAAAATAAATAAATAAATAAATAATTAAAAAATAATAATTGACCGGCGGTTCCACGTCCTTGAGAGAGCTTGTTGACTGGTGGGTAATTAGGTGACAAACCAGCTTTTTAATGTGTTCCTGCATATTTTCTCTGGTTCTAGTTTCTCCAGAGAGGAATTCTCAAGTCTTCCACCTCCGATTTATGGGCTATAAGCCTGATGATGCATTCTGGAGACTGGGCAAACAAAGTGCTCTGGGCCATCTTAGTGTACATGTACCTAGGCTTTCACTTATCTATCTATTTTTATTTTTTGCGGCTTATCACCCTGACTCTGCTAACCTGGCCACCTCTTCTCTACTAGCTTTCCATTTTAATGTATTATGGTTAAGCAGATGGCTTCCAGTTCCAGCAGTGATGAAGGCTGCATTTTGGTTTTTTATTGTCCTGAATATTTGGAATTAATTCCCAAGAAGAGAAGGGGAAAGAAAAACACTCCCTTGTCTTAATTCTGGAAAGTCCTATGCTGTGGTTTAATAAATATTTGTCTTCATATTTGATTCATTTTTTTCACTTAACTACATTTATTCATAAAGGAATTTTGATATCACAATGGCAAGTGGAAAATAAAAAAGAAAGTATGAAAATAAAGAACAAATAAAATAACATTATGAATGCTAGCCAGCTATTGGTGCTTGCTGATGGTTCTAGGCTTGAGGTCTGCTCTGTCTATGTTAAAGAGACAGCCGTTAGAAAGATCTTGCTAATCAAAAGACCTACAAACACCACGTTGAGATGTTTTCCCTTTGTTAAACAGACTACAAAAATAACTGAAAATGGGAATAACTGACTCAGTGTGTAATAACTCCAGGTTATTTGGCCCTCTCTTCCTTACCACCTCCCTGTACACCTCTGAGTTAACTAGCTTCTTGTCACTGTTTATGTTTTGGCTCCAATTTCTCCTTCTCAGAGAGGCCTCCCTGACCACTCCTACGAAGGTAGCTCCCAGTCATATCCCACCACCCTGTCTTATTTCATTCATTAGCACTTGTATTGCCATTTCAAATGACCCTGTTTGTTCACTTATTCATGTCTGTCCTTTCCACACCCCTGATAGAATGTAAGTTTCATGACAGCAGGGACTTTGCTCCTAAGCACCCAAATACTCTACACCTAAAACAAAGATTGTTGCATAATAGATGCTCAATAAATACCTAAGAATAGTTAATTTCAGCCTTTTACACATTCCCAGCCCTCCAGGATTACTACTCTCTCTCTCTATTTTTGTCTCCTCTTCTCTCACTCTTCCCCTTTGCCATCAGGTTTCAACCATTAGTCTCACTCCTATGTAAAAAGAAGTAAAGCAAGTCTCAAATGGCAGCTGAAACCACACTGAAATGTGTTGACAGCCTTTGCACCATCTCTCAATGTCTCTCATGAGGGCCACCATCTCATAAGGGCAAGTGCTGGTCAATTACATAGAAATATTCTCCTCTTTAAACAGTAAGAAAAAAGTGATTTAAAGTCCCAAAGGTATTTTTGGCTGACATAAGTATAATCAATTTCTTCACAAGAAAAAATGGACAGAAAATGAATGCCATTAAGAGTTGCATTTTCATGCTGCCAAAACAAACAAACAAAAAATCTCTTCAGAAAAAAACAGCAAACTTACGGTGTGTTTTAGTTTTCCTTCACAGTTTTTATTTTATTTAAATGAATGACTTAACATTGAAAAGTGGAAAGAGATTACATTAAATTTTAGATTTCCAATTATTCTTCTAAAATGAAGTGATCTAACTCTGTCGGGATAGCATTCCCAGATGGAAATCATGGGAGCTGAGTAACATCCACCCCTTAAGGTACCGCATGGGATCGCACATTTGCCCGGTCCTCTCCTGGCCTGCAACACTCATTTATGCTGGCCATTGAAAGACGGAACCATTTCAGAGAAGGTGTTAAGTACTAAGCCTTCCTCCTCTCCATATCCCATACAAGACTGAGTTCAGTAGCAGGCATACATTAGGTGCTCAATAAATAATTATAGAACAATTGGATAAAGTTCCTTGCATTTTCCCACTTCATTACCAATCTGTTGAATCTCATGTATTGTACTTTTATGAAAATTTGAAATTTCTCAGCATGAGGGATTCCCCTTAATCAATCAGGTATCTCCCTAAACTTGTTTACAAAAAATGAAAATTTTTTTAAAAAGAAAAAGGCTTTAACAATTACTGTTTCTAGAACCAGACTGACAAATACTTTGATGCAGAAGTTTTCTTCCACAGCAGTAAGTATTGTATTTCCTTTCTTATAAATAAGTATAAGAATTTTCTTAAAAGGTAAGTGTGCTCACTCATGATCAAATCATGAGATTACTCTGTATCTGGTGGCCAGAGTCTCTCCCAAGCAATGATGTGGGCCAATGATGGTATTTCCATGGTGACTACAGGGATCTCGGGGCTGTGTGTATGCTCTGTGCAAACCAACTCTTCTCTATATGAATAAATAGAAGGTCATACAGGTTTGAAGATGTGGATAAGTAGGAATAACCACAGATGATTACAGAGCTTTAAAAAAATATTAGCCAGAGATAAAGTGGGCTATGATCCTTTTCCAATAGAATAAGTCTCAGCTATTGAGATAGTGTACAAATCTAGTTAATGTAATTTTAAAGAAAAATGACTTGGCAAACATCAGGAAATGTCAGAATGTTCTCTTTATTTTTATTTTTTGAGACCAAGTCTCACTCTTTCGCCCAGGCTGGAGTGCACCAACTCGATCTTGGCTCACTTTAACCTCTGCCTCCTGAGTTCAAGTGATTCTCTTGCCCCAGCCTTCCAAGTAGCTGGGATTACAGGCACCCGCCACCACACCCAGCTAGTTTTTGTATTTTTAGTAGAGAGATGGGGTTTCACCATGTTGGTCAGGCTGGTCTCGAACTCCTGATTTCAGGTCATCCTCCCATTTTGACCTTCCAGAGTGCTGGGATTACAGGCATGAGCCACCACGCCCAGACCCAGAATGTTCTCTTTGACGATGCACCTTTTCTCATGAAGGTGAATTTGTTCACTGTTCTGAAGATTGAGCTGGAATCTGGGAGGCTTGTCTCTACTTTATGACTGGTACATAGAATATAGCACAACAGTTAAACTAATAAGAGCCAATGAAGTTTTGCAAGTGATTGACTCTTGTATATATAAATAAAGCCAAATCAAAGAGATCAATAGAACAGCCTCACTCTCACTCATTTGCCTGTTTGAATGGGAGAGAAGAGGATGTGGTTTATGATACACCAGAATTACACATAATCCAAAGCCCAGTTTATCTTTGCCAAAAAATGTACTGATTGTTTCCAGTGTACTGTTATTCATCCTGATCTATTCCATTACCATAGAGATTAGCTTCTTTGACAAATTTTTTAACGTTAGTCAAAACCTGGGTTCGTGACATTCACGTATATCCCAGCAGAAAACAAAATGTTAAAAACCACTGCTCTTTTTCATAATGGCAGAGCATTTGCCAGTTTTCATTTTTTTTTTTACATTATGCATTATGTTATTATGTCCCTTATGGAAGAATCCCTGCAATAAATTCCTCCAAGAATGTAACGCCAAGAAAAATTTTCCTCTCTAGATAAATGTATGCCTCCTTTTGATCAGATCATAAGGAAGTGAACCACCAAGTTCATCTTCTTGGTCTTTTTACACCATTTACCAGCAAGCTTGAAGTTTCTAATCTAACATCTTTGCGCAGCTAAGTGTAGTGAAATGCCCCTCTAGTGAATGAGCCAGATATGAGAATCTCATTCTCCCTTCTCTGTGACTGCTTTAGGGATAAACATGTGACCCAGTTATGGTGAATGAGTCATAAAGAGAAGCCTGCTGGAGCGCCTGGGAAGAGATTTCTTCCATGAGGGATGAGCAGGGAGAAAATCAGCCCCATCCCCTGCTCCCAAGTCTTCCTTCTTTGGGATGAGGTTTTTGTGGGACTGTTAGGGCTGGAGCTGTGGCAGCCATCTTGGAACTATAATAGGAAGCCAAGACACTTCCAGGGGAGCTAACCCTGGAATCCAGGAACTGCCAAACACCCCCTGGAAACCTCTGGGCTTCTTGCTATGTAGGACAACATATATCCTAAACTTTTAAGCTGTTTATATTCTACTTCTTGTAGTCAAAAATATGTTAACCGTTAGTTACTTTGAATAATGTACATCAAAACACTTCGAAAGGCCGAGCATGGTGGCTCACGCCTGTAATCCCAGCACTTAGGGAGGCTGAGGCGGGAGGATCACCTGAGTTTAGGAGTTTGAGACCAGCCTGGCCAACATGGTGAAACTCTGTTTCTACTAAAAATACAAAAATTAGCCAGGCATGGTGGCACATGCTTGTAGTCCCAGCTACTTGGGAGGCTGAGGCAGGAGAATCACTTGAACCCAGGAGCCAGAGGTTGTAGTGAGCCTAGATGGCACCACTGAACTCCAGCCTGAGTAACAGAGCGAGACTTTGTCTCAAAAAACAAACAAACAAAACACTTTGGAAATCTATAAAAGGATGATAATTACAGTGGTTCCCCTTTATCCCCGGATTTGCTTTCCACAGTTTCAGTTATCTTTGACAAACTCTGGTAGAAAATTATTGCTGTATTTTGCAAGAGAAAGACCACATTCACATAACTTTTATTACAGTAGATTGGTGTTGGGGGAGTATTTTTTATTTTGGGGGATAGGGTCTTGCTCCTCTCTGAAGCTGGAGTGCAGCAATGTGATCTCAGCTTACTGCAGCCTCGACCTCCTGGGCTTTAATGATCCTCTCATCTCAGCCTCCTGAGCCGCTTAATCCACAGGCACGTGCCACCACACTTGCTAATTTTTAAATTTTTTATAGAGACAGAGTCTTGCCATGTTGCCCAGGCTGGTCTCAAACTCCAGGCCCTAAGTGATCTTCCCACTTGGCCTCCCAAGGTGTTGGGATTACAATTGTGAACCATCATGCTTAGCCCAGTATATTGTTATAATTGTTCTATTTTATTATTAGTTATTGTTGTTGATCTCTTACGTGTATAATCTGTAAATTAAACTTTATTACATCTCCCACTCATTTGGGAGATGTAAATAACAAATCAATCAATTAATCAATATCAATAAGAAATATATTTATTAGGCACCAAGTCTCTTTTTTTTATACTGGGTCTTACTCCGTCACCCGGGCTGGAGTACAGCAGCTCAATCATGGCCCACTGCAGCCTCGACCTCTCAGGGTTAAAGTGATCCTCCCATCTCAGCCTCCCCAGCAGTTGCGACTACAGGCATATACCACCATGCTCAGCTAATTTGTAGAGACGAGGTGTCATCATGTTGTGCAGGCTGGGACACCAAGTCTTTTTAAGATTCCTAAATAAATCGGGATTTATTTATTGATTTTAAGAAGGCTCAGCCTGTTTAAATTTGTACCTTTACCATATGAGACACTAACAATTCTTACCGCTCGCTGTGCTTCTACCATTAAAACTTGGCTACCTATTGAGAAGGTCAGGTAGAACCTATGAGAGAGGAAGGGAGAAATTCTGACTTTTTCAATGGGAGAAAGAAAAAAAAAAGAAGGTAGATCAAGTTCACCATTTTCTCATAAGCCCCAAACGATACAACACAAATCTGGGAACTGGTTAAGATCAGCTGGCAGTGAACAAAATGATCACTCTGCTGACATCACAATGATTATTCTTTTGCACAGCTGATGAACCTGCCTGGTATACATGGCTGCTGAGAATGTATCAATTAGCTCAGATACTACTGACTTGACAAGAAACCCTTATCATAAGCAGGATGACAATGTATATTCAAGAAGGTGCTGAGAGAGAAGTTTTTCCATCAGCCTCATCTGAATGAGACATACTTCCCCAAAGAAATGCTTATTTTTCAGCACGTCAACCTCCATCTTGACAGACGAAGAGGCAAAAACTGGAGTCATATTGAGTAGGTCTGAAATTGTCTACTGTGCTAAGATCATGTTCAGTTTGTCATCTACTTTCCTCAAGAAGAATCGCCAGCCATGGAGAAATAGGAAGATAGAGATCAGGGGAAGTTGAGATTCAGAAGCTCTAAGCAAAGGCAATGGGTAAGATCTAGTCCCTTGCCTCTAGAGCAAATGTCAGGGTGGCCCTCGGAGGCTGAGCCAGTCGCAAATGTATGGTCAAGTACCCAAAGGGCTGAAAGGCAAAAAGGAGACCAGTGGCCTCTTCAAATGGTGCTGAGGAAAATATGCACAAGAGCTTGTGCTGACAATGTCGCATAGGCTTCAGAGACTACAAGGGAGAAAAGCAGGTTGCACACTGGGAAGAAGGTTCTGGAAGCAGCTCTTGTCCCGGGCAATAGTGTTGGCATGGGGATGCTCTCCTAGAATGATCTGGTACAATCCAGAGTATGGGTAAAACTTTGCACTGGTGACTAGGAAGGCAACAACGTTCTGGATAGCTCATAGGAAAACACCCGTAAGTGAGTCCAAAAATAGATATTTTCATCTGTTTCTTATTATTGAGGGTCTCTGTCCAGCTATCATGATTTTGTGTGAAGGCCCTTCTTACTCTAGGGTGAAAAGCCACTGCCCCAGCCTGGACCGCTACCCAGCCTTTTGAACAATGCCTACCTCAATCCTTCCAGTTCTTGTCATCTCCAGTAATCAAAAAAGAAGGCTTTGGCCAAGCCACCTTCCACCCCAGGTTGTCCATTGACTGCCCTGGTCATGAGTGTTATGGGTACCATGGGCTACCAGGACCAAGAGTGTTCCAAGTCGCTTCTGTTATCTTCTGCTTAGGTCAAGCAAAGGAACTCCTGTGAGTAATTCATAAAGTACTTATACTCGAAGGTATTGCACAATCTCATTACCATTAATTTTTGCATATTTAACTACAGTTTTTAATTAGATGGTATTTTATTATTCATGCACATAATTTGAGTCCAAGTCAGGCTGCTCTCTTGGAAGAAAGAAAAAAAAAGTGTGGAGGTGGATTCTTCTCAATAGAAAGTTGGTGTTGCCTTTCCTTCTTCACTGGTGAGCGTGGCAGCCTCTAAGTCTATAATGGTTCTCTTTTAATTTTGCTAATAGCTATCATGTTATGTACCTTTATAAATTTGTTAAATCCAGAGTGCTGGGAGTTGTCTCTGTATGCGGTAACTGTAAATAGTTTGTTCTGTTTGGTTTGCACATACAAACTGTTTGCTCAGGCTCCTTGATGTATTATTAAAATGGGTAATGGGCCCCTGGGAAACCATCTAGTTATATGCCTTCATTTGCAGAATAAACCATGCGTTGTTTTCATCTTTACTCATGATTGTTAATGGCACTGATGATGAGATGGGTGGATTTTTTTCTCCACTGCCTTTATCAGCACTGTTTTATTATGCAGGCAAAATGGCCAGGCTGCTGATTTTGTCTAAGGTTTTCAATTAGTCATTTGACTGAACACATCTGTGCTGGCATCCACCCAGAGCTGGACTGCAGCTATTACCGGTTTACACCTGCTGAACCATGGCCATAAACGCGGATGGGAATAAACCTAAATTGGCCTTTTAGATATGGTTGAAAAGTTGTAATGTTGCAGTGTTTTATAGCAGTGTCAGGAAGGTGTGAACTTTTCCACCTTAAGGCCTAAGAACCTGCCATGATATTCCACTTCACTCAAATGACTCACTTATAGGTTGGTTATTAATATCTGTTTACCATTTTGCAGCCCCGATGACTTAATCGGCTGACGTTAAGTAGATAAGATTATATTTGTACTGCAGCAGGGAATGGTCGAGGTTTAATTGTGTTGGTAAACAGAGCACAGTGGCTGCCTTGGAATCTCTGCAGATGTCTCAGAATTATTCAGCAGCAATTTGGAACGTGACTCCTACATCTTTCACTGAAATGAAAATTGCTTCATGGCAGGGCAGAAGCCTTGGTGCTGGAACTGGAGGTGCAGTATTACCTTAATACCCCAAAGAATCTGTCACTTATCTTGGAGGAAGAAGACTAGGCAAATTTCTGCAAGAGGAACTGCGATCTCCTCCATGCCAGGTGCTCATGTTTCCTGAGAGAGATTGCTCATTGCTAAATATCAAGAAATCCCCTTTGCTAGTCCTCAGGAACCCCAGGAGGCAGTAGGCAAGGCTGCAAGTAAGCAGGTCACTGAGAAAGAACTTGCATTTGGATAGTGGAATTCAGGGATGTTTTCGAAAGCAGCAAGATTTCTGTTGGATCCAAGGGATTCACTGGGGACTGAAATAAAAACATTTCTCTCACTGTGGGAAAATCCTGAACAACATTTCAGACTCTTAGGATGACAAAATGTATTGGCATTGCAGCCAGAATGGAGGTGTTTGCCACGATAGCCTCTCTGCCCCCCAGGGATTAAACTTTTGTTAGTTTCACCACGGTCATGTGAATGTATATGGCCACCATATTCGCCCCTCATAAACATCAGTGCCTCCATGTTGAACCCTTAAAATCTCGTTTTTGTAGAAAGGCTCCCCATCTCCCCTTTTTTAGATGCCACCACTGATTATTTTCTTACTCTAGTTTGTGAGTAAGGATCAAATCTTTGCCTGGGTTTGTAACAGCCTAGATCATTTCTCTGAACTTTGTTCTCTGTCATTGTTTGCTTGTTGTTACTTTTTCAGTTACTATCTGACATGCATCCAAGCCATAGCTAATCATCATCATCATCATCACCATCACCTTATCCTATCTCACATTTATTGAGATTATTTAGCAATACTATGCAACAAACACCATGAAACATACACCATTCTAGATTTGCTTGCACTGATACCTTTAAACTTTATAACAATAGTTATACCTATGAACAAGATATTAATATTGTCACTTCTAATTTGTAAATGAGGAAACTAACGCACAAAGAGGCCTAGAAAATTGCCCATGATCACACTGTGAGCAAAAGAAGGAGCCAAGATTCGTGGCAGGCAATGGAAGCCAGAACTCTTGGTTCTGACCGGTAGCCAACACAGTCTCTCAGAGTTAGAGTTTCTCAAGCCATGGGTTTGGCACAGCAAGCTGAGATCTGGCTAGAAGGGTTCCATGGATTGAAACCTTTTTTTTTTTTAAACCATCCCTTTTTATTGGTGGATATTTAGGCTGTTTCCAGTCTTTTCAATATTTTAATAAATATGCTTTTACCTCTCTCTGTGGGCACACACAGACATATTTAAACGTGATTTTGGACAATCGTAGGGCACACACACACTTGAAATTTTTCTAGATATTGCCAAATTGCCCTCCAAGATCACTGAACACATTTATATGGCATATGGGAATAGCTCTTTCCTCACATCTTTGACAACATTTTGATACCATCAAATTCTTTAAGCTTTGCCAATCCAAATGCACTTTTCAAAGTGAGGATTTTCAGCTGTTCGTAAAATTAAACCCTTGAACTTGTCATTGTGAAATTAAGCCTTTCTCTTAGCCCCACATTCTCACTCCCACCTCAGCACCCAAGAAAATAAAGATGCCCTAGGTCCTTTAAAATATAAGTCAAGAGCTGGGCACGTTGGCTCATCCTTATAATCCCACCACTTTGGGAGGCTGAGGCTGGAGGATTGCTTGAGCCCAGGAGCTCGAGATAAACCTGAGCAGCATAGCAAGAAACACTGTATCTACAAATTTTTTTTTTAAATTAGCTGGGTATGGTGGCAAATGCCTGTGATCCCAGCTACTTGGGAGGCTGAGGCGAGAGAATTGCTTGAGCCCAGGAGTCCATGTTACGGTGACCTATGATTTGTTGAACCACTGAACTCCAGCCTAGGTGACACAGCAAGACGCTGTCTCTTAGTTAAAAAAAAAAAAAAAAATTCCAAACAATGGTTCTTTTCTCCTTTGGTTGTATGGATCCACTTCCAGAATAACTAGTTTTACAACAGCATTTTGCAGCCTCAAAACTGCAGCAATAGCACATTGAGTTGGGAAGTAGTATAACGGATAAATGTGAAGGCTCTGAAGTTAGACTCTCTGAGTTCAAAAAGCAGGCTCACCTTTTTAGCTGCAAGGCCTTGGTAACTAATCCTTACTGCATCTCAATGTCCTCACCTGTAAAATGGGAATACCCATATAACATCGGTCTCATAAAGTTGATGCAAAGACTAATGATTAAATTAAGTAGGCATAACACTTAGAAAAGTGCCTGGCTTATAATAAATGCCTTGTACATTTTGTTCACCATAAACTTTACAACAACTGGACCAATAAGTTAGTGAATACGTTTCTGCCTCTTGCTTAAGATTTTTTGCAAAAGCACCTTTTAAAGATTGTAGTATCTGAAATAGCAGGAACCATTACAGCTGCCGAACCCAATCTTTTTCAATAACCATGAGTGACTTGAGTGCAAGGGTTATTCCAATCCCCAGTGCCTACTCAGGGTTTGATACATAGCAAGTGCTCAGTAAATGATAGCCAGATAGAGGGACAAACATACATGTCATGCATGGCTCATTGGCCTCAGCAGGCAAACTTTGCATTTGTCCAAGTGCAAATAACCAGTCCCCAGTCTCAGCTCACTGGATCAGAATTACCTGGATGGAGGCCTGGAATCTGCATTTTGAATACTTTCCCTGGTCATTTTTGGCCTTGGGTGTGAGACTGTAGATAATTCTGGCTCTAGAGAAAATTATTTCTAGTACTTGGCATAGTTCCTTACATGTAGTATTCAATAAATATTGTTGGTTGAATAAATTAAGCATCTCAGGTGTTAGTTATAGGATTTTCACACTCACATGGTCCCAAGAGATGGAGGCTCATCTGACACTCTCAGCCACAGTTCACATAGTGTGGCTCTCAGAGCCTACATTCTGATGCCACACTGGGCTCCCAAGAGGAGGAGACAGAGGCCCCCTGTGGTGATGTCCCATCTACTGCTCCTCCAGGGAGCCTCAGGGCACCTGCTGTCACCCTGGGACCTGCTTTCATCCTGAAAACACCTGGGACCTCCAAATTTCACAGACATCATTAAGCAGGCTAGAGGAAAATAGTCTACAGTCCAAGGTCAAGCTCACCTCAGCAGCCACTCTACTTGGCCTCATCAGACCTCTTAAGCTTGCAGGCTATGGCCTGCCTGGGACTCAGGATCTGGTGGCTCCTCCTGCCTTTCTGAAGTCCCATCTGTGACAGTCAGTTTCTCCCTGGACTGCAGGGCTCCTGGTCAGTGGCTTGATTTTCACCATCGCCTTTAATCCTGCCCTTCCTGCTGTCATCCCACTTGCACCCACTCCTACCTCCCTCCAAACCCTGCCTTAGCTGGAGAGTACTGAGCTCCCAAGAACTGAGTGCCAGTGTAGGTCACTCTAATAAAAGCACTCAATACACATTTGGAAATGAAAAAATAGAAGGTAGGGTTGCTAAGCTGTATTCATTTGTTTAATCTCAGTTTTGCTTTATATTTTCATTTTTATTGATTTATTGATTTTTTTTTAGAGACAGGGTTTCTCTGTCTGGTCTAGGCTGGAGTGCAGTGGTGCCATCATCCCTCATTGCAGCCTTGAACTCCTGGGCTCAAGCAATCCTCCCTCCTCAGCCTCTTGAGTAGCTGGGATTACAGGTGTGTGCCATCACACCCAGCTAATTTTTAAATTTATCTTTACTTTTGTAGAGATGGGGGAGTCTCACCATGTTGCCCAGGTTGGTCTCGAACTCCTGGCCTCAAGGAATCCTCCTGCCTTAGTCTCCCAAAGTGCTAGGACTACAGGTGTGAGCCACCCTGTTTTATAACCATTATTTCCACGGTTGGAAAAAGCAGTCATCTCTTGAAGTTGCTTTTAAAATATTGAGGATTTCTGGACTGTGTTCAAATGAATATCAAATGGCTGTTTGTCATGACAACTGATGCTTGAAGAGCCCTTTTTAGTGGAGCAATGAGCTTTGTAGGCATATTAACTCACTGTATCTTCACGACGGCCTCACCGGCTGATACTAATACCATATCCATTCTACAGACGAGGAAACTAAGCCAGAGAACGATGAAATAAATTGCTTAGGTTTAAATAGCTCATACAGGCAGAGTCTAGATTTGAACCCAGAACATATGGCATCACACACTACAGTTATGGAAGGCCCTGACGACTGGCTCACTCACATGCTTTTCATTCCCTTCTTTACAAGGTAAATGCGTCTTAATCAGCAGACACAGAAACAGGGATGTCCTTGCTGGAAGGGAGGTCAGACTGGTTGGACTGGCCAGGGTTGAAAAATTCCCCGGCCAGTCCCCACACTGCTGGCTGGTGACGGCAGGGGACATTGTGGAGAGGTAATTTCAGGCTTCCTCCAGGCTCAATCTGCGCCTTGGCTCTTCACAAGGCCTCCAACACTGAGATAGTCACCTGCTCCGCTCAGGCCCCAAATTGGCTGCGCATGCCTGGGTCCAGCGAGCCTCCTTCCCTCCGTGTGGTAGTGGGAATGTACATGTACATCGCCAGCAGATGAAAGCCAGGGGCCCAACAAAGGGAAAATGAAATTTCCCTTGAGCTGTTTGCCCTGGCTGACTAACCCAAACCTTCCTTCTCAGGATGAAGAGCAGCTCTGATGTTCTGATGTTGAAAGCATCAAAGGCTGATCCCCTCACCTGAGCAGTGACACACAGTCGCTTGGCAGCCAGGCTTCCAGAGCTCCCACCCCCACCATTCAAAGCCCAGACCCTCTGAATCGACCCTGCGTTATTAGTGGCCAATATCCCACTCGCTAGACAGTGGCTACCTGGGCTATTCCTTAGCTTGCATTTATCCCTCTTCCTCCCTGCCTGTCTACCAAGCCACCCTCTGACCCCTACACCTCTGACAGGGACACAGACTTGTCCTTTCCTAAGCCCCTGTCTGCACCAGCTGCAAAGTTCAAAGCCTGTGGAAGACGAGTCTCAAGAAATACACATCACATCCATTTCCAGAAGGCTGGAAAACATGGTTTCCAGAAAATATTTTTTTCAGCAGCTTCATCTATTTTTTTTTTTGATTGCAAAAGTGATCTGTGCTCACTGTTGACATTTCAACAACTCAGAAGGATATAAAGGAGAAAGTAGAGATTGCTACAGAGCCATTTTTGGAGAGATTCCCTCAGTTAATATTCTGCTGGTGAACGTATGCCTAGATATCCAAGTAGCTTAACACTCCACCTCGCTTGGACCCCACTCTGAATGTGGCCCTGTCACCTGCTCTCCCCTCTCCAGGGGGATCGTGGTCACCTTTCCCACTTAGAGACTTCTTAAAGCATCTCTCTGAATTAAACATAAATTCTGAACCTCTTCCAAATGCTTTCCTTAAAACACAAGTGCTACACATGGGTGACAGTACAGTGTTTGATTCAAACTCTGCTTTTAAGCTAAATTGAACACTAAAAAGATGGCTGGGAACCAATTTCGGACAGCCACAGGCAGCTTTGGGAGATAAGAACCTTTCTTTGCGATTTGGATAAAGCAAAACCATGATCTCTCTGCCTCCTTTGTTTTTAGAAATTAATAGAGCTTTTCCAACAGACCGCCCCTTGCCACTAATAGTGAACAGTCAAATCATGGCTTTTATTCCCAGCTCACTACGTCAAGTAAATAGAAGCTTACAGGATAGACCAGGGAACGATAAGCAATTCTCACTGCAGCGAATTCTTAATATATAAATTCATCCAGCAGCAGTTTAGTATCTACTGGCAAAACCAGAAACAATGGGGAACAGGCAGGCCTGGCTCTGACGAGGTCAACCATCAAGGTTATCTATATTCAATTACTGGTATCTACAAACTTGCATAGCTGTCAGCTGGTCAGGGCCCAAATGAAAACTCACCATGCACTCAGAAAGCAAATATAGTTTCCGAGGAGAGCCTCAAATTAGCTCTGTGAATGACTTGACTTCAAACGCACACACAAGCCATCAGCCTTTGGGGACGTTTCTGCCAGCAGTGCCTCAATGTCTAAATTTGGGCATCATCTTATAAATCTCTGTTCCTGAAGTAGGAAAGGACTGGAATTGCTCCTTAACCCTTGGCGATGATAAATTATATCACTTAACAATAGATAAACTTAAGACACTTTTCCTGTACTGCGGACCTATTGTGAGGTAACTGCTAATCTCTGGCATCTCTTCTCTGTGGTCGGTACCACTAAAGACCTGTCGGTGGTGAAGAGACACAATAATTTGTTTTCTAACTCCTCCTCCGGAACCATATATCATGTGTGGAAACAAAGCTTCCCAACAACAGATATGTATCTGTTTCCTTTATCTGAGTTGCCCTTCCCATCAGGGGCAACTCAGAGAGGACATGTTTTCAGTGTGACACTTCCCTGCCCCAGAAAGGGGGAACATTTCCTTCCCAGGCCCCACTGGAAGTGGGGTAAAGGTTTGGGTCTCCAGGAGGAAAGACGGCAGGCCTGCCAGAAAGGAGGGCCTTCTGTTCATTGCCACATCCCCCAAAGGCTTAAATCACACCCCCATTCTTCCTGGCAGGTGCCTTTCAACCCAGGACCTTTTGGGGGGCCCAATGGAGATTTACTGACTGCATAAGTCAGGGTTAATCAATGCCAAGGTAATTTCTAGATTAGCTTGGGGAGGCCATAAATTGTGGACCTGTTAAGAGCTAGATGTCTTTGATTTTCTCCTTGGGTCGGAAGTAGCTGAATTGTTACTCTCTCCTCATCCATTCCTTGCTTCCTCTAATATCTGTCACCTTCATGAACTTGATAATAATCCCCTTTCCAGGACCCCCCTTCCAATTCTGTCTCTTGAGGCTAGTATGCCAGCCATGGGCTCACATAGTCTATTTGAGCCACGAAATGAAAGACTGTACATTCATCAATGCAATCTGTTTAGATTAGTTAGATCAGGCTTCAGGACAGAGGTAAAACCAAGAGTATCTTCACAAGAAACCGTTTGACATGAGTTCATATGCGGAGGGAAAGGCACATGGAGCAAGGTCAGTCCTGACTTTCAACCAGGCCAGGACATGCTCCCACCTCCAATCTGGGCCCCTGGGTCCACCCAGACAGAGCCGTCATATGTCCAGCTGTGCAGGTTGTGCACTGCACACGAGGCCATATTTAAGGGGTGCCATTCACATCATAGCTTTTGTAGATTTCTATATTTATTATGACAACTTTCTGGACAATGACAATAATGTGTTTTAATAAAATCAGCTGGGCACGGTGGCTCACACCCATAATCCCAGCACTTTGGGAGGCCGAGGCGGGCAGACCACTTGAGGTCAGGAGTTTGAAACCAGCCTGGCCAACATGGTGAAAACTGCTTTTACTAAAAATTCAAAAAATTAGCCGGGCGTGGAGGAATGCGCCTGTAGTCCCAGTTACTTGGGAGGCTGAGGCAGGAGAATCGCTTGAACCCAGGAGGTGGAGGTTGCAGTGAGCCGAGATCGGGCCACTGCACTCCAACCTGGGTGACAGAACAAGACTCAGTCTCAAAAAAAAAAAAATCAGTATAGACACTTTTCTGACAGATGGAACTAAAATATCTTGAGACTGGGAACATTTTCTAATCAACACAAAGCCACCATGGAGGCTAGGGCAGTCCCGCACCAAGGAACCCACTTCTTATCCCTAAAGTCAACTGGTCACTTTTACTAGATCCCCTCCTACATGTCGGGGAGAAAGGTTATTGTAATGAGATGATCTATTCGTGAGTCTGTCTCCTCCTTTGGGATCTCCTTGTCCTTGTTTGTATTCCCAGCATAGAGCCTGGCTCGTGAAAGTGCCTGATCCATGTTTGTTGAATGAATGAATGAATGAATGAATGAATAAAATTCTATATCCTTCAACCCCTACTACAGTGCCTACCACATAGCGGGTTAAACGCGAATGTTCTGATGAATCAAACGAATTCAACCTATGGTGCGGAAACCTCTCTATTCATCAAATAGAGCACACGGACTATTAAAATGTGGGAGCATGGACTGAGCAACGTGGCTTATGCCTGTAATGCCAGCACTGTGGGAGAACGAGGCAGGCAGGGGTCAGGAGTTTGAGACCACCTTGGCCAACATGGTGAAACCCCGTTTCTACTAAAAATACAAAAAACATTAGCCGGGTGTGGTGGTGAGTGCCACCACGCCAGCTAATTTTTTTTTTTTTTGTATTTTTAGTAGAGACAGGATTTCACTATGTTGGCCAGGTGGGTCTCCTGAAGCAGGAGAATCACTTGAACCCGGGAGGCAGAGGTCGCAGTGGGCAGAGATTGTGCCATTGCACTCCAGCCTGGGTGACAGAGTGAGACTCCATCTCCAAAAAAAAAAAAATGTAGGAGCATGACAATTTTTCTCATACAACCTGAAGCTAAGAGCTTGTCCAAAAAACATGTTTCGCTCCAGGCCTCAGGGGTCAGTGGGGAAGGAGGAAACGGCTGAGGCCAAGGTGAGGAGGACGCCTTTTGGCACACATGGTGGTGATAGACTATGGGAAGACATTTCCTGTTCTTGTCTTAGGATTCTGGCATCTGTTTTCTTAAAGTGTTGGAAGTGCTAAGAGAGCTTAAATGACATACTTCACAAGTGGCAGACTCAGCCTCTCAGCTAGAACTCCATGTTGGGGGGGTCTCTGACAGCCAGCAAGCGATTCCCAGCAAGGGCAAACAATTCTGATGCCTCCTACTACTCCTGTCTGGGAAGTCCCAAGTCCTGTGACCACCTGGCACTTTCTTTCCCTTTGAATTTCCTTGGAAACCCCCAGAGCATACCACCGCATTTCTGCTGAGGTTGGGAATATGTGTGATTGTGGCAAAGAAGTCAGACCTAGAATCTGAATAATGGGACGACGTCAAGCCCTAATTACTCTAGCATTAGTTCTTTACCTGGTGATTGCTAAACTAATGATTGTTCATTGGCAAAATTAATCCATAGGAGAACGGAAAAATGTAAAGAAGAAAACTGCTTGTAATCCCACCTTGCCCCTACCAGAGATTAACATGCTATTGAATTGGTCTGTGTCCCCCAAGACTGTTTCTGTGCTATTTGTCTATAGACCCCTCTGTTCACCGATGCATTTCCCATCAAAACAGGAAAAAAAATGTCCCTACAATATTGCTGTTTTTGTAACTTCATTTTACATTTAATAACATATTGCAAACAATTTTCTTATCAATAAATATATTTTTAGCTTACCTTTCAAAATACCCGGAAAGTACGTAGTTATACGGATGAACAGAAATGCATTTAACCAATTCCTGATTTTGATGGGCATTTACCTTATTTCCCTTTTTTGTGGTTATTATACACAGTGTTGTGCTAAAATTCTTTCTATGCATGTTTTTGAGCATTTGTCATTTGTGGAATTAACTTTGAATAGGAAAAAAATAAAATCTGCCTTCAGGCCCAATATATGTAAAAGCCTCATTTATATACACACATAAACACACACACACATGACTATTTAATCAAAGCACATGTATTAAGCCCCCTACCAGGTACTAGGCACTGTGGTGAGGGTATGCTGGTAGGGTAGACATGAATCTTGCCTCGAAGAACTCATCATCTAGTTGGGATAATGGTATTTCTGATGAATGAAAGATTTTTACAAACATCTTAGCCATAGGACTAAAGAATCTAGAGAAAATAAGGAAGGGAGGGAAGATGGAAGAGAATGAGGGAAGGTCAAAGCCCATAACCTCCCTTGAAGTAGGAAAGGAGCATCTTAAAAAAGCTAAGAATTCATAATATTTCATCAAAGACATAGTACAATGCCTTTTATATACTGAATGTCTGCTGTGTGCTACTTTACAGCTTTAACTCATTCAAAACTCACCACCATCCTCTGAGTCAGGTGGTAATTAACCAATGAGGAGGACTCTAGGACAGTGCAGTAGCTCAAACCCATGACTGTCAAGCCCCAAAGCCTACTTCTTCCTCACTGGTTGCAGGGTGGTGGTGGTGGTGGTGGTGGTAGTGTGAATGCCATTGGTATTAGTGGTGATGATGGTGATAAATGGTGGTGGCAATGGTGGTGGTTGTGGATGTGGCGATACTAGTGGTGCTAGTGGAAGCAATGGTGTAGTATTGGTAATAGCAGTGGTGGAGGTAGTGGTTAATGATATCTGCGTTGATGTTGGCATCATTGGTAAGGTTGGTGGCAGTGATGGCCATGGTGATGGTAGGGGCAATGGTGGTCTTATAGCAGTGGTGATGGTGGTGCCATGATTCCCGATGGTGGTAGTGGTCATGTTAATGCTGCTGGAGCTGCAGGTGTTGGTAATGGTGGTCACAGTGGTAGTGGTGATGGTGGTGATGGCAATAATAAGAGTATGGAGGAGAGTGGAGGCAAGGAGTGAATAAAATGCAAGGTTTAGCCCTACCAGAGGCATACCAGGAAATTGCTGGGAAATACAAGTGTTTGAACCATGGAAGCCACTGGGACCCTTCCAGCATAAGCTGCAGTTCTAAATAATGATTAGGACCAGGGAAAAGCCAGAGGAAAGCCGGAGAAAATCACACTGGCTCTGGGGCTCTTGCTGTCAACATCTTTGTTGATTGCTCTCTCTCCACTCTAAAGAAGAGCCACCTCACCTTCTGCCCCACCCAATAAAACGGCTCGGTAAATATAATTACTTGCACCATCTAATCAATAGTGGATTGCTCCTGGCCCCTGCTTGTTCAATATCAGTTTCTGGGATCACAGAATCTTGATACTACCCTCAAGATGTCAATTTCTGCTTAATGTTAGATAAACCACATCTATCAACCCCATCCATTAATGATGATTTTATTGTATCATTAATAATACACATCTTAAAAATATGTTTTCGACTAATATAACATGAAACATGAGGTTGAAAATATTCTACACTTCCCAGTCATATAACTCCAAATTGCCAATTGAACAATTCAAATCAATGTTGTATTAAGCAATCTCAGAAAGTGATTATGGAATTTGAGAGACAACCAATGGGTAGGCAAAAAGAAACTCTTTTTCCATTGATTTTTCTGAGAAAGAGAGAATTAAAAAGCAGTCTCCATCCATATTAAGAGGCCAGTTAGCGGAACTTAACTTGTAGCATTTATCACCCCCAAAATAGGTTACTGCTTTGCCCTGAGTTTGGGTCACAAGTTCCCATGGAGCACAGAGCTCTGAGGTCTTTTCCACTCTCTAACATATGAAAACCAGAGCTCGGAAACACCGTGCTCATTAGAAACACATTGCCAATACCATGTGGCCAGGACGCCTGCTGCTGGGGTTCATCTGTGCACACAATAAACACTGGGTAAGCAGCCCGATGCTGAGAGGATCTTTCTCCACGTCAAATCCCAGGACAGAAAACCCCAGGGATGTCAAACTACATCAGAAAACAAAAACAGCTGCAAGGAAACTCAGACGACAAAGAGAGGTGCATTCAAGTAATTAACAGGCCCAAATGTTCTTGATCTGGAACATCACATTTTAAAAAACTGCCCCACTGTTCTGTTCATCCTATAAAGAAGTTGGCTCTATCGCCTTCATTTTTTTGTTAGAGATACTCTTTCATTTTGGAGTAAGCCGATAGTTAGTTCCCTCTCTCAGAGTTTATGGCTCTTAAACGAACAGGAGAATCTGCAGGAGCAAGAGGTTGTCTGTAAATATCTTGTTAGTAATTCACCCGAACTTTCTACTACATAGTTCTCCAATTTTTTCTTTAGTAGCATAATAAACAGCAAGTTTCTTCAGCAGAGGAAAGCTGTAATTTGGGATGCCACCCTTACAGAAAGAGAAGGAGCATCTCTTCTGAGCTGGCATGAAGGTATTCAGGTTCTCACTGGTGGATCACTTGTACCCTGGCTGGCCATGCCTGTGTGTCCTGATGCTTGGGGCTGGGTGTTCAGCCCTGTGAGTGCTTGTATGCAGGTAAGGGTCTAGGGGAGTGTACGCATGCACTTATACACACTGAAGACTCCTGGATCCTTAAGTTAAACCTGCTCCACTTTATACACAGTTGTGTGATATGGTTTGGCTCTGTGTCCCCACCCAAATCTCATCTTGAATTATAATCCCCACGTGTCAAGGAGGGGACCTGAGGGGAGGTGATTGGATCATGAGAGTGGTTGCCCCCATGCTGTTCTCCTGATAGTGAGTAAGTTCTCACGAGATCTGATGGTTTTATAGGTTGCAGTTTCCTCTCTCTCACTCTCTCCTGCTGCCATGTAAGACGTGCCTGCTTCCCCTTCTGCCATGATTGTAAGATTCCTGAGGCCTCCCCAGCCATGCGGAACTGTGAGTCAATTAAACCTCCTTTCTTTATAAACTACTCAGTCTCGGGTATTTATTTATAGCAATATGAGAACAGACTAATACATGTGGATGGACACATGGCTTTCCATCTCAAGGACTGTGACACTGGGCATGGCACATGACTGCATCTTCCATCATTCCTCTATTCAGTCTCAGATAGAAACAGTGGTTATTTCTATACAGAAACATCAAAGAAATCAACAAGCTGCTCAACTTCACCAAACAGGCCTCTCTTTATGTGGGCAAAGCCTGGATCTACCACTTTCTCATTCTCCCTCTCTCTCTCTTTCACCCCCCCTCCCTCTGTCTCCCCTCTCTTTCTCTCAAAAACAAAATTAATGAAAAAAATACTTTATCCTTACCTCCTAATTGGTTTTTTCTCAAATTTCATGATCACTGTCTGAGATTGCTTAATATAACATTGATTTGGGTCTAAAGGCCCATCTAAGTTTGAATTGCTGTGATTCAAGAACTTTCTTTTCTTTCTTTCTTTCCTTTTTTTCTGACATATAAGTATTCCATTTTTAAAATTCCCCAAACAAAGTGTGGAGCCACCCTCTACCTCCTTCTCCTGAGTGTGTGTGGCTTTCTTGATCATTTTTCAAAATCTTTTTCTACGATGTCATTAGACCCTAGAAATAACATTGGCAGCCTTGTAGATACAGCTTCAAACAAGGGCCCTCCTTCCAAAGCCGTGGCAGAAGGTGAATAGCTTGTGTAAGCTGCTGCCTTAGTGAAACAAAGGGAAGATGCAAGGTCATGCGTTTGTATTTATATTTACATGAAGGAACTGTGCAGGGTATGTGATAATTGGGCAGGGAACTGGAGTGAGGCTTCTCACTTAATACTTTATATTGTTGAATTATTGAGCTATGTGAACATGTTATCATTTGAAAACTGAAAATACAGTAAGTTTAGAAAGAAAAACAAGAAACCATTGACTTGGGCTGTTCAACTGGCCTTTGGGAGTGGTATGATGGTGATGTACAGAGTATTTTCTGTCAAAAACTGGCAAAATTTTAAAACAAGGGTCAATATATTTGGCATGGTCTGCTGAACTCATCAATTAGCTAGGGCACTCTTCTGCTTCACAGTGACAGTTGACTTGGAGCTCTACAAACACAATCTGAGAGAAACCCTAACGTAGGGTCACCTAGGACAATGTGTTTCTAAGTAAGGAGGCCGGTGGGAGGGGGAAGGGTGTGAGCTAAGGAACCCACAGTAGAAATAGCATGCAGGAAAGAAAATTTGGGAAACTGAGGCAAGGCACTTAGGAGAGGCTTTCAAGTGGTGTCCATTTTCCTGTTATCCTCAAGTATGATAAGCTATTTCAAGAAGCTGGTTTTAATAATGAATACTCTCTTCCCACAAAAAGCCAAAGTGGTCGTTTCCATCCTGCAGGGCAGTGTAGGCCACTGTCACAGGTCTCCAGGAGGGGTGCTTGCCAAGGGCATAATTTAGCTGAAATTAAGGATCAATCTGAACTCCAGCTGCAGACCAAGCAGCCGTTAAAGAAAGGCAGCTGTTCCCTCTGCTCTTTCATTTTCCTTGTTTTTGTCCGCCCTCGTCCAAAACACCACCCTCTATTCTGTTTTTCTTCATGAATCCCACGTGGACAAGAGAATAGATTACTGAAGGCACACAACAAGTGTGCCTTCTTGCTTTCCTGCTTTCCTGCTTTCCTTCCTTCCTTCCTTCCTTCCTTCCTTCCTTCCTTCCTTCCTTCCTTCCTTCTTCCTTCCTTCCTTCCTTTCTTCTGTCTTAAAGCAAAATTTCAAAAACATGTCTTGGTTTGTTTAGAAGCAGCAAGATGACTGATCTACTTTATTTTTGATCACTGCTGCACACACCTGTGTGAGGAAGGAGGAGGCAGAGAAAGTAAAAACAAAACAGTGGACTCATCAGCCAGAGCCGGTATTTATGTGTAAGTGATACAAAGACTAAGCTGAGTAACTCAATAGTAAAATAGGTCTGTTTCAGGGCTGCTGCCATTAAGAAAATAACACTAATACAAGACACATGTGGGTGCTGGCCAGGACATGTCCCCAGAGCTCATGGGCAGCCCAAGCTGGGGATCAAGGCTGAGAGCTCACCCCTAGCTCACAACCTTTGCTGTGATCCCAGGTCAGAACCTGGTAATGTAATTTTCTGCCAAAGTGGGGGAATCCATGTGTTCCCAGTGACCCATCAGGAGGTTTTGTTTTGATCTATTAGATCGTGGAATCCTTGATCTTTAAAGTTTGAGATCTTTAGGTTTTGCCTGGCCCTTTTTCAGAGGAGTAGTAGCCCAGAGAAGTTAAGTGATTTACCTGAGGTCACACAGTGAAGCCACAGCAGCGTCAAAACCAGCACTTTGATATTAATAGCTATGTTGCAGTCAGTGTTGCCAAAGAAATAAGGTGAACCACACACCACTTCTACTTACGCACCATGCTTGGTTTGGGTACCACTCTAATTCTGAGAAATTGTTATGAGAATGTATTCTCAAACATCAAAGCATTACACAAATAAACCAAAAACTCATATAAAAACAATGACAAATATTATTTGGGATTCCTCAACTTGTGATGGCTGCTTCCTTTGTGAAGCCATTTCTCTTTTATTTTGCTCATGTTTTGAGTCTCAGCTTGAAGGTCACCAGTCAGGAGACCCTCTCTACTGACCCAGTCCAAAGTTACCTTCTCCCCACCACATCCTAGTCACATCCTGTCACCTTTCTTGTTTCCTTCCCAGTCTGAAATGATGGTGGTTATTCATCTGTTTACTTATTTATTGTCTTTTTCACTTTCTGAAACGTGAGATCTGTGAGGACAGGGATCCTTGACCTTGACCATTTTGTTGAATTCCCAGTGCCAGTCATACAGTAGGCACTCAGTGTATATATAGGTATATAGATATACACAGATGAATATATATATATATATATATACATATATATATGTATATTGCATGTATGAATGAATTCCACTGTGGATTCAACTCTTTCTTCCCTAAAACCTCCATGCTTTGTCTTTTACACACCTTATGGCACTAGCATTCTGCCTTACACACTCACCCCATCCCACCCCATCTAGCCCCTTCTACCAGATTAAAGGCCTTTGAAGGCATCTGTGTTTGCACCTGCAGCAGTGCTTAGAATCACATCCTGCCCACGTTGGTTCTAAAATTCAGTTGAGGCAGGAACATAGATACATAGATCAAGAGGTTTCGGAGCTTTTCCATAAAATTCAAGTCAACTTACCATTTCTAAACCACTGGGCTAAAGGAAGGCACGCATTTAAACGCAGAGTTCCCATCACAACTAATTAATGTTTTGGTCTCTCCCTTTCTCCTGGACTTGAAGCTGGGCACAGCCAAAATATGGTGTTAAACAAAGATATCTTGGACCAAATTCTTGTTTGTGTCTCCTCAACAGCTACTTCCAGCTGGCTTTGTTTAAGTGATCATGGGATAAAATTTCATCACAATCACCAGTGAACATGACGAAAGACTGCCTTCATCTATCAACTCCAGGGCTGGTGTTCACAAGTCCCTTAGCCCAAAATGGGACATAAGACATTGAGGGAGGGAGCCATCACCCCAGTGGAGAGCCCCACCCTCAGGCAGCCAGGTTACAACGTGGGACCAAGACTGCCATGTAGAGGAGTGAGCAGTGTCGTTGGAACCAGATAGATCTGCGTTCTAATCACAGGTCTTTTATGCACGGGCTGGTTGACTTTGGGCCATTGGATATCAGTTTTCTCATTTGGAAAATGGGTATAATACATATCTTACATCTTACATGGCTGATCAGAAGCATGAATGTTTGTGGAATGCCTGGAACAGAGTAACCACTTAACAAAAGGTAGTTCTTACTGCTCTTACTAGCGCTGTTTACTTACTACTGTTCCCTTGTATTTAAAATCCAAACCCATTTCTGTGCCTTCAGCCCCCAAGCAGCAGAGATCTGTCCCACCTTAGGGCCTTAGCACTCACTGTTACTTCCATTTGGGATGTTGGTCCCACTTCCCCTGCCTCCCACTAGGGCATGGCTGGTTCTTATTTCATCATTGGGATGTCAGCTCAAATGTCATTTCTCAAAGAGGCCTGCTCCGATGGCCTCATCCAAAGGAGCCGCACTCTAAGCCCTTTCCACCAGGTTATTCCGCTCTTCATCCTTCTTGACTCCTCAGCCTCTGACACTGTCCCATTTGCCCATTTGATATTGATTCTTTTTCCCTTGTGCACCTACAGCCTATGAGCTTCCTAAGAGCCAGGACCTTCCTTGCTTTTCTCATTGCTGTATCTCAAGCACCTGCCACACAGTAAGTGCACCACAAAGACATGTTGTATGCAGGCATAGGTAACAAATACACTTACATGAAAACAACTCCCCAAAAAGGCTGACAAGAACCGAGAACAGGACCAGCTACATAATTGGCAGAGCCCAGTGCAAAATGAAAATGCAGGGCCCCTTCTTCAAAAGTATTCTAAATTTCAAGACAATGACAGCAAAGCATTAGACCAAGAGCAGGACCCTTCCATGCAACCGCACAGGTCTCCCTCCCATGAAGCCAGCCCCACCTGGAAAGCCATAGTAGACAGCTAGAGGAGTTATTTTGAGATGGCCAAGGCCTGGGGATCACACCATGCAGCCAGCCTCAGCAGACACTGTTCAGGCCGCACTTTCTCCTGCACCTCTTCTTCCTCTTAGCCCACCTTCCAGATACTCCAGAATACTGGTTCCAAGTGGGTCCCATTCCTGCTCCCAAACCCCTCTGTGGGACTCTTCCCATCTCCAGGACCCCTTGCAGGGTATTACTTGTGAGTATAGTCACATTATGAAGAGCTTTCAGAAGGGTAATGAGCGAGAAAGCCACAGCTTTGAAACCACTGGGATGGCAGAGGAGGAGGGGAGCCCAGGAACAGGGCAGCCACAGACAGATGTGTAGGTCACACACTGCAAAAGGCCCTTCTGAGGGATGAGCAAGGACTAAAATCCAGCCTGTGCTGCAGTTACCATGCGGTGTACTTATTACAGGGAGGCACCTGCCAGGAGAAAGGACACCACTGTCTGCTTGAGAAGCTATGTGCCTGCCTGGAGGGGGGCATCATTTTCTAATTTGCACAAAAGCATGGTATAGTTTAGACAAAGGAAGCTTTCCAAGCAGCTGAGAGAACTTAAGAGTGTAACCAAAAGCAAAAAAAGAAAGGAAGAAAACAATGCAAAAAAACAAACACTCTTCCACTTCTTCTAATTAGACTGGTCTGCTCACTGCCCAGAGGCAAGTGGAGACACAAACATGAAGATCGTCGGCGAAATCCACATACGGTGGCTATCAGTACATGACGTGCAACTGGAAATGGAGTGGCTCATTTCCCCGTGCTGGCCCCCAGGACATGATACATATTCCTTCAAACCTTGGCAGAGGGCCCAGTGGTGGCAATTTTCTGGGATCTATTTGGAGGTGGAATTGGGAGCCAGAAAGACTGAGGGAACACTGGTACAGATTGAGATCGAAATGGGGCTTTGTGGGCTGCTTGTAGGGTGGGAGCTGATACCCAGATTTCGCTGGCCCTTGCTTTTGTGTGGCTTTGAAGGATTCTTTGAGCCCTGGTGCACTTGCTGGGAGGGATCTGTCCTCTCCTTTCGGCTGGGACCCTCCCATGACCACTAGCAAAGAGAAGGAAGTCCTCTCTCTGTTCCCTTTGGAAGTCTGGCATGGCGACTCTGTGGACAATGGTAGCTGGTGCTCAATGGCAACTTCCCAGGAACTGGCAGAATTCCAGCCAGATGTGCCAAAGGGCACATCTGACTTCTAACAGAGACCCCAGGGACTCTTATCCAATGCCCTTAATAAAGTATTACATCCTCTCCACCAGGAGAGGGTCAAAATGGAGGTGTGATGCCTGGATCCCTCTTCAAGAAAGAACTGGCCACCTCTATTAGTTCATTTTCATACTGCTATGAAGAAATACCCAAGACTAGGTAATTTGTGGAGAAAAAGAGGTTTAATGGACTCACAGTTCCACATGGCTGGGGAGGCCTCACAATCATGCTAGAAGACGAGGGAGAAGCAAAGGCACGTCTTACATAGCGGCAGGCAAGAGAGCATGTGCAGAGGAGCTGCCCTTTATAAAACCATCAGATCTTGTGAGACTTATTCACTGTCATAAAAACAGCACTGGAAAAGCCTGTCCTCATGATTCAATTATGTCCCACCAGATTCCTCCCACGACATGTAGGGATTATGGGAGTTACAATTCAAGATGAGATTTGGCTGGGGACACAGCCAAACCATATCACCACCCTTTCTTTAACTGCCTTTAAAAAGTCCCTGGTTTTAAGATGGGACTTTTACCCAGATCGCCAGAACTGGGGAAGAAGAAGTGTGGATTTTGGTATTTGATTTTGGTTTGAAGTAACCAGTTTCGCCAGTTTACCGTGGGATAGAGGGATGACGTGAAAACTGGCGGGGACACTCTGGTGTTTGAGTTAAGTGCTTTACAACCATGGTATCAAGGAATTCTCACAGCACGACTATCCAGTGCTTTATAGAAACTGAGGCCAAGAAAGAAACATTTATCATGTCAACTCTCCCCCGAGCAATACAATAGCTTGCTCATCTCATGTGTTAAACAACCCTGTGAGGTGGCTGTTATTATTCATTTCCATTTTACAGATGAGGAAACTAGAGTCCTGAGCAGTCAAGGAGCAGACTCAAGGTTTACAAAACCAGGAAGTGGTATTCCTGGGATTCAAGCTCAAGAACTAGGTTCTTTCAATTCTGCTGCTCTCTCAAGGTGAGGACACTATAGAGCGTATGTTCTGGGCTAATCTATAAAGGCCCAGATTCCATGTGAAAGGACAGGGAACCTTTTCCCACTCTGGATGAGGGTGTAAATGGAGAGGAAGTTCTTTTTTCTTTCTTTTTTTTTTTTGTTTTTGAGATGGAGTCTCACTCTGTCACCCAGGCTGGAGTGCAGTGGCACAATCTCAGCTCACTGCAACCTCTGCCTCCCAGGTTCAAGCACTTCTCCTGCCTCAGCCTCCCAAGTAACTGGGACTACAGGCACGTGCCACCATGCCCAGCTAATTTTTGTATTTTTAGTAGAGACGGGGTTTCACCATGTTGGCCAGGATGGTCTCCATCTCCTGACCTCATGATCCACCCACCTCAGCCTCCCAAAGTGCTGGGATTACAGGTGTGAGCCACCATGCCTGGCCGACAGGAAGTTCTTTGTTAGCATGTTTCAAAAGTCAAGTGGTGAAACTTCCCAGCCACCATCTGGGTGGGAATAGCCTTGCCCTCCCACGCCGTCCATGGCAACCGGAACTGAGCAAAGCCAACAAGTCGATAGCAAACACATCCTTAACCTCCTCCCAACCCACACATGCCCTAAACCATGAGATCTGCAATTGCCAAGGGCCTCGCCTTGGCTAGAAACCAGCCCGGCATCATGATCCAGGCCTCGGAGGCTAAACCCCTGGGTAGGGAAAAAATCCTGCCCTTTACAAGTTCGTTCCTTTCTCAATTTTATTAACCAGAAGGCTGAGAGCTGACTGTGGGTTTGCAATACCACTTACCAGCTGGTGGAATCAGAGAGCAAAGCCCTTTCTCCTGGAACCAGCCTGAAGGCCACGCCAAGCCACCAGATGGGCAGTAAAATCTTTTAAACAGCTGCTGTCTATGGCTATGCCACTACTTGTGTTGTAAGTTGATTTTATAGGGATTGTAGACAAACAGAGCCCTTCAGACTAAAAATCAAAATGACCATGTTACAAAAGCTGGTTCATCTTCCTAGCATCTTAGGATTGTAGCTGCTCCCTGGAGTTTAGCTTGGGGAACCCTAGGCTCTTTTATACTCTGGGGCCAGAATGAGGAAGTGTTGGTAGTAAGAGAGAATTGCACAGCAATGACAACAACCATGGATTGAATGGTTGCCATGTGTTTAGCAGGTGCTGTCTCATTTAATCCTTATGACAACCGTGTAAGTAGGCAATATTTGATCCATTCAATAGATGGGTATTTTAAGGCTTAGAGGTGTTAAGGATTCTCCCAGAATTACACACCTGGAAATTGGTAGAGAGGAAATTTGAATCAAGGTGTTCCTAATGATAAAACCTAGGCCTTTACCTTTGGGTATATTTCCCTACTCATAGTGATTCCCATCCACCTATGGAACAATATCCACCCTCGGAATAAATAATCATAAAAGAAATGAGTAACTCCAATAGAAGAAAAGGGTCTATGGCTCAGTGCTCAGTAACACATGGCTACACAGCTTCCCGGGTCTTCTGACTCCACATTCCATGTGCTGCCTCAATTTCCCCAGCTATAAAATGAGGATGCTAAGATTATCCCTTCATTGGGTTGTGTTGAGAAGTGATAAGATAATAAATGCAAAATGCTTAGCGTGAAGCTTGACCTATAGTTAAGAATCCAATAAACGTTGGCTCTTCTTATTGTTTGTCTTATTACCATTATCTATAAAACGATATAGGGCATCCCTTTGTTCTGTTCCCTTAAGACCATTTCAGTGCATGGATCATGTCTGTACTGGGAAGAAAAACATTGAGAGTTCTGCCTCGCTTTGTTTTTAGAAGCCAAACTAGTCCCCTCTTTCTTTCACCATATTGGTAGAAAGTTCATAACATTCAAACCAGATCCTGTTTAACCTTTTGCCCAACATAGCTTTACCTACTTCAAACCCCTTTGGCTCTCTGAGGCCTGGCTTCCTTCAGGCTCAGGCTGTAAATGTTTGACTTTGATTTGAGATACATGACAATAAATTAGGGGACATTTATCAAAGCTGCTTTTTGCATAAATTACTGCATTATACAAATACACTTAGCAGGATCCTGCTTCTTTGATGTTGGGACCAAAGATTTATGTGCAATGGAGTTTTTATTTATCTGCCCTGTTCACCTCTACAAGAGCTGGACATATTCCTCAATTAGTTCCATACTTCTCGAAATGACATGTATCTCTTGCAACTTGAGTAGAGGGAACAAAGACACTTAAATGCCTTCCGAGTGGCTGTTTTAAGGAGAGGAGAAGCTTTATCTGACCGAGAGTGTCTCTGAACTCTTTCTCCTGAGAGCGGATTGAAAGGCATTCAAAAACCTGTTGCTCTGGAATCCTCCCCCACCATTTAAAAAAGAAAAGGAGGAAGGCATTTATTCTTTAACATTATTTATTATTATTATTATCATCATTACCATTATCATTATTAAGAGAGCCACAGAAACATAAGTGTCTATTTTCAACAGCAAGTAGGTTAAGCAATACAGAGATCTCCTTGTCATGGCCTTCTGGTTTCTGACCCACTGAGTAAATTTCATGGAGTAAAGGTTTGTGTGACCTGGGGAATGGGCCAAGATTTTTAGGTTCATTGGCCATTAAACTTTTTTTCATACGCTCATTGAGGTGATTACCCTAAAGTTACTTTTTTTTCCTAAAGAAGAACATTTTGAAAAGGAAAATTAGCAAATCCTGTCATGGCTATTTCACAAAAGATGATGCAGTTGTCAGAACGCAGGGCTTGAAGTAGAGATATGGTCATGGCCCAGATGTGTAGCATCCTGAATGGAGTGGGACAGCCCCTTCCGAGTAACTCCTGCCCATTTTCAGAAGTGGGCTCCAGGGTTGCTTCTAGTGGAATTCTAGGAATACCATATGGGTAACCCTCTGTCCCTCAGACAGCAGCCACCACTGTGAAGACAGGGAAGATGAGACAGAGACCTGGGGTGAGAAAGCTTCATGAGTGTCACCCCATGCAAGCAGGAGGAAGTCTTTTAGGCTCTGTGCTACAGTGCAAGCACACAGGCTGACAGACAGGGACCCATACCAGCAGCCAATGATAGGAATAACTGTCCCCACGCCGACAGCTGTGACTCATGCCCAAGGCAGCCCCCTCTGGGGCTAGAAGTCAGGGGGAAAGCAGTTCTCCACCTTAGCAGCAAAACTACACCTCCATCCTTCCCTCAAGCTCCTGGGGAACATTCCTCCCCTTACCTCATTTACCATTTGCCTCCTCTGGAGCCCAGCATCTTATCCTTATTCTCAGTGGAGTCATCCATAGTCCCTGAAGCCCCTGTGATGTGTAGACAAAGCAGAGAACACAAGTTAGAAAGGTCCAACTTAGGGAAGGATTTGGCTGAGTGAAGATGAGAAGAAATGGCCCTTCAAAATGGTGAGAGAGTCAGATAGAGGAGGCAGAGTTATTTAGGAATAATAATGCTATTATGGTAATGTCTGCATTTATTGAGCACCTGTTCTAGCCATGCACTTATGTACTGTGTCATCTAACTCTCCCACAACCTATGGGATTGAGACTGTTGTTGGCTCCATCTTACAGATGAGCAAACTGAGGTTCCAAGAGATTACGTAGCTTTCCCTATGTCACTCAACCTGTAAACTGCAGAGCAGGGATACAAACCCAGTCTGACTGCAGATATTCCTACTGGTGAAAAGCCAGCAAGGCTAGAGTGGCTGTGTGGGCACTGGGATCAGCAGCAGTACACATTCGTTACTAGGCAGCTGCACAAACACATAGCATAGAAGGGCACCCATAGAGGCATAATTGCAGTCCCGCTCTCTGCAGGATCACAGCACCTGGTGGGAGAAATGATAGCAAAAGGCAGAGTTTGGGTTTCTAATTAGGAAGGACTTGAACACCCTATTAAAGAATTTGTGAAAGCTCATGAGCAACAGTGGCCATGCAAGAGGGCCCTAAGACTTTCTGGCCACACCTATCTGCAGGCAGCACTTGAATGGTCTCACCTGCCAAAGAGTCTGCTAATGTAGTGCCCTTGTGCTGACCACGCAAAATAATCAAAACAAAAAGGCCCTTCCTATGTATCCGGGAATCACCTCCAAGTTGGCTATTCAACTTATGCCAGGGACTCTACACCACCCTATGTCCAAACATGAGGCCTCCACCTCAAGGGTGTTCAGCTGAAAGTCACTGTTAATGCTTCCAGATAGTGGACAGAAATATCCTCCCATCCCAGTCCACCACATAATTGGTGAAGAGAGTGGGGGCCAGAGAGTTCACAATAATTTCTTGAGTATTTTGGTGGAAATGCACAAGAAGTGTATTTCAAACTCTAGACTTTGTAGAATTCTATTCTTCCCATAATAGCTATCTGACTTTGGACAATTTTCCTACCTTTCTACTCCTTTCCACATCTGAAAAACATGGATTACACTACATTTCCTATAAAGCTCTTGTAAAGATTTAAAAAGATCTCAGGGCAAAGCGAATCTTGCACAGCACCTGATACATACTGGGTGCTCAGGTTAAGCTAACGTCATTCTTTCTAAGTCTATTTCAACTGGCAAGTCTTGTTCTTTGACGAAGACACATTTTTAAGTAAACTTTTTTTTTTTTTTAGATTTGCAGAGTTATCATGAAGATAGTGAGGCAGGAGAATACGGTCTGGAGGTAGGGAACCTAATACCATTTCACGCTGACTTCCTAGAACTAAATTGAAAGGAAACCCCAACTTTCCATGCCTAAGTAACAAAAGGATTAGAGGCTACTGATTCTGATACTGATTGCAGACCACCACTTCACTTACATGAGGTAAGCACCATGGCCAATGGGAAACCTCTAGGGGGTATTTGGATTCAAGAAGATTCTGTATCTGGGGCCCTTTAGCTGCTGCTCAGCCCGCTCCCACACTGTGGAGTGTACTTTCACTTTCAATAAATCTCTGCTTTCATTGCTTCACTCTTTCCTTTCTTTGCTGTGCATTTTGTCCAATTCTTTGTTTAAAACGCCAAGAACCTGGACAACTTGCGGTCCAGACCTTCTACCGGTAATGATAGTGTAGAGAATTCCTGCATATTCCATATGCAGTTTCTCTATTATTAACACTTTAACATTAATATGGGACAAGTGTCACAATTAATGAGCCAATAGTAATATAGTATTATTAACTAAAGTTCATACTGTATTCAGATTCTCTCAGTTTTTCCTAATGTCATTTTTCTGTTCCAGGATCCCATCCAGGACCCCACATGACATTTAGTACTCATGTCTCCTTGGGCTTCTCTGAACTGTGACCATTTCTCAGGCTTTCCTTGTTTTTGATGATCTTGGCAGTTTTGAAGAGGACCGGTCAGGTTTTTGCAGAATGTCCCTCAACTGAAATTTGTCTGATATTTTTCTCTTGGTTAGAGTGGGATGATGTGTTTGGGGGAGGAAGATGACAGAGATAAAGTGTCATTCCCATCACATCATATCAAGGGTCCATGCTGCCAACATGACTTACCACTGTTGATGCTAACCTCGATCATCTGGCTTCAAGTACCATTGTGAAGTGATTCTTTCTTTTCTCCCTTTTCATACAGTGCTCTTAAAGTTGCTATGTACAGCCCACACTTGAGGAGTGGAGAATTATCCTCAACTTCTTTAAGTGCAGAATATCTACGTAAATTATTTTGTATTCTTCTGCACAGAAGATTGATCTATTCTTCCCCATTTATTTATTTACTCAACCATTTATTCATATCATCATGAACTTGTGAATATTTATTTTATTCTTTAGGTTATAACCCAATGCTACTTTATTTTGTTACTCAAATTGCTCTAGCTCTGGCCATTGGCAGCTCTTTCCTGTATCCCTCGGACATAGTCCCATCATTGTGGGTTTGGTCTGATGGCTAGATTTGTGTTTGGTTTTGTCTTGCTTTTAGCACTTTCTTACTTTCTAGCACTATAAGATGCTTCCAACTTACAGATTTGTTGCCCCAGACCTAGAGTCCTAGAATCACCCATTTCTCTAAAGCCTGATTCCATTTATTGGAGAATGGTATTAGAAACCAAGATTAGGGAACTAGACATGGACATCACAACTAGATATGGGTGTCACTACTTCTAAGTCCTTTCAGCTGGCAGTGCAACAAGACATAGGAATGTATATTAACCTATAAATACACACATATGTATAAAAATGTCTACATGTAAATGTGTATCCATATCAAACTAAACATGAGTCCACTGTGACATCTCTAACTCTAAACCATTACTATATGGCTTTATTTTAACCTCAGACCCTCCAACCAACCAACAGTGGTTGGTATTTTAACCAACCACTCCAACCATGAAAACCTTGGCTCCCACCCTCTGCCATTGTTTACTTAGTACTTCAGCTCCAATGCACATGTCTAGTAGTTTCCAAATTGCTAACCTCTCCCTTTGTAGGAAACAACTGTATCAACTACAGTACGGTGCTTATGTACATTTCCCTTGTCTTACAGACTCCACTCATTTTCAGTTACTTAAGCCAGCATCTTATTCTCCCATCTATTTCAGTGAAGTTGGTTTATACATTTGTAATACAGTTGGGTTCCTTTTTCACATTCGGCACTCCATCTTGGGATTCCCCAACCTCTTAAATTATTATTTTTTAATTTGTAGACATTAAGGTTTACTCTTTGCACTGTAAAGGTCTGTGGGTTTTGACAAATGCATAATATCATGTTCATCATTACAGTGCCATACAGAATAGTTTCTCTCACCTAAAAAATCTACTGTGCTTCATCTCATCAATCATCCCCCTGCCTCACCATAAATCCCCGGCAACCACTGATCTTTTTACGGTCTCTATTATTTTTACCTTTTCCAGAATGTCATATAGAAGAAATCTATATGTAGCTTTTTCAGATTGGCTTCTTTCATTTTGCCTTGTCTTTTTGAAGCTTGCTAATTCATTTATTTTTATTACTGAAAACAATAAAACTGTGGTATGAACGTACCACAATTAATTTATTCATTCACCTATTGAAGGACATATTGGTTGCTTTCAGTTTTCGGTAATTATGAATAAAGCTACTATAAACATTCGCATGCAGGTTTTTGTGTAGCTGTGTCTTCAAGTCAGTTGGGAAAATCCCTAGGGGTTGAATTGCTGGATCATATAGTCAGACTAGGTTTAGCTTCATAAGAAACTACCAGGCCAGGTGCAGTGACTCATGCCTGTAATCCCAGTACTTTGAGAGGCCAAGGCAGGAGAATTGCTTAGGGCCAGGAGTTCAAAACCAGCCTGGGCCACAAAGGGAGATCCTAGCTCTACAAAAAATCAAAAAAAGTTAGCCAGGCTTATTGGTTAGCCACACACCTGTGGTTCCAGCTACACTTGAGGCTGAGGCAGGAGGATAGCTTGAGCCCAGGAGGTAAAGGCTACTGTGAGCCATGTTTGTACCACTGTACTCCAGCCTGGGTGACAGAGCAAGACATTGTCTTGAAAAAAAAAAAAAAAAAACCTACCAAAATGTCTTCCAAAGGGATTGCACCATTTGCATTCCCACCAGCAATGAATAAGAGTTCCTGTTGCTGCATAACCAGCCGTTGGTATCATCAGTTTTTGGATTTTACTCCTCCTCATAGATGTGTAGTGGTGTCTCATTGTTATTTTAATTTGCAATTCCATAATGACACATGATGCCAAGTATTCTTTCTTACCCCTATTTGCCATCTGCATCTCTTTTTTTAGTAAGGTATTTGTTCAAACCTTTTGCTCATTTTTAAATTGAGTCATTATGCTTTCTCACGGTTCAATTTTAAGAGTGCTTTGTGTATTTTTAATAAATTATTTTTTCTTATCTTTGCCATTCTTTTTGGGCCAGCTCCACTCATGTTGTCCCTACCTCCCTGCATCTGAATCATTCTGAGTTTAGAATACATGAAATGTTTCATGTTCCCAACCTTGCATACCAAAGCTCAGAGAATTAAAAAGGAGGAGCTCCCCAGCTGTGACCACAACTTAGCTGCCTAAGAGTCCTGGATGAGCCTGAAAAAGCTCAGTCAGACTGAGCCCACCCTTTTGGACATCCCCAAGGACCCCAGTAAACTTCAGAAATTGCCCATGTACCTCATGAGATCATGTGTGGTGAGGGAGCTCCCCTCATCCCAGAGCTGCCCCAGCAACAATTTCAAAGCAATGCACCCAAAGGCTATAATGTTTTAAGCTGCAAGTGTCCTTGAAGAGCTTTTAGTTCATTTTACAAATGAATAAACTGAGGTTCAGCTCATAGATGTTACTAGGTGTTGCACCAGAAAAAGGCAAACAGATTTTGATATATTTAGGATTAATCACAGTTAAACTCTTCAACTCCTTGCTATTCAAAATGCAAAAAATATCAGCATCACATTGGAGCATATTAGAAATGCAAACTCTTAGCCCCCAGTTCATACCTGTTGAATCAGAACCTGCATTTGAATAAGTCCCCCCTCCACAGTTTATTTGAATGTTCACTGAAGTTTAGGAACTTTGTCTTAAGTCAATGGTTTCTCAAATCATTATCGAGCAACTACTACAAGTTTGTCCAACCCGTGGCCCATGGGCTGCATGCAGTCTGAGATGGCTTTGAATGTGGCCCAACACAAATTTGTAAACTTTCTTAAAACACTGTGAGATTTTTTGTTGCAATCTTTTTTTTTTTTTAGCTCAACAACTATCATTAGTGTTAGTCTATTTTATGTGTGGCCCAAGACAATTCTTCTTCTTCCAATGTGGCCCAGGGAAGCCAAAAGATTGGACAACCCTGATCTACTACATGGCAGACATTGTGCCGAGCGTTAGGGATTCATCACAAGACAGATAATCATACCTGATCTCATGGAGTTAGTCTTGAGTGGACACCAACATCCACAAATTACTTCTCAAGTAACTGGTTCCTTAGCTACATTTGTGATTTATACCATAATGAAAGAGTGTATTTGAGAATCAGAGACCTGGAGGATGGATGGGTAGGCTAAGCCTAGGCTAAAGACAGCATGGAGGATGAATCTATGTGCATGGCAAATCATGAAGAAAAGAGAGTGTAACGGCAAAGATTCCCAAGCGTTTTTGATCCTGGCATCCTGCAGAGCATTGCATAGCACTGATGTTCTGCAGAACAACACCCTTTAAAAAGCACTGCCCTAGAAGTTACGTGACCCTCCCCAAGACCTAAAAGGATGGTGGGGTGGGAGCCCTAACCTAGCTTTTTTGTTTCCTAAAACTAAGGCCTTTTCATCACACCAAGCTACCCTGTCCCAGTCACTGAGAGGACCCCAGGATGACAGAGACTGAGGCCCTGGGCATCAGGCTGGCTGCCAGCCAGGCTGGACACACATGCGAGTTATTTTCATGGGGCAGCAAATTCTGGAAAATATGTGGTTTAGAAGCAACATAATTATCATCCTCTAAAATTAGGCTCATAGTCTAAACAACCCCAAGTCTTCCTTCTGCAAAAAAACAAACAATCGCAGGCAGGAAGCCTGCAGTGATGCATGTCATGTTGGCCAACAGGCCTGCTAGTCTCCCTGCTGAGCTGAAAAGGCAAACAGCATGCAAAAATGTAAATATTATATTATTTTTCAAATACCACCTTTTCCATTCTCGCCCTAGCTGGCTCTGTCTGTCCACCTTGGCGCCCTCTGGAGACCCTACTCCACCCCCGCAAGCTTTGGCCGCGAAAGCCGTAGATGCAGTTTTTCAGAAGCCATTATCTAAACTGCTGATGTAATAAGGCCCTGGTATATGAAATTCACTTAATAACTCATGCATAGTTATTTATTGTGAACCCGGGTGCATTCTCCTTGATTCCATTTCCCAGCGAAATATAAGTGCAGCTTTCATCATGAGCGCCTGAATTTATGGCAAACAGACCAAGTGACATTAAGAAAGCCTCACAATCCCTTCATTCAGTCTTTAATAAGGAAGCCAAGGAAAAATTATCCTAGCTGGTTTGTGGGTGACAGCACAAGAACTTTCTGGAGTCAGAAAGTTAGCACTGCGCCTCCTTGTCAGCCCATTAAAAAGCAAAGCTGGCATGGCATGATATTAGAACCATGTGTGAGAAGGAATTTCTCCTCTGGTAAGACATTCCAAATACTGTCTCTGAGCCAAAGACTTTGGTGTTAGACTAATTTAAGCAGCATGTTGAAATCAGCGCTCAGGACTTTGATCATACGGAGATCGTTTGTTACAAATTGAACTAACCCAGTCTCTATTTCTGGCGGATCAGAACTTTGGATTTGTTGAATTAAATGCCTCATTTAGTGCCGTTTGCACATGAAAAGGAACGCTACACTCAAGAATCTGATAGTGAATTTTTCACCTGACCAACAGGTCTACTTTTTTATTACTTTTAAACCTAATCCATACTCGGTCCACACTGTTCCTAATAACCCCAGGGCTGTTCAGAGTGAAGTTTTAAATCAACTCCCATGTTATTGGGGGCTGGGTCGGCGGGCGTTGAGGGGTGGTGGCAGGGTAACGTGGGTTTCTGAACCATCCTTGAATTATCAAACCATGTAACAACATATTGAAACCCAGTACAAAAATAACAGAAAAAGAAAAAAGAAAAGAAAAATAAATTAGTCCTCGTTGTTATTTACTGTCTAAATAACCCAGTTTCCTTTCATGACAACTGTGGGCTAAAAGAGCAAAATGATTTTGCAGACCTATGATTTTTGCGCTGTTGCCTGTCTGGTCCCGTCGAAACTATTGAAACTGTGAGAGAAGAGGGTTAAAAGGGCACAAAATAGACCATTTCCACATATGGCTACACTTTCTTTTCATTTTTGAAGTTATAATATCTTTAACTGTAGATAATGATATTATAAACTGTCATTTAGTGCATTTTAAGTATATTACATACATGAAACAAAGACCTAGAAGGAACTGCAGCTGAAATCTTAACAAAAACATTGTGACTCAAATCCACCAAGCAGGAGACAGGTATCGAGTTTGCTGAGAATGTCCCAGAGCAGATAATCACAAACACAAATTGAGACCTGACTCCTGAGCATAAATTGTCATCCCAGCCAAGGCTGGGCAATGATGATTTAATAGTAATTAACTGTTAATTATTAACACTTGGGGTCAACAAACTACTACTTTTGGGTAACATTTTACCTTTGTATTATTTGTTTCATCTGTAACTTTTTTTTCCCATAATTTACTTATTTTTCACATAATTGACTTCTTAGTGGGGGTGGTAAGGGTGGTGGGGGTAGTGGAGATGGTGGGGGCAGAGTGTTTGAGAACCATCTCTGCTTCAGCTGTTAAAAAACCCTGCCATCTCCTCAACTAGAATAAAAAAAATAAACAAACAAACAAAACACCTATGTTTAGGAAGGGGATTCTTTCTTAAGCCCTGTGTGCAGTTTAATAATAAATATTCACCTGCAGGCTTAAAGAATCCTCTTGAATGAGGATTGTCTTCATATACAAGAAAAATAATTAATTATTAGTTTTTTTAAATGTTACTGTTATTGCATACGGAAAAATCAACAGATGATTCCTTAGTTTTATTGGCATGAAAATGAGGTTGATTTTCTCCCCTACTTTGGTGAAAGAAAATGGTTACAAAACAGATAACGATAATAAATGTTTTATTGGTGAAAAAAGAAAGATCAAATCTTTAATGAAATCAGGATGGGCTCAGAGATGAACTCCATCTGAACTCGCCAGGATTCATGGAACTTCAATTAAAACAATTTCAGAAGGACAGCTGACAGCGAGGCACTTGAAAGTGTAATTAAAATTGAGCAACATTTTAGCACCAGGTTTTCCAGTAGGATCCTGAAACATGCGGTGGCCCAGGGGAGGAGGGCAGAGAGGGTGATGGTGTCGGTGAGAAGGGGTAGGGATTCCCTGCAACATAGGTAAGAAATCCTACAGATGCTATTCAGAATCCCCAGGCACCAGCTAACAATATTTATTTTTTAATCTACTATTTTCACCTCCATCCATATAAATGAAGAAAACTGGCTTCTTGGTCTGTAGACTGGCATTTTTAATCTGAAAGATTCTTTTAAAAAAACAACCTTCTGTAAAGCCGTGCACAAGAACTCCAGTTAGAAGATCATGAAGACCATATAATAAGACAGTTAACAGTGTGGACTCTAGAGCCAGCAGACCTGGGTTCCAATCTTGCTTTTCCGTGTGCTAGCTGTGTGACCTTAGTCAGATTCTTTAACTTCTTGGAGCCTCGTTTTCCCAGCTGTGAATTGGGACAGTGATGGCACCTTGTTCTTACAGTTGCCAAGAGTCTTTAACAAGATGTTCTGGGCAAAGCGCTTAAAGCAGTGGCCTGGCACCTAGTTTGCACCCAATAACTGTGGGCAAATATTGTTCTTTATTAGAGCTGAGAATTAGGAGAGTTAACTCCAGGAGTTCAGCCTCTCCTTTTAAGAGGCAAAGCCCTCTTCCAGATGTGGGAGCAGCACAGTTCAGACAAAATGGAAGTTCTTAGGTGGTGAAATATGGGGCCCCTTAGCCAAGGCTGGGGAGCTTTGCGAAAGGAACATCTTGGCTTCAGGCATGAGGGCTCATGCTCACCTCCCAAAGAAGCTGGGGCAGGCAAATGTGCAGCGGAGGCTGGGGAACTTAGAGAGACTCTGTTCTGGCCTCCCTCAGTCAAAAAAATAAAAAAAAAAGGAGGCAAGAGAAAGGCAGAGAGGAACTAGGAGGAGAAAAAGAGGAAGGAAGGAAGGAAAGAAAGGAGAGAGGGAGGGAGGAGGAGGGACGGAGGAGGAGGGAGGGATGGGGAAAAAGAGGGAAAGAAGGAAGTGATAGGGAAGAGGGGTAGAGAAGTGCTGAGTAGAGAAGGGTGTGGTCCCTGGCTAGGACTTCACCCGGGGCCTGTGCCCACGAACCTAGATGAGGACAAGCATTTCTGTTTTCCTGCCTAAATGTTGCATTTCCCAAGACCACCCTGGCCTGCCACGCCCCCATCTTGTGCCTATAAAAACTCTGAGACCTTAACAGGCAGAGACACAAGCGGCTGGACGAGGAGAGGAGTGCACCTGTGGAAGAGCACACCGGCAGACACTGGCAGGCCATTGACTGGCGAAAGGACTCAGAGTTTGGCCGGGGCAGTCGGAGGAGAGCCCAGGCCTCTGAGCGGCCTGACTCCAGGAAAAACCCACCTCCCTTCTGGCTCCCCCATCTGCTGAGAGCTACTTCCACTCAATAAAACCCGGCACTAATTCTCCAAGCCCACGTGTGATCTGATTCTTCCAGTACCCCAAGACAAGAAGCCCCAGGTTACAGAAAGCCCCTGCCCTTGCGATAAGGCAGGGGTCTAATTGAGCTGACTACTATAAGCTGCCTATAGATGGCTAAAGTAAAAGATCACCCTGTAATGCACGCCCACTGGGGCTTCAGCTGTAAATATTCACCCCAGACACTGCCGTGGGGTCAGAGCCCTATAACCTGCCTATCTACATGCTCCCCTAGAGGTCTGGGCACTGAAGAAGCAAGCCACACCCCCATCACACACCCTGCAAGGAGGACAAGGGAACTTTCCTGTGGAAGGAAGGAAGGAAGGAAGGAAGTGAGGGAGGGAGGAAAGAAGGAAGGAAGGAAGGAAGGAAGGTAGGTAGAAAGCAAGCGAGCCATCTTCAGTCCACGACATTCTAGCCCATCTCTGCTCCTTTACTTTGGGTCCCATGAGAGTCATATCTCTGCCACAAACCTTCCTCTGGCTTGAATCATCATAAGTGGGCTTCTGTTCCTTGGTCACCAAAAGAGCTGTACCCGCCACTCTGAGCAGTCATATGAAGTGTCAGGGAGGGGTTTTCCACAGCATGACCAAGGCAAAGAACCCATGTTCACAGACACCCAGCTCCACAGAGCGCAGTGGGAAGCAGGGTTTGCACACAGCACCCCTAGGATTCCTGAGAATCACCTAAAACAAACCAACAGTGGCCAAACCCAACAGCCAGCACCTGGCCTTTCTCTCTGCCCAGGTTCTGACTTACAATGGATCTAGACAGACGATCTCTGGGTACCACCCACCTCCTGGAGAAATCGTCTCTCTGACCCCCTGCAAGTGAGTGTTGGGGGCTGACAACAGTTTCCCAAACTTTTAAGTCCCTCTTAAGTAGGAGCTCCACATTGGCTTTTGGGAACTAGTTCATGATCTTAAGTTAATGCATCCCAATCTGTGAATAATAGAAAAAAAATTAATTACATATCCTTTGGACTGCCTTCTTTGATTTTTAAAAATATAGCTGTAGCAGCAGAATTACATTCCAAATTATATTGGGTCCAGCTTATTAAAATGGCTTTCAATTCCCTGAGCACACAGTGATAGACAGCCAGGCAGGGGAGCTGAAACACCGGGATTCTTTCCTTTTTATTTTTTTTTAACTTATTGCAGATAAGCCACATGCAGATAACTGAGAATTGACTGTTTCCATTTCCAATTAATCTATTTCCTCTGGTGTCTGGTATTTACTCCTAGACTTCCCCTGGTTTGCAGTACAAGCCAACACTCTTTTAATACTCTAAATCCATTAGACACTTTTCTTTTCCCTTGTGGACAAAGGAGAAATGTTTTCGTGCAACTTTATGGAAGCCATCAATCTCCCTGAGAGGTTTGCCACGCTCAACAGAATCTGCATTATAACTTATGCAAAACAGAGGACAGCCAGCATGGGGGGAAATCCCAGTTTCTTTGAGCAGTAGCAATGCATTAAAGAAAACATGCATTTCTGCTGAAATTCATATTGGTAAATGGATTTCCCATCTGAAACATTGTTTTTTCACTAAGAGAAGCTTTTAATCCCCTTAAGTTCCTTTCTAATCTGCCTTGGAAGTGCTTGTCTCAGGAATATAACAGCGATGATATAACAGATTTAATTTATTAGAACGAGACAGCAGCCAGCCAGCAGAGTACACAGAGTGCGTGCCCGCCGGCAGAGTGGGGCCGTCATTCCTGGGTGGAAGAAGCCTGTCCGGTCTCCTCCTGAATCCAGCCCCACTGCACCGCCACAACACCCAAGTTCAGATCGCAGCTCCCTGTGCTCTCTCTGGAGTAAACACCCTGGCTTCACGAGGTTGAGGTTAAGCCCTTTATTCTCTAAAGGCCAGAAGAGAGCTGAAGAAGGCAGGTCCTCAAATGATCATCACTGTCCCCTGCCTGCTCCCACTGTTTCATCCTCTGGATAATAGACCACAGGGTGGGAGTCGAGACCACTCAGCCTGTGGGGTCCGTTGCCTCAAAGCTTGGTGAGGGATCTCCTGGTCTGACGGGCCACTTTGGGTAGCAAATGGCCACAGTAGGCCAAGAGTCGAAAGGAGAGGAGACGCAAACACCACCCTTACCATACCACATCCTGTTTCCAACCGAGATGCAGAAGGAAATGATACAAAAGCCAACAAGCCCTATTCAATCCAAATCTACTTGATTTAGAGAGCCAGCAAGAAATTAATCTTTTTTTTTTTTTTTTTTTTTTTTGGAGATGGAGTCTCGCTGTTGCCCAGGCTGGAGTGCAGTGGTGCGATCTCATCTCACTGCAACTTCTGCCTCCTGGGTTCAAGCGATTCTCCTGCCTCAGCCTCCCAGGTAGCTGGGATTACAGGTGTGCACCACCCGCCTGGCTAATTTTTGTATTTTTAGTGGAGACGGGGTTTCACCTGTTGCCCAGGCTGGTCTCAAACTCCTGACCTCAGGTGATCCGCCTGCCTCGGCCTCCCAAAGTGCTGAGATTACAGGTGTGAGCCACCACGCCCGGCCAAGAAATTAACTCTTTTGGCTTATCCTGATTCATTCTGTAATCCAACACATTCAGCGTCCTGGTTGACCTGGGGCAGCTCTGAGCATGCGGTGGCTGAGCCTACGTGGCTGACGGGTGTCCACACCAGCACAATGTCCCCCGGTGTGTCCACACACAACTCCTTTTCCTCTTCCTCTGAACAGAAAGCTGCTCATTTACCCATTCAATCCCTGCATATTGATGCTCTCACAAGCCAGCCTTTGACTCATGGGAATAACTCTTCCAACCCCAGGGAGAAGCACGTGACTTCAGCACAGGACCTTGGTGTCACTTTCTAAGTTGGTGCCTCTGCTGTCACACACAGTATCTACTCTAGTGGTTAAGAATGTAGCCTCTGGAACCAGAAAGGGCTGGGTTAGAATCCCATCTCCAGGACTTACATAGCAGGAGACACTGGGTAAGCAAGTCCACCTCACTGAGCTGCTATTTTGTCATTTATAAACTGGGAACAGGACCATTTACTACCAGTGAGGAATAAATGATGTGATTTTATAAACTCCTCAGCAGAGTGCCCAGCACATAGTAAGTACTGATTAATTATAGCTATTATTACATACATAGACTTACCAACAGGAAAATTTACACTTCTGTTTATTCACTCATTCCCCAATGTTTATTGAACACCTATGATGGGCCTGGCTCGGCATTAGATACTCTGTTTTTCCATTTTGTTTTGTTTTGTTTTGTTTTGTTTTGTTTTGTTTTGTTTTGTTTGAGATGGAGTCTCACTCTGTCACCCAGGCTGGAGTGCAGTGGTGCAATCTCGGCTCACTGCAACCTCTGCCTCCTGGGTTCAAGCAATTCTCCTGCCTCAGTCTCCAAGTAGCTGGGACTACAGGCGTGCACCACCACGCCTGGCTAATTTTTTAATATTTTTTGTAGAGATGGGATTCTTCCATGTTGCCCAGGCTGGTCTCAACTCCTGGGCTCTCCCTTTGGGAGGACAAGGTGGGAGGATCACTTGAGGCCAGGAGTTTGAGACCAGCCTGGGCAATATAATGAGACCCCCCTCTCTACAAAAAATAGTTGTAGTAAGTTAGCCGGGCATGATGGCGTGTGCCTGTGGTCCCAGCTACTTGAGAGGCTGGGGTGGAGAATTGCTTGACCCCAGGAGCTTAAGACTGCAGTGAACTATGATCTTGCCACTGCACTCGAGCCTTGGTGACAGAATGAGACTGTCTCAAAAATAATAATAATAATCATCATCATCATTCTTTTTTTTTTTTTTGAGACGGAGTTTCGCTCTGTCGCCCAGGTTGGAGTGCAGTGGCGCAATCTTGGCTCACTGCAAGCTCCGCCTCCCGGGTTCACTCCATTCTCCTTGTTCAGCCTCCTGAATAGCTGGGACTACAGGCACCCGCCACCACGCCCGGCTAATTTTTTGTATTTTTAGTAGAGACGGGGTTTCACCATGCTAGCCAGGATGATCTCGATCTCCTGACCTCATGATCCGCCTGCCTTGGCCTCCCATAATCATCATCATTCTTGATGGAATGCAAATTTGCATTCATTCTTTAATTTGAATTTTCTATGCCCCCCCCAAAAAACACACACAGTAGATATTGAGAGCAGATATTATCATCCCACTTTACAGAGGAGTGGACTGATGCAGTAAGACTAGGAAGCATGTGGCAATGCTCAAGACAGCGGGGGGTGGGGTCTGAGACAAGCCTCCACCCAGACTTTTCGTTGAGTAGGATTTCCCAGAAAATGAGGATCCTGAATCTGGACAATGTAGAACACAGTAACACAAAACCCACGTGTACATGACCCCCACAGCCTCAGGACATACCCCATCCCGTGGCAAGTGTGTACTTAGGTAGGAAACCATATCCCACACTCAGTGGGAGCCGGAGGTCGGCTGTCTTGAGATGCTGAGAAGGAGGCCAGGAAAGAAAAAGAGGCTCTGGAACTTGATGCTTATTAAAAGCACTTGCTCACAAGCTGTGTTCAGGCCCACATGGTGCCCAAAGCCTGGAACCTCGGCCACAGCAGGGGTCAGTGCCCCGTCCTGACAGGCATGAGCTGGGGAGTCTGGGCTGAAGATGGATGGGGGCGCGAAACATGCCCGTGACAGCAGTAATCCGCACGACCCAGAGAGGCAGGCTGGTATTTTGGCCACTTCCCCAACGCTTTTTATGTGGGGAGGGAATTTTCATCATTTCAGACATAAATAATTCCAGGAACAGTGTCGAGATCAGACACATCAAAACTAACCACTCCCGGCAACACAAAGGCTCCTACTACTGGGCTAGACTTATTTCTCGGTTGCAGAGCTGCCTAGGGCAGGGCTCCAACGGGCATTGAAACTTGCCTGGCACCTCTATGCTGGGTCCTTGGTGAAGTCCCTGTCCTGCTCAGCAAGATGCTCGTCTCATGCCTTCTCCTCCCTCCTCAAATTTTGTGTCACTTCCTCTCCCCTCACCCTGGGCTGACACCCCTGCCTCATTCTTTATGGAGGGACTGGAAGTGATCAGATTCACACTCTCTCATTTGCCACAAACTTGCCCACACCTGCGCCCCACTCTCCTTCATCTTTCTGCATATAGTGAAAGACATGTTCTTCCTCCCACCATAGGCTACCCTCCACTTGTATCCGGAACCTTCTCTCCTTCTACGAGTCTCCACCCTTCCAGTTACACACATCAACAACCCCCTCTGTCCTGGATCCTTCTCACCAGCAATCACACATACTTCAGTATCTCCCATCTCAAGAAACCAAACCAAAACAAAAACTATCCCCTGATCCCTCATCTTTCCCCATTTAAGTCCTGTTTTGCTATTTCCCATCTTGGCAAAATATCTCACAAGTGTATCCAAGTCCTGTCTCTATTTCTTCAACCAAGTGCAACCTGGCTTCCTCACCACACCATGGAAACTGTTCTCGGTCAAGCTTATTAATGAGCTCCATTTCCTCAGGTGCAAGAGAATCTTTCTTCTTTGTGTTCTCAGGGGACCCCTTGTTCCCCCTTGAGGCATCTCTTCTCCTTGTTTCTGCTTTCCTGCCCTCTCCTCTCTCTGGTTTCTGCTTCTCAGTCTCTCATTGACCACCCTTGCCCCCACCTTCTAGACGCTGAGGTGCCCCTAGGTTAATCCTCAGCCCTCTTCTCACTCTTAGTTCATTTTCTCTTTAGGTGAGTTCCTTCATTCCCATGGTTTTAAATACCATCTATGTAATACTGACTTTCAAATTATAGCCCCAGCCCAGAAAGATCCTTAGAGCTCCAACTTGTATATCTGGTTGCCTTCTTGACATCTCCTCTTGGACGTCTAACAGGCCTCTCAACTTGACATTTCCATGACTAGGCAGTTCACAGACCAAGAAATACAACAGGCTTTTTAGACATGCTGAAGGTGTTCAGCGTCACTGAGAGTCAATAAAATGCAAATGAAAACAAAAGTGAGATTTTTTTCACCAATCGGTATAGCCAAGAGAGATGAAAACATTTAAAAACACACTGTTGATAAGTATTGGAGGTAAAAGGTGCCTTTGTAAATCAGTGGGGAATATAAATAATCCTTTTGTAGGGCAAATTGTCAATGCCTATTAAAATGAAAAACACACATCCTCTCTGACCCAGCAATTCTGCTTCTAAGAATTTCACGTATCTATCTATCTCTCTCTATATAGATATCTCCAATTAATATGTTTAATAAATGTAATTATTTCCAATATTTATCTGATATATATGATACCATATATATGATATGATGTATGACATATATATATAATATATATAGTGTCACACATCTGCAAATCAATGTTGAAATCATTCAGGAAACCACCTAATACCAGCAATAGATGGGTGGCATAAGTGAAAATGCAGTTTCACAGGGAAATACCATTTAACTGTTAAAAGAATGGAAAAAACCTTTACAAGCTAGTACAGGAAAATTTCCAGGGTATTATGTTAAATGAAAAAAATGAAAGTGCGGAAGGTTGTATGTAATATGGTATTACTGGTTTTTAAATGAAGGATAATAGAGACAGAGATACTGACACATAAATGCTGAGGTAAATAAAAAATGCTACTGGAAGGAGACACATAAAATTTGTGAAGGGGAGGGCAATAAGACTAGGAGACCAGTATCCCAGGGAATTAGGATACTTTCCCCGTATACTGTTTTGTGCTGTTAGATTTTTTTTTTTTAAAAAAACATGCCATTTCTTACATTTTAAATTTTAAAATAAAGTTATTTTTCATATCCTGGTTCCTTCTCACCTTTCAGTGCTCAGCTGAAATGCAGTCTTCGGCACAGCCTTCCTAGAGGACTCTATGACAATCACCCTTGTTTTTCCTCTCTCCCTGCAGAGTAGTTCCCCTTTTAAGCTATTTTTTTTAAGACTGAGATTCACTCTGTCGCCCAGGCTGGAGTGCAGTGGCGTGATCTCAGCTCACTGCAACCTCTGCCTCCCAGGTTCAAGCGATTCTTATGCCTCAGCCTCCAGAATAGCTGGATTACAGGCACCCGCCACCACACCCGGCTAATATTTTTTGCATTCTTAGTAGAGACGGGGTTTCGCCATATTGGCCAGGCTGCTCTCGAACTCCTGGCCACAGGCGATCCACCCACCTCAGGTTCCCAAAGTGTTGGGATTACAGGCATGAACCACTGAGACAGGCCTTAAGCTATTTTAAATATTGAAATTTCAAGGAAGATTTCATTCAAGTAAGATCTCCCCTCAAAGAGGCTTCCCTGTGCACCCCATCCACAGTAATGTGCTCCCCAGTCATTCTCAAACCCTTTCCCCTGCTTCTTTCTTTTCAATGTATGTGTCACCACCTGACATACTATATAGTTTTTCATTTGTTTATTGTTGGTTTTCCCCCATTAGAATGTAAGTTTCAGAAGAGCAGGAATCCTGCCCATCTTGTTCACAGCTCTGTCCCCTGTGGCTAGACTAGTGCTTGGCAAACTGCAGATGCTCATTCAATATTTGTAGAATGAATGAGTAGGTTCTCCTGCTAGGGAAAACAAATAAATAAAAAGACATTTTAAAGGCCACAGATCTAGAAAAGAAAATATCTAAAGCCACCAGTTTAGTGCTGGGTCTAAAATCCATTGTTGGGGCCCGGCGTGGTGGCTCATGCCTGTAATCACAGCACTTTGAGTGGCCAAGGTGGGTGGATCACTTAAGGCCAGGAGTTCAAGACTAGCCAGGCCAAAATATGGTGAAATCTCGTCTCTACTAAAAATACAAAATATTAGCTGGGCCTAGTGGCTCATGTATGTAGTCCCAGCTACTCAGGTGGCTGAGGCATGAGAATCGCTGAATCCAGGAGGAGGAGGTTACAGTGCGCCAAGATTGTGCCACTGCACTCCAGCCTGTGTGGCAAAGTTAGATGCTGTCTCAAGAAAAAATAAATAAATAAAATAAAATAAAATCCATGGTTGGGTCACACCAGCACCACTCTGTGATTTGTGTTGACATCAGTTATTTTTGTTTTTGTTTGTTTGTTTTTCACAGGGTTTTGCTCTATTGTCCAGGCTGCAGTGCAGTGGCTTGATCTCAGCTCACTGAAGCCTCTATTTCAAGCAATCCTCAGGCTCAAGCAATCCCCCCACCTCAGCCTCCGGAGTAGCTGGGACCAGAGGCATGTGCCACGGTGCTCAGCTAATTTTTGTATTTTTTGTAGAGACAGGGTTTTACCGTGTTGCCCAGGCCACTCTTGAATTCCTGGGCTCAAGCAATTATCCCGCCTCAGCCTCCCAAAATGCTGGGGTTACAGACATGAGCCACCACACCAGGTCCAATGTCAGTTTGCCAAGCAAAGGGCCTGGGGTAGTACTGCACAGCACCAAGTGGCAAAGGGAGGATGAAGAAGACGGGAGTGGGGGACTTTGCAGGAAAAGCCCAGAAGTGTGGAGCAACAGAAGAAATAACACCGCAGAAAACAGAGGCAGGCAGGAGGGTCCTTAGCAGGTTCCTCGAAGGAAGTGCTTTTCCTGGGCAGCATCCCCTGTTTGCCGGAGAATCAGGGCTGGAGAGAGAAGAGGAACCAGGAAAAACAAAGAGAGGCCCCTGGCCTTCTTGTCATCTTGGGGGAGCTGAGTCGCAGCTTCTGATGGATGACACACAAGGTGTCAGAGCAGATAACTGCCAAGGGAGGGAGGGAATGAATCATTAAATTACTTAAAACCCCAGCACTCTGGCTAAAGGCAGGAAAGCAGTGAGTCAGCAAAGCGCTGGGAATCAGTGATTTCAGTGCAAGGGCTGGAGCAAGGTAGCGGCCTGGGGAGTGTGTGCCAGGGACCCCAACCTCCAGGTGCCCCACTCCAGACTTAGCCGCCCTGGCACCCAGCTCCTCCCAAAGAAAAAGCCCTCTGCCCCTCTTTGCCGGGGAAGGTTTGGGGGCAGCCCAGTGGCTGGAGCCTCCCACGGACTTCAGAGAACCGTGTTCTCAACCCCGAAGCTCCTGCACCAGCATTGATCCTGCCGGGGCCTCCCGGAACCTCAGGAAACCTCATGTTTTCTAAATTGTACTTTTATGCTCAGCAAGCCCTCAGGCTACCTGGTTAAAAGTTTACGTTAAAAAATCCTTCATAATTGGTTCGTTTGAATGGTGCCCTCTGCAGAGTCATCAAGGCAGGCCGTGTTCATTAGCAGCAGTTCACATAAAATCCAGGCAGTAAAATGTCAATCATTCCAGAGCTTCAAAAACTTCTCCGGGCTTCCCCGAGCCCAGCCAAATGCCAACAGGAATAAATCCAGGCGAGATGAGCTTGGTGCAACACCGTCTAAGCTGACGTTTCTCCACCTTGGCATTACTGCCATTTGGTGCTAGATAATTCTTTGGTGTATGGAGGGGGCAGGCACTGCAAGATGTCTAAGCATCATCCCTGGCCTCTACCCACTAACGCTAGTAGCACCCCCCCTACATCAAAAATGTCCCCAAATATCGCCAAGTGTCCCCTGCAGCACGAAATCACCCTGGGCTGAGGACCACGCTTCTAAGCTTCTATCCTCTTGGACAGCGGAAATTTGGGAGAGAAAAATTCAAATAAGACATTTTCTGCATGTCTACTCTCTGCTGGGCCTTGTGCTGAGCATTGAACATGGTCCATAATAAGGGGTAGCTGGGTGTGGTGGCTCGTGCCTATTGTCCTAGCTACTTGTGAGTCTAAGGCAGGAGGATCGCTTGAGCCCAGGAGTTTGAGGTTGCAGTGAGCTATGATTGCACCACTGCACTCCAGCCTGGGTGACAGAATGAGACCTTGTCTCTAAAAAACGTGGGAGTGGGGGGAGTGCATGTGGCCCCCAGCCTTGAAAAAAGGGGGACCAAACACTTGGTTTATCCTCAGTGGCCTAGTTTCAAGTACTAGGTTTTCCGACAGGCAGCGAGGGCAGGGTGAGGTCAAGTTGTTTCATTAGGGAGAGAACGGGTGGGTGAGCACTTGGAAACTCCTCCACGAGAAGGCAATACTTGTTTTTAGCTCCTCATGTAAATGGATGTCGCCGGCCTTGAAAAGAGCACAATGGGTGTACAGCAGTGAATCATCTAAGTTAATTATAGAGATCATTGCGGAGCCGTGCAAAGCCCGGCTGAGCTTAGCTTGCAACACCAGGCAGCAGCAACAGCCACCGATGATGATGTTCACATTAATAATTGGCAGTGACACAGCCACAAAGCACACCCTGCTCCAGGCCTATGCCAGGAAAAATAGAGGAGCAGTCAAGAAAAACACAGTAGCATTTATCACACCCTCTAGTGAAAGGAAGCCACCATTTTCCCCTACTGTGGTCTGGGAGACTGACTGGTGGGCCCAGTGGGGCACTGCTGAGACTGGCAGATGGATTTGTGGCTGGAGCAGGGGGTGGGGAGAGGGGGTCGACTGAGGCAGAAGGGGAAATGGAGGCACAGGTATATGCAGTTTCATTGCATTAATTGTTCGTTCAAGCAACAACAAAATGATCCCAAGAACTTGGCACTGACCAAGGCAAGTTCCCCCAGAGGGTGCGGTGAATACATTCCATAGGCAGCAGGTATGCAAGACTCCCTCTGGAGGAACCAAGTGTTGTCAGTGTACAATGGGGCAGGAGAATTGGGTTGTCTGGGAGTAATTTCAAGCAGACAGACCTGAGAGTGAGTGGACAGCTAAGAAGAGATGTCAGCTTAGAAGCACAGTTTCCAAAACATACCACTGTTGTTCCAGGTAGTACAGAGGTAGTTTGGGGTTTTTTGAGGATGCGTCTTTCCTAGCACTGAATCCCATGATTCATGGGATTGGTCCATCTGACTAGGACAAGGACAAAGTCTCAGTTTGGTGCTAAGAGATCTTTAATACCACCTCAACACGTGATCATCACCTCCCTTTCTGGCAAAGAAAGAACAGACTTTAGGCTCAGGCCTTGGGCAAGCAACAACGCTTGACCAGAATTTAATGACCTTGGTTTTAATTTTTCTTCTGCAAGTCAAGTTTACCAAAGTAAAATTTATATACAATAAAATTTACCCTTTTTATCATATGGTTCTATGAGCTTTGACAAACACATGCAGTAGAAAAACTACAACCACAATTACGATAAAGAAGATTTCCACCATCAAAATACCTCCCCCATGCTCTTTGATGTCAGTTCTCCTCCCTTCCCTAGCCCCTGGCACCCAATAATCTGTTTTCTGTCCCTATAGTTTTGTGTTTTCTAGAACTCCATAAAAATAGAGTCATACAATATGTACGCTTTTTTTGGTTTTTATCTTGTACTTATCTTGAGCTTAGATTTATGAAATAGCAACTGGTTTTTAATTTAAGGTACAGTAGTTCCTCCTTATCCATGAGGAATATGTTCCAAGATCCCCAGTGGATGCCTGAAACCATGGATAGTACCGAACCTATGTAGACTGTTTTTTCCTATACATATACCTATGATAAAGTTTAATTTATAAATTAGACACTGTGAGAAATTAACAATAGTAATCAATAATAAAATGGAACATTTATAAGAATGTACTATAATAAAAGTTGTATGATGTGGTCTCACTCTCAAAATATCTTCTTATACTGTACTAACCTATTTTTGGACTGTGGTTGACTGTGGGTAACTGAAACCTCGGAAAGCAAAACCACAGATAAGAGGGGAAAGACAGGCATTCTATAAAGTTTTCTTTTTAAATAAATCAACAATTTCAAAGAGGGGTCTGATTTATGGACATATAAAGTAGTAATTGCATAGGTATTCTGCAGACATGGCAAAAAAAATCAGAAAGAGTGGATAGGAATTATCAAGAACTTGAAAAGATCTGAAATTTCATCCTACTTGCAAGTTAAGTTTGCTTGCCAGTTTCATGGATGCTGGCAGAAGACACAAGACTTTGGGGTCAGAGACAAAGAGTTTGATTACTTATGGCTCAGCAAATAGTGTGAGTACCACATATTTGCAAAAGTTCCTGTTGTTCTGAAACCCACAGGACTGATGCAGATGGCCAGATGGATTTCTGCACATGTAGGGGGTTGCCTCATGGAAGAGAAACCCATAGCTTAGGGAACCAGAATCTTTTATAATGGGCAATAAGCATGCCTGCCCTTTGTTTTGGAGGCGGACATTATCTCCATCTTCCAAAGCTGTTTACTGTACAAACAGCATCTCTTGCTCTCCTCGCAGAGATGACAAAAGCCAGTTAGTACCTCCCTTGCAAGATGCAGAAATGGGAGAGGCCCATGGAGAATTATCTCCTAACAGAAATGACTGAAATCTGGGCCATGCTTACTTAGATCACAGAAAAAGAAAACCTAGGCAGCCAAAAGTTTGTGGGTCCCAAAGGAAGGACATCAGGGCCTGGCAGACTTGAACATTGCATTTCCCTCTAGAAGCCTCTCTCTGGAGAGGTGAGAGGCATCAGATTAGTTGACATCTGATTCTACTCCTATTTCTTCCCACTGTTTACTCTCCAAAGCGTTAGAATTAGTCCTCCCACAAGTAAAAGGAGTACACTGCTTTGCCCATGTGACCATACCACATTGTTGGATAGCTGTATTTCTGATTGTCATTTAGTTTATAAACATTCAGGTTTATACATCAGACTCCATGCTGGTTAATGTGAGTCTATTTCATTCTCCCTTGGCCCATACAATTGAGTTTCTAATCCTAAAAGATTGAGAACTAGATCCCTAAATTCAACATGGTGAATTAAATAATAACAAATAGTGTCCAGCATTTATTATATGTTCTGAGCTCTTGCTATTTACAATCTAATTTAATTCTCCACCTAGCCATATACTTGGTAGGCATATCTATGAGTCCCACTTTACAGGAGAGCAAAGTAAAGCATAGAGGGAGTAAATTACACAACCATGGGCTCATAGGTGTGTCAGCAGAGCTGGAATTTGAACCTGATCTGTCTGAAGCCAGAGTCAGTCATCTAGCCATGGGTCAATACTGCCTAACCAGGGACATATCACCTAATGAGGCCTGCTAGGTGAGGAGGAGAGCCAGGCTTCCCCTTGTACCCCTAGACTATGCCCGATGTGCTGAGTGTGCCAGTAAGCCAGGAGATTGGTGAAGCCTCAGGCTCTCTCTGGGGAGATGCCCTGAGTGCAATCTGAGGAAGGCCGCTAACTCAGGATGCATGAGATAAAAGCTTCCTCTCCTCCATGCACTTCAGTCCACTTAGCCCTTCCAAGTCAGGCACACCTGAAGATGTTGGTATTGTCTGTTCCTGGAGCTCTTTCCCCTTGTCTATATTGCATCTCAAGATTTCCAGAAGGTTCTCATGAAGCTTTGGTCCTGTTCCAGTTACCACTGTTACACAACACACTGTACACAGCAGCTTAAAATAACAATTTTATTTTGCTTACAACTTTGTGGGTCAAGAATTTGGAAAAGGCTCAGCTGGGAGGTTCTTCTCACTGGGGGTCTTTTGTGAGGCTGCAATCAACTGTCAGCTGGGGCTGCACACATCTGAGGGCTTGAGGGGGCTGAACCTCCCAAAAAGCTCATCCACATGGCTTATAGTTGAAGCACAGCTGGGCTACCAATCTGAGCAATCCCAGCATCTGCATGTGTCCTCCCCAGCATGGTGGTTTCAGGGTAGTCAAACTCCTTGCACGTGTCTGGCTACCCCAAAAGAAAAGTCCCAAGGACCAGGAGGAAGCTGCATAGCATTTTTCTGTCCTCGCCACAGAAGTCACATGGTATAGCTTCCAGCAGCCCCTGTTGGATGAAGTAGTCCCTAGCTTCACCAGATTTAAGGGACTCCATCTCTTGATGGGAGGTGAGTCACAGAATCTGGGAACCATGGTTTAAAAACTGCCACTGGTCTCAATTAGATTGTCTTTTCCAGGGTCATATCAGCATCGTGGGCCTTCTTGCACTTTCAGATAAGAAAGCCCAATGTGTGATATGATAAGGGGATGCATTGGGGATCGTGGGGGATGAAGAGTGCACAATTCACCTCTGAGAACCATGGGTTAGAAGAAAGACAACGCAACTCTTTACTTCATAAAAGAGTGGTTCATTTGAGGTTCGGCAACCTCAGCTACAACAACCAAGTTTCCAGCATAAACAGTGATCTTCAGGAGGGATCTGAGAGCCATCCATTGCTTATAAAAATGTCCATATTTCCCAGTGGTGAGCCAGCACGCAGGGCCCCTCTGTAACCTAGCTCCATGGAGGCCTCTCTGTGCTCACGTTACCCTCCCCTGATGCACAGACCCAAAGACATACCCAACAGCTCTCTTGCTCTCCTTGTTTTTGGTGAAGCACCAGCTTCAGTCTGTAGTGAGAGGTTTTGTGCGTCTCCCTGGTACTTTTCCCAAGCCCCACAACCCCAGGGACGCCTTCCCCCCAAGGTAGCGATGTTCATGGCCTGAGAATGAGTAGCCACAAATAGAAAGTTGGCACTCAGGGTCACTGTCCTTTCTGGAGCATCTGCACCTCCAGGGAGACCTCCAGCCTCCTGGGATTTTTCCTTGGGCCCCTAAACTAGCTCTTATTGAGAAAGTAACCAAATTCTCCACCATGCTAAGGACGCCCTCCTATGTGCAGGAGCTTTGATGTGTAAACAAAGGCATTCCCTATCCCTTGGCAACAGATGATACACCCAGGGTCTACGGAGGGAGCAATCATGTTCACCTATTTAAACACACATTTTTTCCATCTAATACATTCCAAATACTTCACATATTTAAACCATTCCCTCCACACCTGCTTCAAGTTGCAATTCAGTACGTGACTAAAATCAGGATTTGGGACCCAGCAGTGATGGCTCAGGTATGGCTCTGCTCTTGTCTAGCTGTGTGACCTTACTTTAATATGGCATGTCCCAATGCCTTCATGGGGATAATTAAAGCCCCTACTTCACAGAGTCATTGCAAAGATTATGTGAAGTAACACAATGAAAGCACTTAGAAAAGTATCTGGTATATGGTAAGCACTTCATTTAACTGTACTTCATGCATTTAAAATGATATTCTCTAAAATAAAACATCATTAATTAAGTCAACTATTCTTGACTATCAAAGCTATTACAAAGCATTATGCAACCCTAACAGTTGCTTTCAAAGATTTTGTTTGCAACTACGAAGGCTCCTAATAACCTCCTAAAACCGTCACCTAGTGAGAACATACAGAGTATTCAGTCATGAGCCCAAGTCCTGCGGGAAGTTTTCAAGTGTTGCTCACCTATATAGGGAAGCCATTAGTAAGTATACATGAATCTTCAATGTGAGCTTAGCCGAATAATTTTACTTTAAAATACTTGGCATTCTGTATAAGTGTATTTGGTATCTACACTATTTATACAGTGTCCATCATTGTACATATTTTATGTCTATCCTCAAAATTGACTGCTCAAGACTATTTTTAATAATTTGCGGCCAGGCACAGTGGCTCATGCCTGTAATCCCAGCACTTTGGGAGGCCAAGGCAGGTGGATCCGAAGGTAAGGAGATCGAGACCATCCTGGCTAACATGGAGAAACCCCGTCTTTACTAAAAACACAAAAAAATTAGCCGGGCGTGGTGGCAGGCACCTGTAGTCCCAGCTACTCAGGAGGCTGAGGCAGGAGAATGGCGTGAACCCAGGAGGTGGAGCTTGCAGTAAGCCGAGATCACGCCACTGCACCCAGCCTGGGGGACAGAGCGAGACTCCGTCTCAAAAAAAAAAATAAGAATAAGAATAAGAATAAGAATTTGCAACGATAATTTTAAATATACACAATTTTTGGCTTTTGTGCTGGCTCTCAGAACCTAACACCCATCCAGAGATGAAATTCTGCTGTGTCTTATTTTATCTTACCAACAGCCCTGATGTGTGGCTATCATTGTCCCAGTTTACAGTGGAGGACGTTTAGTCTGAGGGAGATCAACTATCTAGTTCAATGTCACACAGCTAGTCAGTTGCAGAAGTGGGATGCAAACCCATCCTTCCTTGGGGTACCCCCCCACCTCTCACAGCAATAGCTTACTGCTCTGTAGCCCTTTCTAAGCTATAAGTGAGTCTCACAAGCATTAAGACATCTGAAGCACCTATCAGCTCTTTTAACACATATTATTAAGCCTTTTTTTATAAATAAGAAATTGAGGCTGGGCACGGTGGCGAATGCCTGTAATCTCAGCACTTTGGGAGGCCTAGGCAGGCCGATCACCTGAGGTTGGGAGTTCAAAACCAGCCTTGCCAACATGGCAAAACTCTGTCTCTACTAAAAATACAAATATTAGCTGGGTTCAGTGGTGCACACCTGTAATCCCAGCTACTCGGGAGGCACAAGAATCTGAGAATCACTTGAACCCGGGAGGCAGAGGTTGCAGTGAGCCGAGATCACACCACTGCACTCCAGCTTGGGTGACAGAGTGAGACCCTGTCTCAAAAAAAAAAAGAAAAAGAAAAAAGAAGAAGAAGGAGGAGGAGGAGGAGAAGGAGGAGGGAGGAAGAGTAGGATGGAGGAGGAGGAGGAAGGAGGAGGAGGGCGGAGGAGGAGGGAGGAGGAGAAGAAGAAAAAAGAAGAAGAAGAAGGAGGAGGAGGAGGAGGAGGAGAAGGAGGAGGAGAAGGAGAAGGAGAAGAAGAAAAGAAGAAGAAAGAAGAAGAAGAAGAAGAAGAAGAAGAAGAAGAAGAGGAAGAAGAGGAAGAAGAGGAAGAGGAGGAAGAGGAGGAAGAGGAGGAAGAGGAAGAAGAAGAAGAAGAAGAAGAAGAAGAAGAAGAAGAAGAAGAAGAAGAAGAAGAAGAAGAAGAAGAAGAAGAAGAAGAAGAAGAAGAAGAAGAAATTGGGACCAGTGAAGTAATCATTTACTCATGATCAGAGCTGTTCCCTTGACACTGTTAACTTCTGCCTTTATTTTTCCAGGGCATCCAAGACTCTATTTTACTCAACCTCTTAGGGTCACATTTTAGGTCCCTTGCTGCCTTCTCACTCACATGCTTATCCCCACATGTGAGGACACTGAGGGTCACTATTATAAATGCCAACAGATGCCAGGCAGGTAATGTCAATGAACCGCATGGGTTGGATGTGAGGTATTAGGGAATGATGGAAACTGTGACAAGCTAAGAGCACAGGCTCTTGCTAAGAAGGGCAGCCACATTTCAGCTTTGACCTAGGGACACCACGTGGGAAGGTGGCTCCAACAGGGCAGATCTGCTAACTTTTCCATTAAATTCAGAAATCCAATGTTTTATGATATTTTCCTATTTTAAACTATTGGCAACTATTTCTGATGAGTCCATCAGCTCTACAAGAACAGCCTCCTGATCTGGTTTCCAGAATTGCTGACTTCTAGCTATTTGTCTTTCTTCATGGATGTGCTGGGGACCTACACATGAACATCCTACCAATTCCCAAAATGCTGCCATTTCTTTAAATTTTTTTTTAAAATAGGAGGCTTGCTATTTTCCCTCCAAACCAGTGACTCTCTTCTATGTCTCTCTTTCTCCCATCACCCTTGTGGTACCCATGAACCCAAACCCTAGGACACAAGTGTGCACTGGAATCCTCTGTGAGCTCTTTTAGAAATGGGGATTATCATGTCCAACTTCAGACCTACTAAAGAAGACTTTTCAAGAGTGGAACCTAGGAAGCCACCCATGATCTATCTCTATCACCCCATACGCCAAGCTTCCATCAAACTTCAGGGGATGTATTTCAAATCCCCCCATCATTAGTTCAACTGTCACTGGTCTTTTCCTGCCCAATTCAGCCCTCTTACCATTGTCTGCTTAGCATCTCTGAAACACAGCTTTGCATGTTACACGCGCATTCCTAAACCTTCAGCAGATGTCCATTGCCTATAAGAAGCATCTAAAAGCTTTAGCTTGACATTCGACTGGCAGCTTCCTCCAAATCTTTCCTAGTGCCTGTCGTTCGTATTCCTGATCCCTCCCAGAAGCCTGGATTGTCTGTCCCTCTCATTTGGAAACTAAGTCTGTCTTGGATGGATATAAACATTATTAATATGAGCCCACCTCCTCTCTCTTTGACCCACTTCCTCATTCATTCAATTACTTCATTTGTTCTTTATTGAGCATGCATTTTGTGCAAAACTACCCGCAACTGGATGACAAACTCTTGTGTGTTAAGAAGAAAATTGTGCTCTCCCCAGACTGAGAGCTTTAGGAGCCAAATGTTAGCTGGCAACGACTTGTTGAGAAGGAGTGGGAAATGACTTACAATGCAGCGAGAAAGGACTGAGCAATGAACTGAAAGTAAGTTGTGTCAAAGGCAAATTCTAGGGCTGTGTGAAGGAAGGTTGCCCAGAGAGGAAAGGAAGGAGAGGTAGGCTGAGGTCACTCTGAAAGTCGTATTGCAGAGTGTGGTATCTGTAGTGGGTGAGGTGTTTTAGTTAGAACTCTGAGTTAAAAGAAATCCACAAACTCAGTTCAAGCTGATTTAAGTGAAAAAGAGAGGTGTATGTGTTCATGTAAATATACATCTTCAGGTATGGGTGGATCCAGATGCTCAAGGATACCAGCAGCCTCAATCTTGCCCTTTCTCTCTCTAGCCCCTGTTCTCCTCTGTCTAAGCCATGTCAAGCAGGCTTTCTCTCATGCTGACAAGCTGGCCTCCAACCTTTAAGCTGGCATTCTCACCTCCAGTTACCTCCATGGAAAGAGTGTATCTCTTTCCTAATTATTCCCACAGAGCATTCTGGGATTGAATCTCTTCGAACCACCATTGAACTATGCATCTATCTCTAAAACAGTGACTGTGGCCAATGGATTAAATATTCTGATTTGCCAGACCTGGGTCATGGGCCCACCCCTTAACCAATCACAGGCTGGGCAGGGACTACCCCTGAACCAATCATGATGGGCAGCAGTCTTGAATACTCTGATTGGCTACTCCTGGGTCACATGCACAGAGCTGGACGTGGGAACTATAGAGTCAGCCCTCCCTACTCACGCAGACTGTGTGTGTGAGAGTGAAAGGAGTAGGCAGGACCCCATGCGTGTAAACCAGCAGACATCCCTCATAGCCATAGAAAGAAGATTCTAGAACAGTGCTGACATGCTGAGGACAGCATTTTAGGAAGACTCATTGCACACCCGTCTCTGTGCCTCCAGATTCTCTAGAGAGAGGAAGCCACCTCGAGCATCTGCCTCTCATCCCAGCAGACCCCTGACAGCTCTGGCCCCACTCCCTTGGTCCACGCAAAGTGGCCCCCACACCATGGGAACACTGGGTGCTGAAACTGTCCCCAGCCACCACAGGTTAATGCTCTGACACCTCCGGTGAATGCCTGCCCATGGCCTCGGGGCACACACACACCCACTGCAACCAGGAGTCCCGCTTCATGGCCGACCCCTGTCCCTTCCCTCCGGCCCCACAGCCTCTGCAGCGCAGCCTAATCTCTGGAACAGGTGGGAGGCCTGAGTCCCGGCTCTCAGCTTTCACGGCCAGGAGCACAGCAAGGGGAAACTCATTACATGGGTTTAACGGGGTTTAAAGGGCGTTAAAGAGTCCTGTGGGCCAAATTAAGAGGCCTCAACTTACAAGCTGAGTTATGAAGAGATCTAAGGCATGCTTAGGCACAGAGCAGGAACCCAAAACTTGGGTCTAGTGCAGTTGCGATGAGAAAAATGTGCACTCCAGGGAATTACTGAACGGAGAAGAAATAACAGGTGCTGGAGGCTGGGGGCTGGCCTGGGGTCTAGGGGATGGTGAATGCCTGAATGCACGACTTTCCTTTCCTCCTCCAAAAATGTCACACACAAAAAAACCCAGGTACTATTCACCAAGAGTTAAATAAAGGAAGGTATGCCTTCATGCTGGAAGACTTCACGACTGTTGAAAAGAATGAGAAATGTCTGTAAGAAGTGGCATGGAATGTTCTCTAAAAGATATTATTACGTTAAAAAATAAACAAGATGTGAACAGTGTATACAGCAGGCTACCGTTGTTTATACACACACACCACTTGGATTGAACCATATGAAACTCCCATTTTTGTAGATCAAAAATGGCTATATATATATATATCTCATTTCCATGTTGGTATATGGAAACCATCTTTGGCATTTTACACAAGACATTGACAACAAGTGTCTTCTCTGTAGACACCCTCTGTGACTAAGGGGTCAAGAGTAGGAAAGAGTTACTCTTCGCTGCATAACCTTTTATACTGCTAGAATCCTTTAAGTCTTATGCCAATTTTACACTTGGGGAAAAAATGTATTCAGGGATACATTGACTGCTTCCATGATGCAAAGTGTCTATATGGACGTCATCATCCCACACAGTCCTCACAGCCGTCCGTCCTATCAGGGAAGTACTATCAACAGTCCCGTTTTACAGCTAAGAAGCTGGAGAAGAGACAGTTAAAGACTTGCTTATGTGGATGTGTGGAAGGCATAGTCAGGTATGTGTGGCTAAAGGCCAAGTCCTTGACCGTGAGGAATGCTACGTTTCCTCTGGCATGGGTGATCAACTCAGACCAGAATCTCCTGGGTTCTTCCCCAGTCCTCCTCCTAGAAACAGCCTCTTTAAGCCCAACAACCAGCAAAGGGCTCCTCTCTCTTGTTCAGCAGTCACTGTGCCTTTGGAAGGAGGGTCCAATGAAAGACCCACGCCTTCCTGTGATGGAGGCTCAGCCCTCAGACAGAGCATCAAGTGTCTACCCAGTAGGTCAAGGAAGTGCTGCTCTGTGGTCTCCTGAGACTGCAAAGGCTCCAGATGTAACACTCCAGTGACCATTCTCTTCACAGGCCAGGCCGAAAACATATCTTCAGACCACTGTTACCTGCTCCTTCTGTGGAGAAGCTATAAGGCTGTTGACCACAAGGATGGGGTCTGCTAATCCCCATAGACTTCCAATAAGAAGTATAGGAGCATACTATGTGCAGGAACTGTCATAAATGCACAGGCATCACTTCATTTCAGCCTCACAATGGCCCCTGACATAGATACTATTCATAATCCCATTTCACACACGAAGACACTGGCACAGAGAGGCTGAGTAACTTGCCCATGGAGGCAGAGCCATTCTGCAAGCCTGGGAAGGCCCACGCTTGTTAAGCACCTTATAGCACTCTCTGCCCAGACCATTGCCTCAGAATGGGCCACATCTCACCATGTAAGTATGGCTTGATTTGGGGTCAAGGTGTAGGTCCAGAAATCTGTCCCCAACTATCATCTGTAAAATGGGGATAATGACAAGGAGAAGACAGATCAAAGAGTCAAACACTAATCTCCACCTGGTTCCAGAATCACCAGCTTCCCAACACACCCAGCTCCTCTCAAGAAAGGTAGCAACTGGTGAGGAGAGTGCCCACAGAGCCTTCTGGTGGATGCATGGCTGTGTTTCCCTCTGGGTTCTATGGAAGCTTAGGAGAACATTTCCAAAGCCTGGAAACCGAAAGACAAGTCTGAGGGATCAGCGCGTCTCTGCCCTTAATCCTCAGACCCACCTTCTTTGGTCCTGGAGCCCATAGGAGGGTGGGGACAGCTGCCTAAACCTCTGTAGAAGACAGCAATGCCCTTGAACCCCTATAGAAAACAGCAATGCCCTTGAACCTCTGTAGAAAACAGCAGTGCCCTTGAATTCCATTTGCTCAACCCAAGGTTATTGGATGGAGCAGGTGTCTGTGGACCAGCCTATTAGACAAGTCTCTTCCAGAAAAATAGCTTGTGGGATTATCTAGGAGGCCAAATAAGTATTTACTTATGGTGCCAGTAAAGCAAGACACTACTGGTACTGAAAATAATTAAGACTTTGCTAATTGATTTGTTTTTTAATGAGAGTAGCTATCATAGGGAAATTGGAATTGTGTGGGACACATTTAATACTTATTTTATACACAGCAGGGAAGAAGCAAAGAACATTAACTCTTGTTAGTACTTAGAGCTTCAGTATTAGGATCATATCAGCTGCTGTAACAAACAAGTCCCAAAATGTGTGAGCGTTCAAATACAATAGAAAATTTCCTACTAGTAAAGTCCAAAATGACTGTTACTGGTTAATGTGCAGCTCTCTTCCAAGCAGTGACTCCAGGACCTAGAGTTTTTGTATGGTGTTCTCTGCTGTATTTAATGTGGGCCATTCATTGGCCTTAGCCCCTTCTGTGGAGAAGGGGGAAGCACAGAAGACTGCCAGTGGGGGATGTTTGTGGGCTGGGCTGGAAGTGGTATATATCTGCTCAAATTACAATGGCTAAAACTCAGTCACGTGGCACAGCTAATTACAAAGGAAACTGGGAAATATGGTCTAGGAAGAGGACAAAGATTTGGTAAAAGCTGGCCAGTCTCTGAAACAACCTCCAAAGGTCTTAATCTGACCCTAATGGAGAAGCTGGTTCACCCTAACTCTAGGCGAGACAGAAGAGGAATAGGAAGGGGTCTCCAATCTCCCACAAAGTAGCTCCTCCATAAAGAATGAAACTACTTCAAATAAAACTACTTTAGCCAAATGCAGTGGTTCATGCCTGCAATCCCAGTAACTCAGGAGACTGAGGCAGAAGGATTACCTGAGGCCAGGAATTTGAGATGAGCCTGGGTAACATAGCAAGATCACATCTCTAAAAGGATAATTTTTATTCATTTAAAAAATTAGTTGGGCATGGTGGCATCCTACTGTAGTCCAAGCTACTCGGAAGGCTGAGGCAGGAGGATCACTTGAGCCCAGAAGGTTGAAGCTGCAGCGAGCTGTAATTTTACCACTGCACTCCAGCCTGGGCAGCAGAGAGAGACCCTGTCTCTAAATAAATAAATACATAAATATTCTTTAAATGTAAGATAATGTCATAAGAGAACTATCAAAATATAAACTTCTGTTTGATAGAAAGAGACTTTGTACTTCAAAATCCTTTCATTTAATAGGTATTTACTTGGCACCTACTATGAGCCAGGCATTCAGCTGGTCCCCAGGAATACAATGTTAAACTCGTAGGTTTATAATGGTGACAGATATTAATCAAATAATCACACAGAGGTACGATCCTCAGGCTTGTCTTGTGTTCCTCCAGAAGCTGTTTTAGAGATGAGGATTTAAATGAAGGTAGCCGGGCATAGTGGCTCACACCTGTAATCCTAGCACTTTGGGAGGCCGAGGTGGGAGGATCATTTGAGGTCAGGAGTTTGAGAGCAGCCTGACCAACATGGTGAAACGCCGTCTCTACTAAAAATACAAAAAAATGGCCAGGTATGGCGGCACAGTTACTTGGGAGGCTGAGACAGGAGAATCGCTTGAACCCCGGAAGCGGAGGTTGCAGTGAGCCGAGATCGCACCACAGCACTCCACTCCAGCCTGGGCAACAGAGCCAGACTCTGTCAAAAAAGAAAAAAGAAAAAGAAGGTGACATTAAGAAGGGAATCCGGGAATACCAGGATGACTGCTGGTGGGTAAGGATGTGAGGCCAGGAAGAAAAGGGGGCCACTAAAACATGCATTTTCAAGGACGTCACCACTGTGGGCTCAACCACAGGAGAGAACTCTGGGGACCATCGTGGAACACCCACCTCAGATTTTTCCCACCAGATAGACAAGGAAATGGTGGTATTGAAACACCAACTGTCATTGATTGTGAATTTCCCGGCACTTCTAGGGTGTTCATTTCCTGGCACTTCTGGTCTGTTGCAAAAATGGGCAGAGCAGACTCCCATGGCAAAAAAAAAAAAAAAAAAAAAGCCTTCAAGCAAAAGCATGCAGATACTGGCAGATGAAAGTTGGGCCACCAGTTCACACTGACACAGTAAGGGCTGAGGTCTTCTGTGCAGGGTACTGACAGCACCCGCCATATCACCCAGGTGCCAAGAATAAGAAACACAGGGAGAAGGAAAAGGAGAATAAGGTGATCAGGCACAGATCAAAGGGGTGTGGGTTATAGAACCAGATTGCCCGGCTTTAAATCGTGGGTCCTCCAACTGCAGTCATGTGGCCTTGGGAAAGTCTACCACCTTCTGCCTCAGTTTTCTCATCTGTAAAAGGGACATACGATAGTACCCGCCTCGTAGGGTGTCTGGGAAGATTGAATGGGACAATCTGTTTGAGGGGCTTACAAGAGTGCCTGGCATGCCCCAGCCAGTGCCCCCCAAAGCCAGCCCCTGATATTTGGTTCTCCTGTTTCTCACAAGCAGGTGGCTCCCCCTAGAAGTCAGTTGTAATACCACTGCAAATCAGGTGGCACTTTCCGTCTGTCCTCTGGAAACCAAACTTCCCATGACCCGGGGCCTGGCAAAATCCTTGGCCCGGCCGCCCTCTGTGCTCAATTGATCCCTTGGACACTCGAGAGCTCATTTGTACGTGATGGCATTTACTTCTCCGTTTGTTGGATTCCAGTTTCAGGCCAGTTCTGAGCACCCGGCCACAGGGAGAACAATGCCCCCTCTGTTCCGCCCAGCCATTCATGTCGACTTTTGTTTCAGCCTAAAATAACACCAGGCTAGAGGGTATTTTCTTAACACCGCCAAACCCTGTGGAAAATGTGGCAGGTTGTGGCTGCTTGGGTCCCCGGCTGATAACGATGTCGTGATGTATAGGTGAACTCCTGCTCACTCAGGGCCGGGGTGACCCTGGGATTAAGGCTGCGCTTATCTCCCAAGACATCTTGGAGAGTCTGGGATTCCATTTCACGACAGAGTCCCTGGGGGCTGAAGTTATGTTATGTGCTTATGAACAAAGTGGACTATTCCTAGGCAGGGCTGGAGTGGATTATGGCTGATCACTGGGCCTAAACCGAGGACATCTGAGAATGTTGAAGAAAGGAAAGGGATTCCACAAACCCAAACAAACATGGACTTCAAGCGAAGGCTCGAGCACTAAACATTTTAAAAGGCCTGCCTGGGTGAACACGGGTCCCATGAAGAGTGGGTTCCCAGAGTCAAAAGCCTCTTCAAAGTCTCTCACCAACCTGCCGGGAACAGCTCTCAGCACAACCCCTTCACAGTTCCATAAATCACACACCGGCAGCTTTATGCCAAAAGGTGCTATTTAAAAAAATTAAAAATTGACTTGTCCAAAGGGCCTTAAAAAAAAAGTCCTGCACCCACCACTTTCTTTATTAAAGTTCACAGAAAATAAATATCAAATTTCTTTCAGCCTGAATTTTCTCTCCAACTGTAATAGTAGAAACTAGAGATGGGGAGAAAAAAAAAGGAGGTTGGGGAAAGGACCTTATTGGGTAACTTTTTCCATCATTTGTTCAGTGAAATTTGTTGCTGAAGTCTTTGCAAATTTGCTTTCCCATCTGCTCTCAAGAAATCAAACAGAACCCTGAAAACTGATTGTTGAGAGCAATCCAAATTCTAGAAATTTCTAAAAATGTTGCAGAGAAAAAAATTTTAAGAAAAGCTTCCCTTTAATTACAGATGAGTCTCCCCTTCTATTTAGTTCAGCCCAGTCGTGAAATAGAATTGAACTTCCTTTCTGATTCATTCTTCAAAACCTCAATGTCGATTTTATCAGAAACAGATCTGACACTCTCATGGCGCTGCCTGGGTCAGCCTCAGTCCCGGATCGGCGTCTTCATTAAAGCTCTCTCTGTTTGGTTTGCTTAAGGAGAAATCATAACAGATCGGGTTCGATTTCTTCTTTGTTCCTGAAAAAAAAATACACCGACCTTTCCCTTGCCTTATTAGGGTAACTGGAGGCGACAAAAGTCACAAAACACAATATTTTCTTAAGAGGGCCCCAAGCCTTCGGCAGAAACTCCCAGCAATGAAACCTCCCTGTTTTCTGGATTGCACAGTACTGGCTACTGTGATGCGTGAGAGAGTTGCTGGCTACCCTAAAAATTTGCCCCATGCTGTTGGAAGACACTCAGGTGGCTACAGATGTCCTGAGAGCTGATGACAAACAATGTAAGTGTCCCTTTTCCCCACCCCACGGACCTTGGCATCAATGCCTCCTTTTCTCACTAACCTTAACTAAGCCACTTAAAAAGAAAGCAGAGGGGAGAATGGGAGAAATCTTTATAGATCGCCATCAAAACCTGACCACAAATGGTTCCAATTTGCTGCAGTGATTAAATCTATGTGAGTTTAAGGGTTTTCATTCGGGTCATCTGCTACTTTGGCATTTTGCTGCATGCCTTGCTAAGAAAACGAACTTCTGAGTCACCAGCGAGCATGAAGAAGGAAGAAGGTTACTAAACAAACTCCAAGCAGAGCTTAAGTGGATATAGAAAATAAAGACTCCGAATTCTAAATATGGGTCGCAGAGGAGTGTAGAGGGGATTAGAGCTGCCTTTGTGCCCGGTGGGGCAGCCCGGAGCTGGCTTGCCTTTTCAGAGCCGGCAGCCCGGGATCAAAGTAACAGCCACCAGTTTGTCAATATGCTAAGCTGGGTGTTTACACAAAAGTGTCAGCGTGCGCTTTCCACCACAAAGGGGCTCCTACATTCGAAGATTAATTACTTCCAAAACAGAGATTGTGGGTAAATACCGGCTTCTCCGGAGCCCAGCCTCCTCAGGGGTATTTGCTTGGCCCCAGGCTGAGATGTACTGCCAAAGACAAGAGAATTGGGGGACAGCACTGAGACGTGGACCAAGGCTCGTCTTGCTCCCAGGACTTTCTTCTCATCACATGCGGTTTCTTGGTGTTTTGCTTTCTCTGAAATACACAGGCTGGACTCTAGGTGATGGACAGCCCCATGTGCGACACCTCTCTTCTCTTCACCTCCCTCTGTCTTTCTCTCCTCCACTTCCATTGTGGGACAGATTTTCTGAGTTGTCTCCATCCTTGTCCTTTCTCCTTCTGCCACCAGCATGTCATGACATGGTCCCCCATGAATGTAGGGGAAATTGGTGGACTGCTTAGTCCATGGTGAGAGGATCCTGAGACTGAGACTTGAAGCCATTTAACTTCAGAACTATGTCCTCCTCTGTAGAATGGGGACAAGAAACATGCTGGCCCCATCTACCACAGAGCACTATTAGAAAATTTAAAGGACAGGAAAGGCATTATAATTGAAAGTGATAGGATAAGGTGGATGATGGCAGACTTCTATGCCAGTGTTCTGATGAGACTTTATCAGATGTCTTTATCAGACATTAAAAACTTGCCTAGATATATAGACTGCACACATACACACACTAATGCACACACACCACACACATACACCACCTCTTCATACCCAAAACCAAGCCTGGGGCCCAAGACCCAGTGTATGACCCTCAGAGTATGGTGCTCAGACCAAGTATATTTAAGTCACTGGGAACCTTGTTCTAAAGACAGGATGCCAAGCCCATCCCCATCTAAGCTTAGATGTTTGGATCTGGGACCTCTCACCCTGGAGGTGAGAGAATCTGCAATTCTCAAAGCTTCCCAGGTAGAAAGCACAAACTCATAGGCAGCTTTAGGCTCTATAAGTGGGTGGTTTCCTGTTCATTAGCTAAAAGGAAAAACACCACAAGAGTGCTGGCAGCAGATTCTGTGGCATGGCTGATAACAGCCGGTCCTCAAGGGCTGCCCAGGGTTCTAGGAGCTGCTGGCACTGGGGAGAACTTGCATAAAACATCTTTTTGATGAAAATATGGGGAGAGTGCAAAGGAAAGCTTTCCCCCAACCTCTCCACCTGGCATCCCCACAAGTTTTCTCTTCTGGTCAACAAATGTGGACATTTGAGTGTAGACCTTTGGCCTAAATCTTCCCTGGGAAGCCTAAAGTCTCACAAGAAAACTTCTCATTCTGGTGTCTCAAACAAAGCTTGCTTGCTGGTTCACCCAGTCACTCATTATTCAATAAATATTTACTGAAGAGCTGCTGTGTGCTCGGCACTGCTCCAGGCACAGAAGACACTCAGGTGACTGCAGATGTCCCTCAGAACTGTTCCCTGTGAAGAACAAAACTGATGAGACTGATGAGGTTCCTTCCTTCGAGATGCTCACACTGGGGCAGAGTGACGTGGAATAACCTGGTAGTGACATCTCTCTTCTCTCCATCTCTCTCTCTCTCTCCTATACTCCCATCATCGTGGGGCAAATTTTCTGGGTCACTGCCTTCCCACTCCTTCCTCCCTCTGTCACCAGGTAATAGGAGATAATAATGTCAAGTAAGAAGCAACCAAAAATGGTTCCACGTTGGACTGCGAGAGCCTGGGGACAGCATTCTCAGGAGTGGGAGTCAGAAGATGGAGTTCCAAGGAGTGGCAGCCAAGGAGCCAGGACAAGTGTTCCAAGCAGGAGGAATGGCCAGGGCAAAGGCTTGATGGTGGGAAAGCAGGCTGCAAGTGTGGCCGTGGGTGGCTTCAGAGAGCTGGGTGGAACGGTTCGTGCCTCGCTAAGTAGGCCTGGCCAGGTAGGAGTTTGACCTGCATTCCAAGTAAAAGGATAAGTTATTAGAGGGTTCCAACTGAGGAAAGATGGCATCAGACTGGCATTTCAGGACATCCCTCCAGCTGCTGGGCAGACAGTAGTGTCAGTTACACCTGCCCAAGCCACACTGGTCTTCTTGCATTTTCCCAAATCCCCCAGACATGTTCCTACTTGAAGCCTCTTCACTCACTCTCCTCCTCCAGGAAGGCTCTTGTCTCAGAAAGCCACATGACATGTCCTCATCTCCCTCAGGTCTCACTTCCAATGTCCCTTGTGACAGAGGCCATCCTTGGCAACACTCTAAAAAGCCGGGCACAGGGCTCCCTGCCCCTCTAGTCTACTTTATTCATCTGTAGCACTTAGATATTATACAGGATACACGGGTTTGTGTATTTTTTTCTCCTCCAGTCAAATGTAACACCACTAGTACAGAGTGCGTGCTCAACAGTTAGTCTATAGTCTCAATAGATACAGAGCTCTCTGTGTACATGGGTTCCACATTTGTGGATTCAACCAAACCGGTATCAAAAATACTCAAAAAAGCTGTATCTGTACTGAACATGTGTGGACTTTTTTCTTGTCATTACTCCCTAAAGAGTACAGTATAGAAACTATTTACATAGGATTTACATTGTATTATGTATTATAAGAGATGTGAAGGTGATTTAAAGTATAGAGAAGGCTGTGCATAGGTTATATGCAAATACTATGTCATTTTATATCAGTGACCTAAGCATCTGCTGATTTTGGTATCTGCAGAGGTCCTGGAATCAATCCTCCATAGATACCAAAGGACAACTGTATTTATGGAATGGATCGAGTGACAAAATGGACTTGGGCTGCTCTCTTAACCTCTCAGAACCCAAGTTTCTAGTGGTGTCAAACAGGTTTCATAGTATCCCCTCCGAAGGTGACTTACATCCATCCATTTGTTTACTCATGTATTAATTTATTCATCCACTCATTATTTAAGAAGTACTTAGTGAGCATCTTCCAGGTGCCAGGCACTGTACTGGAATTAAATGAGAGGACGCATCAAAGCAGCTAAGTAATAGTCAGTGCGTTAGAGTTAATAGACAATGGGTTAAATGAAACAATGTGGCACCTACTGTGTACTGCTAGCATCTCCTAGACAGGTGACTCAGGAGGACAGCCAGCAGCATCACTCACACGGCCACGGGGAACTTTCATCCCAGGGCCAGGCGATGATGTCATTGTCCCCCAACTGTGCTGCTCTCCCCACTAGCCATGTACCCCACATCCATTCTCTTCCCGGCTTTGCCCGACTCTGTGTCCTATGAAGCTGGTCCCGTGGATGGCACACTCAGACCTCCATGGGCTCTTCCCAGTTGGCCAATGGGATGCCCCGACAAAAAATCAGGAAGAGGACGGGACAAGCTGTTGCTCTCTTCTTGCTTCAGGCGGTGTTTTCAAGCAGTGGCCATATCCCTCCAAGGCTCCAGCTCCAGGTGGCCAGTGCTGCTCCATGGTCTCCACCCTCATAGAGCCCTGGTGTCCCACTTCCTCCTGTGCCCCTTCAGATCTAGAGGTAGTCACAACACCCTACTAGTTTCTGGGGTTCTTGTCATCCCCTGGTCATGCCCTTAATATCCCCCAAAGCAGGCCCTTCCTTAAAGACCTTTGGGCCATCTGAGTTGGAATGTATTTCCTGCAGCGACTCCAATCAGTGGACCAACCACATCCAATAACAGCTCAGAAAATGGTCATGTATATTAAAGAAATAATTTATATAGATCTATATGGATATACATCAACACATATGTGTGTCATTTTATATCTACTCCCTGCCTCTCCCTCCTAGCTAGCTCCTAGTATCTGGAAATACCACAGGGCTGAACTCGTGGCACCTCCTCACCCATGACACCCCCTTTCATCCCTGCCCCACTTCTCTCTCCACCAACACTGCAGCCCCCATGTGTCTGCAGTGTGGATGGCTGACGTTAGTTCATTAAGAGCACCTATGCACAGTGCCCTACAGAGCTCTCTGGAAGCGACGACAGCCACCAGTCTTTATTGCCTTATCTCATCCACCCACAGCAACAGCTGTACTCACACCTCAGGACTAAACTGCTCAGCTTCCTTTCAGCTTATAGATTGCAACTTGTCCTTAGGCCAAGGAAGGAGACAGGAGAAGGTGGCATAGAAAATAGACTTGTGAAATGAACTGGCACCCCGGGGGAGTGCTGGGGTGTGTTTGTTCTCTAGAATGTATTCATTCAACATTTGTCACAGGTCAGTAGTAGGCTGGGCTCAGCACCAGGCTCTCTGGGGACCCAGAGGTGAACTGACCAGAGACAGACTGAGGCTTTGAGAAGCTCTGTTGTGGAGAGAAAGAGAGATGTACAAATACAAACCAGTTTGCTGAGCCCACATTTTTTGGCAGGAGGAGGAATTGCTCGAAGGGGAACAGAAGGTTCCCTTCACTTCAGGATGGGCAAGAGCCCCAGATGAAATTCTGCAGAATCGGGCAGGCCCTGAGATGGTATCTGAGGACCATCACCATCCAGCCAGGAGATCTGAGTCACCCATCGGCTGCTAATTGCAGGGCATTGTTCCTAAGGGGGCCTAGGAGAGCACTGAGCGCTAGCACCGCAGAGAACGCTATTAGCATGGTTAATTACAGGATGATTGGTAAGATGACTAATGGAGATAGGACATGTTGTTCAACAAGAAAAAGGGTTTGTATGGCCTCACTACTGTCCGTGGAGTTGGTTCAAGGTTGTGCCACACCTCTCCCTCGCCTTATCTCCCATCTCAATCATGTCCACCATTGCAAAACAGAGGAGGTATTATCACTCTCATCTGCCCATGGCATCTGAGATAAGACTGAACAAATCAGTTTGCTGAGTACAGCTCAGTGCTCGGAAGCTCACTTCTGGGTACAGGGTGCCCAGTAGCAGGGCAGAGCCTGAAAGCCTCACCCGGGCAGTGATGGGGAGAGCCGATAAGAGGGTTGGTTCCTGTAATCACAGTATGTTCAGAAACTCCCTGGTGGTTATAGATGTGGAGAAAATTCTCACCCTCCCACGTTGGTTGGAGCAATGTCTCAGGTCATAGCTAGGGAGCAAAACTTTGAAAAAATTTTTACAATGTGAGAGAGGCATAGTGAAAGCTCACCTAAGACATGGGGGGCTGAAAGCTATGTCAAGAGAAGAGGGAGGTTCCAATGTTAGCAGAAGAAGCAAACACATCAGCCTAGACAGTGGCTCTCTTCTAGACCCTCCTGGCCTCTGTAATTTAATTATTGGTGCAGGTGAAATTTAAAATAGAATAAAGAAATACAGTCAGGTAGGTTTCGTAAAGCTGTTTGCTTTGTGAGCCAAGGGGCAGAAGGAGAGAAGGAAAAATGATATTGACTCAATAATTAGAAGTTGAGAGTAAATATGGTCAGTGTAAACAACTTGGCTTTTAAAGAGAGCATTTCACCATTCCCTGGGCACCCATGGAGGCTGGGAAGAGGAAAATAGAATGAGCATAAATTGCTGAAGACACCTTTCCTATCTCCATTCCATCTTTAGGGTTTCTTAACCTGGCACCAAGAGGAGGTCCTGACTGCTTTGCAAAAAACAACAACTTGTTTGCAAATTTATGTCCCTTGTACCTATGTGCACTTGTCTGACTTTTGTAAGAGTTCATGACCTTCCCACTAAGATTTAGAAAAGACTCATCTTTAAGAGATGCAAAAATCAGTGATATATAACCAGGGAAAAATAGTCATTTTGGTCAATGAGGGCTAGAACTGCATTGTTGTCAGTTGCCACTGAATTTCATGTAACACAGAGCCTGGCTCAGAGGAGGTACACAATGAATGTAGGGGTGGAAACAAACAAGCAAGCCAACAACAGGCACCACACTGGTGTAGCATTAGCCAACAGTTCTTGGGCAGCTTTTAGGGGCTGAGGACTCCATGAATTAACTCATCCCACTCTCCCTGCAACACTGCAGAATAGGCAATGTCATGCCCATTTTACAGATGAGGAAACCAGCCTGTATTGAGGCTAAATGACTTGCCCTGCCACCAGCTCATTAGAAGCAGCAGGATTTGACCCAGAGCCACCTGCACAGAAGGCTGTAATTATCCACAGCTGAGAGCAGAGGACAGGACTAAGTCATTCTTTAAAGGAGAGCTCACGAGTCCAGGCCTTTAAAATCTCAGGCCCAGATGCTCAGCCTGATGGACAGGCGGCAGGCCACAGGTGAGGGCTTGGAGGAAAAGCCCATTCCTTCTCCACGTGACCTGCTGCTTTCAAAAGAGGACAAGATAATTTCTCAAATCTCACTCTAGCATGGGCTGAAGCTAAGGAAATTGGAATGTGCCCCAGGGTTTCCCAAAGAGCTGCCCAGCTCTCCCATAAGATGACCCGAGGTGATCATGACCCAACAAACAATGCTGCAACTGCTCATGAAAACCACAAAACAGGCTGGTGCTGAAGGTCATGCCCTCCTGGCCATGGGGGGCGGCTCCAGAGCTGGACCTTGAACTTGCTCCTTGCCGACTTCACGGAGCACCTTTCAGGAGTGAGTAAGGCAAGGTGCTAGATGACAGTGAGGCATGAATCACTGGGATCTGCAGGAATCTGCATGGCTTTTCTCTCCTCCCACTCTCCTGTCCAACACATGCACACCAAATCCCCACAGTGGCTGGAGGTGGCAGCCAGGTATAAATTATATAGAGAGCTAATGGAGCTAAGTCACGTGGGTCAGGAGGATGGTGGCCTTGCTGGTCCCACCATTTGGGGGAAGGAAGTGGTCACGGCTCCAGAATTGGACTGGGCACATACATTATACCTCCTGGGCTCAGCAATGCCTAAGTGGGTGCCCAAAATGGGCAGTGTGCAGAAAGAACCAGACGGTACACAGATGAGCTTTAAAAAACTTTGATATATATATATATTATTGTGATTTATTAATATGACTTAGGAAAAAAAAAATTCAACCTAACCCATATCTGACTCATTCCTTGAGAGGCAGTCTGTTTCAGGGTCCGGTACCAGACACAGCATGGGTTTGAATCAGTGAGACTGAGCAGGTAACTTGTAACCTCTCTGTGCCTCAGTTTCCCTATATGTTAAATGGGAGGAAATAACACAAAATAGAACCACCTCAAGGGAGACGATATTGACCAGAGTAATATATTTGATTACCTACAGCAGTGCCTGGCATATCATAAGTGTTCTCTGAGTGATACGTGTGATTATTACAGATATTATTGCTTTTAAAAATGCTAAATTTATGTTGAAAAAGTTCAAATATATATGTATATGTATATTGTATGAGCATGTGTGTTCGTGTGCGTGTGTGTGTGTGTGTGTGTGTGTGTGTGTGTGTGTATAAAATGTAGGCTGGCGCAGTGGCTCATGCCTGTAATCCCATGATTGCTTGAACCCAGGAGTTCGAGACCAGCCTGGGCAACATAGCAAGACTCCATCTCTACAAGAAATGTAGCTGGGTGTGGCAGTGCATGCCTGCGGTCCCAGCTACTTAGGAGGCTGAGGTGGGAGAATTGCTTGAGCCCCGGATGCTGAGGTTGTGGTGAGCCGGGATCGTGTGGTGAGCCGGGATCGCACCACCGCACTCCAGCCTGGGCGGCAGAGCCGGACTCTGTCTCAAAAAAATAAAATAAAACAAAATAAAATGTGAAGGCCAGTGCAAAAGCTGGAGGATATGGGAGGCCTGGACAGGTAGTATAGAACTGACTGTAATCTGGGAAACACTGAACCATCACATAACTGGTTTAGTCAGTCTGTCTCCCTGCCTGCTATACCCACAATCCCAGCATGATTCTCCTTGAGCTGTATGTCCCCATGTGATACCTTGTGCCCAAGGGCCTTTACCAAAGACAGCCAGACTCTCCAGCTGGCCTCCCTGACACTGGAGGCTTGCAGGGTGGGGGAACGGGATGTCCATGATTCTCCAGCAAGCTCCCCATGTTATCTCAGCTCCATCTTGGCCCATCCTATCTCTCCTGCCTATCAGAAACCTAGAGGGAGCTGACTGATGAACATGATCTGACTCATCAGAAGTTGAATGGCAAGAGGTTCGTGGAAACATCACCTCTTCCCACTCTCTGCCCACACCTCTGGCCCTGAGAAAGGAGTTTGAAATGTCCAGATCCGGTGTGCCTAGCACAGCCTTGCAGACTCTGTGGGCCCACAAAGCTGCAGGCCAGCCCTGCCCCGATGGGCCTATTCTGTCTTCTGTCAATGCCAGGTCACAGCCTGCAACAGGTAGCCCCAGCAGCACTCCACATACCCTTTGTAGAAATACAGGGGACACTCTATGACTGCCTCCAGGGTCTCCTGCTGCAATGAACTTTGAAGGGATCCTGTTTTGCATGTCAGTACCAAATGTCCTTGGAGGGGAACCAAGATTAACTTGCCTTATCTTGAATTCTGCCTCTCAGTCAACTGGGTTATGGCAAAGTTCCACAGCCGGCAGAGAAATTCAGACCATCCCAGGGCACCTTAACCCCCAACACATCTTTCTGAGGCAAGGACAGCAAAATAGCCTCTTGGTACCCCAGCCCTGCAGCAGGCAGGGGTGCCCAGCACTCTTGGGTTCTGTGCAATCTGACAAACATGGCCCGGGCCTTCTTCACCCACTCAGACTGAGACCCCTGAATGCTAAACTCCCTTGAGAAAAGGAGAGATGGGAGAGTTTTAGGGAGCCTGGGGAGCATCCTGTATCCTTGTAAACAGTTGAAAAACTGACAAGAGCCAGGCACAGTGGCTCAAGCATGTAATCCCAGCACTTTGGGAGGCCAAGACGGGCGGATTACTTGAGGTCAGGAGTGCGAGACCAGCCTGGCCGACATGGCGAAAAACTGTCTTTACTAAAAACACCAAAAAAAAAAAAAAATAGCTGGGCATGGTGGAGGGCGCCTGTAATTCCAGCTACTCAGGAGGCTGAGACACAAGAATCATCTGAACCTGGGAGATGCAGGTTGCAGTGAGCCGAGATCGCACCACTGTACTCCAGCCTGGGCAACAGAGGGAGACTTCATCTCAAAACAAACAAACAAACAAACAAAAATGCTGACAAGCGCTAAGCCAGAGCAGAGCCCCTTGCTTAAGGTAGGTGAGATCTTAGCTAAAGTGGTCAACACTGTGGAACTGGCATAGGAATGAATGAAACAGATCAAGGGAACAAAAAAGAGGCTCCCAAACATGAGGCATTTACCTGTGGAACACTGAGTATGATACCGGTGGATATTAAAGGATTGTGACAAACACTGTCTCTTTAATAAACAATACAGGGGAAACTGGTTAATCATTTGTCAGGAGGGCTAAAATTAAATTATTACCTACACTATACACACACACACACACACACACACATACACACACAAATAAATTCCAGGTGGATTCAATATCTAATGGTTTTTTAAATTATATGACTGTTGTATTTAGTGAAAGCAGTCAGTTACTAAAGGACAAATACTAAATAAATTCCACTTACATGAGTTACCTAGAGTAGTCAAATTCATGAAGACAGAAAGTGGCATGATGTCTGCCAGGGCCTGGGGGAAATGGGGACAGGGAGTTATTGTTTAATGAATACAGAGTTTCAGTTTTATAAGAGGAAAAGTGTTCTGGATTCAATTGTTACACATTGTATATATGCATCAAAACATCATCACAATGTCAAAAAGATGTTTTTTGAAAAAGTGTTCCAGAGATGGACGGTGGTGATGGTTGCAGAACAATGTGAATGTCCTTAATGCCATTAAACTATACATTTTTTTTTTAAGACTGAGTCTCACTCTGTCGCCCAGGCTGGAGTACAGTGGCGTGATGATGGCTCACTGCAACCTCCGTCTACCGGGTTCAAGCAATTCTCTGCCTCAGCCTCCCAAGTAGCTGGGATTACAGGTGCCCACCACCACACCAGGCTAATTTTTGTATTTTTAGTAGAGACGGGGTTTCACCATCTTAAAAATGGTAAAGATGGCAAATTTCGCATTATATGTATTTTACAACAATTTAAAAAATAATTTCTCAAAGTCATATTTTTAAAAATTATATGATCATCAGAGAATAATATGAGATCCTACTTTGTCATAATCTTAGGGTGGGAAAGGGCTTTTTGTTGTCTTAAGCAAAACATAAAATACAGAATCCATCAAAGAAAAGGTTGACAGAGTTAAAGTCACAATTGCATTAAGATTGACAAAGATTGGCCGGGCGCGGTGGCTCACGCCTGTAATCCCAGCACTTTGGGAGGCCGAGGCGGGCGGATCACGAGGTCAGGAGATCGAGACCATCCCGGCTAAAACGGTGAAACCCCGTCTCTACTAAAAATACAAAAAATTAGCCGGGCGTAGTGGCGGGCGCCTGTAGTCCCAGCTACTTGGGAGGCTGAGGCAGGAGAATAGCGTGAACCCGGGAGGCGGAGCTTGCAGTGAGCCGAGATCCCGCCACTGCACTCCAGCCTGGGCGACAGAGCGAGACTCCGTCTCAAAAAAAAAAAAAAAAAGATTGACAAAGATTGCTAAGGAATGTTTTGATGACAGTTAAGAGAACAGGAGAATAAAGACAGACCCCCTGCTCAGTCGGGATGGTGGAACTCCAGTCCAGGGCTTCCCAAACCTTGGCCATTCCTTTACTGCCTTTATGAGTTTTGCCCCTTCATTCAATACCTACCTTATCATTTACCTATATTTCCTTTAAATTCTTATTTCAATTAACTTAATTGGGGTATGCTTTACATACAATAAAATGTACCCATGTTAAGTGCACAATTCCATGAGTTTTGACAAACCTATATACCCATGTAACCATCTCTGCCATTGAGAGAGGCCTTTTACATCATCCCCAAAAAGTGCTTCTTGGCTCTTTTATCTCACTCCTCTCTCCTCATCCCAGGGTCCAGCAAACTATTGTCGCTACATTTTGCCTATTCTAAGAAGATCATAAAAGTGGAATCATAGAGTGTGCAGTCTTTTTTTTCTAATTTCTCTCAGTTAACATATACTTTTTTTTTTTTTTTGAGACAGAATCTCGCTCTGTTGCTCAGTCTGGAGCTTAATGGCACAATCTTGGCTCACTGCAACCTCCGCCTCCCAGGTTCAAGTGATTCTCCTGCCTCAGCCTCCTGAGTAACTGGGATTACAGGCATGCACACCACACCCAGCTAATTTTTGTATTTTTAGTAGAGATAGGGTTTCGCCATGTTGGTCAGGCTGGTCTTGAACTCTTGACCTCATGATCCGCCCGCCTCAGCCTCCAAAAGTTATCATATACTTTTGAAATTCATCCATGTCATGGTGGGCCTTCATATTTTGTTCTTTTCTATTATTGGGTAGTTCTCCATCGTGTGGGTATGCCATAATTTCTTTATCTGTCCACCTGTTGATGGATATTTAAGGGGTTTCCAGTTTGGGGAATTTAAAACAATAAATTTATTATTTATAAATAATATTGCTGTGAATATCTGCATGTGTCTTTGTGTCGACATATGCTTTCACCTCTCTTGGGCAAACACCTAGGAGCAGAACAAATGTCAAGTGTAATCGTTGTTGTTATAATGATAGTGTAAACTGCTAGTACAGAAGGTGCTCCGTGGACAAAGGAGGTTTTGAGTCATTCTGTCAACAAATGGCCATTGTCAAATAGCTACTGTAGGCCTGACACTGTCTTAGGCTCTGCATCCCCAGAGGTAGAAAAGGAAAGACAGGCCTGCTCCTTCCCTTCATGAAGTTTGTACTCAGAGGGAGACAGAAAAACAGGCATGCAAACAATAGATCAGCTAATTTCACTTCCTAGTAAGAGCTAGAAGAATGATCAACAAGAATAATTTGATACAAAGAAATGTTGTATATGTGGTTATATCAGCAAGGGTCTCCCTGAAGATTCTGAAGCTGAGACCTAAACAATAATGAAGAATCAAAAGCGGCCTTGAAAAGACAGGGATCACAGGGAGAAGGGTGGAGTGAGTTGAGTTTTCCAAGCTGAAGGAACAGCATGTACAAAGGCCCTGAGTTCATAGGTTTGAGGAGCAGAATAGGCCAGAGGTGAGAGGTTAAGGGAAGGCCTGATCATGCAGGGCCTGGAAAGTTCTCTAAGTAGTTTGTATTTTATTCTGGTTGGAACAGAAATCTTTTTCTTAAAGCCAGGGAGGGATGTGATTGGATTTGAGTTTCAGAAAGATCACTCTGTCTGCTGTGCAGAAGACAAACCACATTTGGAGATGAACCCAATTTGGAGGCCGTTGCAGGAATCCAACGTAGATTTGATAGCAAGAGATGTTTGAGGCTTAGACTTGGCTGGAGACAGTACAGATGGTGAGACGAGGGCCTGTACAGGACATATTTTGAAGGTAGAGGTGACAGACATGCTGAAGGATTAGATACAGAGTGTGAAGGAATGAGGGAGTCAAGATGGGTCTTAGGTTTCTGGCCCCAGTAATTGGTGAACAAGATTCTGCAGCCAGAATCTGCATCCTCCATAGAACTTTTTATCCAGAGTTCCACACTCCGTCCCTCACACAGACTAGGAATTGGATGAACTGGCTGTCCTAGTCCATACCAGTCGGTCAGCCTGTGCTCCCCCTCCCCCCGTGCCCCATTAGATGAAAGGGAAAATGGCCTCATCAAACAGAGCAGATATGTGAATTAACAAATACCAGTGCCTCCGGTGCCCACAATAGCAAAAAAAAGAGATCCAAGAAAACACTGATATTTATTTATCTTCTGTTTTCTTTCAGATCTAGCAATGTGACAATAACACGTGTCACTGTCAGCCCAGGCCCTGCTGGCAACACCTTGAAAACTATGCAGAGGTTTAGAAAATAAACAGCAGTCTCTCTGATTCCAGTGATAAAATACCAGTGTAAGGAGAGCCTCCTGAGATCCATAATCTGGAATTGTCAGGGGATAAGAATTGTCTGTCTTTTTGATAAAAGATGTCAGCTACCCTTCTGGGTTTTAAACAGAGAGAAATACTTCTGATTATGAGACTGGCTGTGTATCATGAAGTCTGTTGAAAGAATTCATGTGTGCAATAAATGTGCTTGCCTTGCCCATCAATGTCCTTAAAATTTCCTTATCAGAAGGAAATTCAACTAAATCAGAGGCACGAAAAGTACACAACTCTAGAGTGGCTTGTTTTTGTCTGAGAGCTTGCTTCGTGAAGCTGTAGTTTCCTGATTACTATTCAGCTCAAAAAGCCTTCAAAGACCACTCCAGAATTTGGCAATTATTATTTTTTTAAGGCTTAGGACTAATTAGCCTCATGAAAGATTGTTTTGTTGCTTGTGGTCTGTGGTTGTTATATGGCTTGTTTTGCCTTGAAAAATGCTGCAATTGCTTTATTCTTACTCAATTGAAATTCAACAGGGGAAAAAATAGCCCAATTAGGAATCATCAGCAGACTGCCGCACACATCATAAGCCCCAAATAAATAAATATTTATTGAATGAGTGAATGAGTGACTGAATATTAAACAGCCTCACTGACTAGGGCACACTAAAGATCCAAAATAAGAATTTAAATAGCCATCAACACCTGTTGATCAAGGCAAGCTAGAGGACTTGGTCTTATTAATACTGGTCAAACTCTCAAATGACCTTCAGAATATTGTGAAAGGCCAGTTATTCAATCAACAAACATTCATGGAGTGTTCGCTGTCCTCCAGTCTGCTTGCTAGGTGCTGGGGGCGCAGCAGGGAGCAGAATACCACAGTCCCTGACCACCTGCAGCTCCTACTCTAGTGGGGGAAGGCAGACAAAATACAAGTACACAAACTAAAGAAAGAATTTAGGTTTAACTCAATACTGCAATCGAGGTTGACAGGAGTTAACCTGCTCTGGTTAGGGAAGTCTGTGAGGCCACTCTGAGGAGGTGTCATTTAGTCTGAGCCCTGGAGTATGAGACTGCATCAGCCAGCCAGGCTCCATGGCTCTTGCCTATAATCCTAGCACTTTGGGAGGCAGAGGTGGGAATCTCGCTTGAGGCCAGAAGTTCGAGGCCAGCCTGGGCAACATAGAGAGACCCTGTATCTACAAAAAATAGTAAAAATTAGCCAGGCATGGCGGCTCATGCCAGTAGTCCCAGCTACTCAAGAGGCTGAGGCAGGAGGATCACTTGAGTCCAGGAGTTAGAGGCTGCAGTGAGCTATAATTGTACCACTGCACTCCAGCCTGGACAACAGAGTGAGACCCTGTCTCTAAAAAAATAACAAAAAAGTAAATATAAATAAATAAATAATGTTTTTTAAAAAGAGAACACATCAGCCACGCGAGATTGTGGGTGTTTGTGGCATAGGAAGGAAATGATGCTCAGAATGGATTTGTTTCCTGAGGCTACTGGAAACTACCAGAAACTTTGTGGCTTAGAAATGACAGAAATTTCTTCTCTTACAATTTGGTAAACCAGAAGTCCAAAATTAGTATCCCCAGACTGAAATTATGGTGTCTGCAGGGCCACACTCCAGGGGAGGCTTTCCCTCTCTTGCTCCTCCAGCTCTGGTGGCTGCCAGCGTTCCTTGGCTTGTGACGGCATCGCTCCCGTTTCTGCCTCCATCTTCACCTCCTCATCTCTGTGTGTGTGTCTTCTTCTGAGCCCTCTCAGAAGTACCTTGAATGTCTATTACTTCTGCCAACAGCCTGATTGAGACAATCTAGCGTTTTTTCCCTCATGCGCCTTAAAATTCTTCCTGTTTCTATCCATTCTTCAATTCCAAAGCCACTGCCACAGTTTTCAGCCAGTGTCACGGGGGCATCTCACTTTCTTTAGCCAGCTGAAAATCTCATCAGTTATTAAGATGTTTGTCATACAGTCAGACTTGGCTATCTGGCAGGCTCAGGGGCCATGTGATTAGAGGCTATGGGATGTATTCCTTCTTTGCACCAATTTCTTTTTTATCTTAACCATTTTGTCTGGCAATACACCTGCAATGTACTCTGTTGTTCAGTATTGTATTTTCTTTTCTTTTTTTTTGTTTTTTGAGATGGAGTCTTGCTCTGCCCCCAGACTTTAGTGCAGTGGCATGATCTCAGCTCACTGCAGCCTCCACCTCCCGGGTTCAAGCCATTCTCCTGCTTCAGCCTCCCGAGTAGCTGAGACTACAGGTGCGCGCCACCACGCCAAGCTAATTTTTGTATTTTTACTAGAGACGGCATTTTACCATGTTGGCCAGGATGGTCTCGGTCTCCTGACCTCATGATTCACCCACCTCAGCCTCCCAAAGTGCTGGGATTACAGGCATGAGCCACCGCGCCCGGCCCAGTATTGTATTTTCTAAAACAAATAATGCTTACTATAATTTTATCTTTTCTGGCTAGCCCTGGGGTCATGAGGATAAACTTCTGTTATTGCAGGAGAGCAAAACCTGGTCCAAAGACAACGGAGTGTGATGCTGGTGACCACACACTAAACATTCCCCCATGTTAGCTTTTGTGCCTAAAAGTCGAGGTTTTCCCCACATTGCTTGGCTCATTCACTCCTTTTGCCCTTGGGTCTTCTCCTAGGCTCCGTGCCAGATTGTAACACCCAGAGTCTTAGCCTCTTGAGTTTCTGTGTTGGAAACATCCAGCCCTTACTTGAAATTCTGCCCTGAAAAAAGGAGGTTAGGCCGCTGTGATCTTTGCCAAACACAAATGGGTAGGTCACCGCCCCACCCCCACATGCTTAAAATCATGTAATGGTTTCCCATTGCTTTTGGGATAAAGTCCATCACTTTACATGGTGCTGGCATTGTCAACATGGCCCAGCCTAGTGTGGTCAAAGCGGACCTCTCCAGACCCACCCCTAACTCTGTCCTCCAGCCACCCCTCAAGTCTTCACGCCTCTTCAGTCCCTCATGTCTGCGATGCTCTCTTCTGCCACGGATCCTTTGCACTTGCGGTTCCCTTTGCTGGGAATGTTCTCTTCCTGTCGCTCCCTTGTCTGGTGAGCTCTTCTCATGCTTCAGGTCTCAGCCCCAGTGTCTCCTTCCTGGGGAAGCCTTTTCTGACTTTGCTGACCAGGGATTTTTGCCCTACAGGCTCCCAAAGCACTGGGTTGCTCTCCTCGCCAGTTCTCACGGAAGATGAACACATTTTGCCCTTGTTGACGTGCTGCTGTAACTGCCTCCTTGTCGCCTGGATCATTTGCTCCTGAGAGGCTGCATCTGTTCTATTCATTGCCGTGTCCCGGTGCATTGCAGAGTGCCTGCTCCACACGGGCTGAATGAGTGGATGAGTTAGTGAATGAACAACCTGCTAAAGTCCTAGATCACCAAGGAAAATGATGACCTCAGGCCAGGCGCGGTGGCTCACACACAGGACAGTTCCTGTTGGGGGGAACACAGGACTTCCATGGCCTCACTCACATCCACAGTTGTCAGGACGTGGACTCCAGTCTCTGGCTATGTGGGTCCCCATGCCATGGTGTGACCTTCAGAATTTATTTAACCTCCAGTGCTTTTGTTTCCTCATCTGAAAAATGGGCTTTTTGAAAAGAAGTTCCTATCTCCTAGGATCGATGATAAGATTAAATGAGTTGATACAGGCAAATACTTCAAACGGGGCCACATAAATAGCATGAGTGCTGCAGGTGTAGCCGTCGCTATTACTGGTGGTGTTGACATGCTGTAAATACCATCTCCCCTTAAGCATTGGAATGGTCAAGGCATAAGATGAATGGATTAATCCAGTTTTCTGGGTTGGGCCAGATGAAGGGGCAATCAATCCCTGTACATATCAATTTTCAAATAATGCACTATCATAAAATAACATGCAAGCTGGAGGGAATAGAATCAACCTCTTTGGTGAGTCAGAATGATGTTTCAGACCCAACAAGGCTCAGGGATCCCCTGGGAGTCCCTGATGCAGGCAGCACCACGTGAGGTTAACATTGCAGAACCTGGAACCGGGCTCACCTGGGTTCAAATCCTGGTGCTGCCTCTTTCTGGCTCCCCTGCACACTTCCATGATCCCCTCTCTGTTCTCATCTGGAAAATGGGAATAATATTAGGGCCATTGTGAGGACTTAATCAGATAATTGACTTAAAAGCCTTCAGCCTCTGTCTCAGCACAGAGTAAGTACTTGACAAATGATTGCTTCTATTTGTTAGGATTGGACAGAATTCAACACTGCAAGGCACAGGGGCCACCCTCCTAGATCCTCAATGGCTGACGATGTACAAGATGCATGCTGGATCCTGTAGGGTTTTTAACTAAAACCCTGATGTCCTCTTATACTTCTGCTACTTGTCTTGTTCTTAAAAACCAAGAACTAGCAAATACTGGGTGACAGGCGTCAGCTTGCTGCCTGGGTTCTGCCCTAACAGGAGTTGACAATATTGCAGCAAATCAACACTACACGCTTTGGACAAAACAGCAGCCCTGCCTTGCTACTGTAAAGGGCATTTGTCATGTTGTTTGCAGTAGGGGGATGGTTTCCCCTCTCCTTCTGGACTTGCACCTAATTCCGACCGGAGTGTGTACCAGCTGCCTGCCCCAGACTGGCCCAGCAGTCATCTATCTAGATGAGAAGCAATTTCATAAATTCAAACGGGGCACATTTCCTATGCAATTTATTTAGCTTAACAAGTTAATCAGAGTCCACGAGCCCAATTTGTCACTGTGCTATTTTCTTTTGCTGGCTGCTCTAATTGTATAAATATGCCCAGAGGTTTGACGAAACTTCTAACACATCAAACAATAAATGGCCCACTTACAGAGTGTACTGTGGCTATTTTGAAGCAAGGCTTTTCCCCTCTTGAAGCTGGCAGCTCCTACCCATCTAACAGCCTGGCACCATGCTGGCAGCTCCTGCCCATCTAATACCCTGGCACCATTTGGTTACTGGTCTTTTGCTTTTTTTTTTTTTTCTTTTTTGAGACAGGGTCTTGTTTTGTCACCCACACTGGAGTGCAGTAGTGCAATCCACAGCCTCAAACTCCTGGGCTCCAGAGATCCTCCTACCTCCACCTCCCAAGTAGCTGGGACTACAGTTGTGCATCATTATGCTTGGCTAATTTTATAAATTTTTTAATAGACAGGGTCTCACTATGTTGCCCAGGCTTCTCTCAAACTCCCGGGCTCAAGTGATCCTCCAACCCTGACCTCCCAAAGTGCTGGGATTACAGGCATGAGCCGTTTTGCCCAGCGTGGTCCTTTGGATTCACTCGCAGCACCCAGGACCTGAACGGCAGCAAACAGGGAATGGTGGGCAAGGTGGAAAGATGCCGCAAAATGCAGCTGTCTCTGACTCCTGGTCTAATTCCAGAAAACACCACATCGTATCCTCCACCAGGTCTTCTCCCTCTTTGGGATTAGGCAAAAGGGCAAATGGCCAGACTTGGGGGCTCAAGAGCTTGCTTTCTCTGAGACGTGGGCCTCTTCTGTCAAATTCGCATCTGAACTGCTTTCAGTGCCTGATTTATGAAGAGGCAGGCAGCGAGGCTGTTCGGCTGGTCCCTGGAAACCGATCATAAATCTGAGGCGTGTATCACAGGTGGTAGACTTCTCTGAGCTGATGGCCAAGAGAAGCGTAGGAAACCGAGACGAATGTGTCTGCATTGAGTCCTGGAAGTGTGCGTTTCCAGGATTTCCTTTTTATTCATTTTGAATTCCCTCCTCTTGGATTTAAACCTTCTGTCTCCTCTGTGTTCACGTGAACATTTCAACCTATCAATTTCATTTTAATAAAGGAGGTGTCCAGCGAGGAGATAAAACGTTTTTTAAGACAGAAAACTTCTGCCCCCCCACCCCACCCCCATTTTTCACACATTTTGTCCCCAGTCGCAGATGTTTCCTCTGCCTTATCGGTGTGCTGAAAAGAAATGCAATACGCTGGGCTTTCAAATTTTCCGCCACGGAAACAAAAGACAACAGGAGGGGAGAGGGGCCTTGCTTAACCTGGAGCCAGGATAGGCTAAGGGGAAATGGAAAAAGGCCGGTGCCGTGGGAGCAGAGTTGGCAGAGCCAATGCCACAGATCCTGTTTCCTTGGTTCAGTGCTGAAAAGCAGTCAAGTAACAAGTGCTCCACCCTCCTGTCCAGCGCCACCGCGGATATAGCCCTGATGTCACCTTCCTTATGATCTCAGGGCTCCAGCTTCAGGCTGAGTTGGGATTGTGCACAGGGGCCCAGTAGACAGCCCCCTCCCAGTCTTCTCTCTGCTCTTCTGCTGTACTCGCTGGGAATTTCCACGTCCCCATGATGTTAATTGCATGCTTCCTGAGCCATAGCCCTTTCTATCATGTCCAGGAAGTCAGTGACCAAGTCCTCTGCCCCACCCTGCCCCACTAGCTCAGGTGTAACCTAACTCTCAAAGCACTTTATTTAGAATTTTAACTTGAATGTGCACAGTGGGCCCCCTTGTGATGCCCACAGCCTGCACCCAGGTGTGTGAACTGTGTCACTAATCATGCAGGCCTCAAGACATTCTGAGGAGGCCATTGCCACATGCCAGCCAGCAACTACATCGCCCTCTTGCCAAACCCCCCTAAATGGGTATCCAGAGTGTCCCCTCTTATCTGGCAGCTACCACCACCTTAGTTCCCACCTTCACCTCTCTCAGTCTCCAGCATGGGCAAATGTTTTATTTTAATATTATACTTAGATGTTTATTTTAATGGATAATAGAAAATAAATTGGGGTGGTGCATCGTGGCTCATGCCTGTAATCTCAGCACTTTGGGAGGTTGAGATAGATAGATCATTTGAGCACAGGAGTTTGAGACCAGCCTGGGCAATGTAGGGAGGTCTTATCACTACAAAAAAAAAAATGTTTTTAATTAGTTCAATGTCATGGTGCATGCCTGTGGTCCCAGTTACTCAGGAGGCTGAGGTGAAAGGATTGCTTGAGCCCAGGAGGTCGAGGCTGCAGTGGGCTGAGATTGTGCCAATGCACTCCAGCCTGGGTGACAGAGTGAGACTCTGTCTCAAAAAAAAAAAAAAAGGAAGAAAATAAGTTGCTTTTTCATTTTATAGTAGTAATATAAAGCTATCTTTTCAAGTAAACATATCTAAATAAAGAAGTAAGTTCATTGCGCCGGGCATGGAGGCCGAGGCGGGCAGATCCCCTGAGGTCAGGAGTTTGAGACCAGCCTGGCCAACATGGCAAAACCCCATCTCTACTAAAAATACAAAAATTAGCTGGCTTGTAGTCCCAGCTACTAGGGGGGCTGAGGCAGGAGAATTGCTTGAACCCAGGGGGTAGAGGTTGCAGTGACCCAACATCGTGCCACTGCACTCCAGCCTGGGTGACAGAGTGAGATTCCACCTCAGGAAAAAAAAAAAAAAAAAAAAGAAGTAAGTTCATTTACATTTTGAAAAGTTAAGACAGGCAGCTTGTAGCATGCAGATAGGGCAAAACAAGGGCCACATGATGTGCTGGTCGAGGACTCGAGCCTGAGTCTGAAGCCCAGCTCTGTAACTGGCTAGCTGTGTGACCTTGGGCAAGTTCCTTAACCTCTCTCTGTTCCTCCTAGGGTTGCAGTGAGGTTTAGGTGAGTTACTGCTGGACTGAGCAGGGTGAGTGTCGCACAGTGTTGCCGCCTCACCACTGGGGAGCTCCAGACTATCACACCAGGCTTCCCCGCGCCTCCTGGAGGGATGGTTCTAAAAGCTGACCCTGATCTTGTCATTTCTCTGCTGTAAACTCTCCCCACGAGGAAGTCTGAACCTCTCACAATGGCCCCCAGGGGCTTCTGTGATCTGTCTCCAGTCGATTTCTACAACTTGCTCTGCCATTTGTCATTTGTACTCAATAATGCCGCAATGCCAGGCTCATGACTGCCCCCCAGATGCACCTCGCTCGTTCAGGCTCCTGTGCAGTCCCATGCTACACCCTCTGTCAGTCCTGCCTCTCCCTCGTCTTGTCCATTGATGGGCAAACTTCTCCTCCTGTGTCCAGGCTTGTTCAAATATCAGTTCCCCAAGATACCTTCCTTGATTCTTCCTCCATGGATGGGGTTAGGCACTGAAACAGCAGAAATGTGCTACCTGTGCCTCCATTTAAAATCACAAAGCTAAAACTAGGTAAAATTCCAGGTTATTTTTTAAAATTATGAACAAAATGATTAGAGGCCAAGCATGGTGGCTCACGCCTGTAATCCTAACACTGGGAGGCCAAGGCAGGTGAATCACTTAAGGTCAGGAGTTTAAGACCAGCCTGGCCAACATGGTGAAGCCCCATCTCTATTAAAAAAAAATAATAATAATAATAATAATTAGCCAGGTGTGGTGGTGCATTCTTGCAATCCCAGCTACTTGGGAGGCTGAGGCGAGAGGATCACTTGAACCCAGGAGGCAGAGGTTGCAATGAGCCAAGATCATGCCACTACACTCCAGCCTGGATGACAGAGCAAGACTGCATCTCAAAAATAAATAAAAAAATAAACAAGTTATGAACAAAATATCATGTTAATAGCGAAAAAGGGTTTGACTTAAGATTTCAACTTGATAAATGAATAGAAAATTACTTCAAAATACATTTATCTGATTTTTAAGCATATTTAAGTTACCACCACAACTATGTGCTAATTTTGGAACTAACAAGGAATAATAACTGGCCTTTGTTTATAATTCCTATAAAATTATGTGATAAATCAATATGACAGTTTGATGTTTGGCTTTGGTAGCGGGATTACTTAGAAAGATCATTTCGTGAACCTATCAAAGAGTTTCATTCATTTTCTCAAGAAACTCTCAATACCTTGACGTTCAACCCATCCTCTTCTCATGCAGTTACTGTGTCATTATCCCTGATGATTTTTCTCTTTTTCATTTGCCAACACTCTACCATGGCCAGGTCTTCTTTGAACACTGGCTTTGTGAACTATTCCAAGTAGTCCTGCAATATCGCTTTCATCTGCTTCATGAAACCCTGCATCTTTGGCAAGACTGGTGATTTCAGTTTGCAATTGATTTGAATTGTCTTACTCAGGTGTGTTGAAACGTTTAGAACATGCGACAATCACAAAGGGGCTGAAGACAAAGAGATTTCTGTAGATACTGGAGGGGTGTTCTGAGGACATTTGCATCTCCCTACAAACTGATACTTCAGAGACTCCAAGACTGAATACTCAGCAAGAACCTCTGTCTCTCTTGTAGCCCCTACAACTGACTGATTTATAATTGAACATGTGTGCCTTCTGCTTGCACCCAAAATGTGCCTTCAGCGCCCTGTATTCCTCTTTCTGCATCTGTCCCCTACTTCTCTCTTCTCCAACCTCATGCCTCCATCACCACCCTGACACACATAGACAACTACACACACCCTTCCCGTCTTCCTCCCATTTTCATTTTCTTTTCTTTATTTTTTTCTTTCTTTCTTTTTTGCGACGGAGTCTCCCTCTGTCGCCCAGGCTGGAGTGCAGTGGCGTGATCTCGGCTCACTGCAAGCTCCGCCTCCCGGGTTCACGCCATTCTCCTGCCTCAGCCTCCCGTGTAGCTGGGACTACAGGCGCCCGCCACCACGCCCGGCTAATTTTTTTTGTATTTTTAGTAGAGACGGGATTTCACCGTGTTAGCCAGGATGGTCTTGATCTCCTGACCTCGTGATCCACCCGTCTCGGCCTCCCAAAGTGCTGGGATTACAGGCGTTAGCCACCGCGCCCGGCCTGCCATTTTCATTTTCAAACACTGGATGTTGAGAAAGGTGATTCTCACTGATACCATCAGGCAGGAACGGCAAATACATTTTTAATTATCACGTTCAACCTTATCAGTTAATATAGCTGCCCTGGAGTTATCTATGGGAAGAGAATGTGGATGGGATCCTAGTCCTGCCCCAGGGTGGATTTTACACACATGGATCCTCTCCGGGACTCTTCACATCAAGTCCCTTCGCTCAGCCTGTTGAGTCGTCTAGTAACCATCCCTGAAAACACTTCTGCATGCCAGGACTTAGCCCAGAGCCCTGATGAAGGAACAGCTTGGGCTGCTATCCAGGAATCTCATGTTGCAGATGGGGTTGGGAGCAGGATACATTCCATATTCTTAACATTTTGCAGACTGTACAAATGGTAATTTTTATTGTTCAAGTCATATGAAACATGTTTCCTTTTTTCTGCTATGTGTTGGCAAAGTTTTTTTCTCTGTCAGAAATACCCACCACTCCAAGATACCCACCTCTCTAGTCCTGAAGAAGAATGTGAGCCACATTTTCTACTGGGCCCAAAGAGGTCACGGCACACCCTGAAGCCTCCAGAAATACCAGAAATGGGTCATCAAGGGACAAGATCTTGCTTTGCTTCACTGGAACCATCCATCTATCCATCTATTCATTTATTTATTCAGTGAATGAGACCACCAGTCTCTGTCCATGATACAGAGGGCCAAAGTCAGCCAAGTTCACCTTAGGGAAGAGCTGGGCACATCAAATGAACCTCTCAGAAGGAGCCATATCTCAGTGAGATAATGACTTTTATAATATCAATTGTATTTTTTTAATTTTAAATTTTTCTCATAGAGAATGTGGACAAATACACAAGTTGACAGAAAATAACACACCTCCACATATCCTTCCTCCAATTCTGTCAGTAAATTCACTTTTAATTTCATAAATAGCACAAGATTACGTTCATTTGTAAAAATTATTTTCAGTTGATATAAAGCTCAATATCTTCTTAACCACCTCCCCCAGTCTCACACCCTATGCCAGAGGTAACTACTATCATTTGGAGGGTTCCCTTCCTGTCCTTTTTCTATAGACTTTTATGTATCTATGTACTTTTAGGAATACATTATATTGCTTTGGGTTTGTTCTATAGTTTTGATTGTATGTTGTGTGTTGTTGCTCTTACGTAGTTTATTTCATTCTGGATCTTTCTGTGTATTGATTATTTTCACCAAATGGTAAGTCTTAGAGAGATTTCCAAGTCTGTGCATTGAGTTCTATCCCTTAGTCATCACTGAAAGTTCATGTTGACCACAGGGGACTGGGGACATGAAATCAACCTGGAGGAGGTGATGGCTACCACAGGACTGTGCATTTTTGAACTTTGGAGAAAAAGTTAGGTTGCTTCCAATTGCTGGCTAAACAATGCTGCCATGAACATCTTTGTGCCAAGAGTCCTTGGTTCATGTACAAGGACTTTCCTGGGGGTAGATAGTGATACCTGGAGGTGGAATTGCTGGGTCAAGGAGGATCCCCATACACATTATTAATTTTTGTAAATACTGCCAAATGTTCTCACATCATACTTCCACTGGAAAAAAAAATGTCCATTTTCCCACATTACACAATATCGAAATGATTAAACTTTAAAATATTTGTAATCTTATGGGTGAACATAGGTATGTAATTTTTTTTGAACTTTTAAGTTCAGGAGTACATGTGCAGGATGTGCAGGTTTGTTACATAGGTAAACATGTGCACAGTTTATTCATCATCCAGGTTTTCGGCCTGGGATCCACTAGTTACTTTTCCTGCTTCTCTCCCTCCTCCCACCCTCCATTCCCTAATTGTAATTTTTATTTTAATTTGCATTTCCCTGATAACTGGTGGGTCTCATTTATCTCTTCTTTCTTACTTTCTTTTGGCCATTTTTATTTTCTTATGTCATTCAATGAAGAGAAGATCATTTGAGGTAAAAACACACCCCCAATGGTGGTCACGACGTCCTCAAAATTCATCTCATGCCTCCTGTCCCCCCAGTCACCATAAACCCTAGGAGATGCTGAGTGGTCCCCCTGGTTGCTCCTCACCACCTCTGTGGTTGGGGGTTATAATAGGAATGAGGGCAGAGGCCCTGCCTTCCAGGACCTGAGGTGATTTCAGGAAAATGAAGCTTTTTCCAACATTTTTAACCAGAGAAGTCTTCTTCAGGGAGAAATTGGAGTGGCTGAGACAAGGGGCTAGGACCATCCTGGGAAAAGCAAGTTGAGAGGTCATGGCACCAATGTGTGAGTTCCCAGCCCTTGTACCTCGCCCCCTGTCCAAGTCACTGTGCTGAGCTCTCGGGCCCGCTGACAGTCTACCCCATCAGGGCCTGGCTTCGGAACTGGCACCAACCCCAGCAGAGGGCACAGCTGTGAAAGAAGCTAATGTTACAGGTAATTTTGGCCATTAAGACTCATGTCCAATTAAACAGATGTGTATCATGTTACTTGGGAGGCCCAGTCTGGTGTAGGTCCTGAGCAGAATCCAGCCCAGAGAACTCCCAGTTCCAAACCTAGCCCTTCCACGGTCTTTCTCATTCAAAAATGCCTTTCCCACTGCCTGCCTGAGAGTTGCAGCAAGAAACACTTTACCAGGGGTCTCCCTGACCCACTTCCCTATGGATCTAAACAGAGCTTGGCACAGCATCTACGGTGAAGATGCAAAGATCTCCTTTGCATCTTTACAATGACCCTTCCCATTCTACAGATGAGGGAGCTGAGTCTCAGAGCTGAAGAATCTTACTAAGGCCATACAGCTCATAAAATAACTCAAACCCAAAGATTCTGATTAAAGGTTTACACCTGTCTCTCACAGACCAGTATTTACAGTTGGTTTTGTTTGGTTTTTGGTTTTTTGCTTTACTTATAGGTCATCTGTACCTTTATTTTCTTCATCTTTTTATTTAAATCATACATTTAAATCTATAGGTTTAAAAACATATAGACCATACTCTAGCAGGAATACCTAGGAAGTTTGGTGTGTAAAGTCTCTATGTTTCCTTATATGCCTACATATGGAAGAAAAGAGAAAATTTACTTTTTGTACCCCTCAGAAGTCACCTTTTGGCAAACCTCCAGGATGCCACTTTTGTACCTCACCTTAGAAATGCCACCTGACACCAGGCAGCTTCCTTGGCGGGGGGTCCTGCCCCTCCATTTCTGGCCAGCCTTCTGGTTGGGGACTGGAGTGTGAGGGAAGCATAGGCTCTGGGGTCAGCCAGACCTGAATTCAAATCCTGGCCTTGCCACTTACCAGCTTTCTGAACTGGGCCCAACTTCTTCTTGTCCCTGAGCTTCAGCTTCTGTGTCTATAAAATGGCACCATTAAGAGCACCCATCCACCTTGCAGGACTCCCAGGCTAACTGAATGCAAGAATGCATATGACAAGCTCAGCGCTGGACAGCTCGCATGAAGTTCTGTGGTTGCTGGGATAGAGAGGAGGCAGGGCAGTGCCTAGTTCCAGCCTGCAAGGGGTCAGGGCAGGGGTCAAGTGCCTGATGCTCTTCTATGACTGACGGTCACACCTCTGGGCTGATTGTCCCTCCAGATTCAGAATTCAGTGTCTTCGGGCCTTGGGCTCAAGCCTCTTCTTGGTTGAACTTTCAGCTCAATCCAAGCTGATAAAAAATAATGACCCCAGATCAGCAGGTTGGTCCCCTATTCGACAACTGCTCCCCCAACCAGAGCAGCAGGAGGCACTGTCCTTCCTAGAGACCCACCCCCCCAAACAATCCAGGGCACGTCTACCTGCTTTTGTAGAGGGCTCCATCTAGGGTCCCCAGGAAGCTGATCTCTCCATATACACTTAGGAGCAGGGGAGTGTAGACAGAGCCACATTGTAACATTGTTTGTAGGCCTCAAGCACTTTTGCCCTTGTAAGCCTCTTCCTCCATTAAAAAAAATAATAACAAAACATATTTTACAACTCTGTTGGTATAAAGACAAATGGACAAATAGGTTCCAGGCTGGATTCATTATTATACCTTTATTATTATTTTAGTCTTTTTTTTCTTCTAATTTTGAAAGAAATTAACATTTAGACATTTTCCTGGGCCCCTAGATGCACCATAAGCCTAGACCCTGTGCCCACCAGGCCTGAAGGATGAGCTGTCTCAGGGTGGAGAGGATCAGCCTGGCTGTACCCAGGGGCTGAGCCCGGAGGAGAAAATGTCCTTGGAGAAGAGGCTCCCAAGCTGGCTTTCAGGTACTCCAGGATAAGCCCGAGTTTCCAAAACAGCCTGGAAGGGGCATTCATTACCTGGCATTCATCACCTGGATGGTGGAACCAGACCAGAGACTGGAGCAAACTCCCCAGGCTATGGCCTAGGGCACAGACACAGGATTCCTGCAATAGCTTGAATGTCAGGGGTGGCAGGAGGAACTCATGCAAGATGAGGCAGTCAGAGCAACACTCCAGCCCTAGGAACAAACTCCTCTCACCCAAAGCCAATACAGCCCTTAACAGACTCCCACATTCTCCCCAAAAATCATATGCCAAACACAACTTAGTATTAGGATCAGGCTTCAGCACACGCCAGCTCAGTGCAGAGGACAACATCGTTGTTTGAGGCAGAGCTTCTGCTTGAAAGTGACAAATCCAACCCAAATTACTTACCTTAAAAGGGGGAATTTATCACAAGGCTCCAGAGTGTCTCAGAGAAGCCAAAGACAGGAAAACGCTGCTCCTCTGGGAGAGACTGGAACCTGGAACTAGAGAGCCTCCGAGAGTAGCTCTGTCTCTCTCTTTTCCTCTTGCCTGCCTGTCTCTGCACATATTCTTCGCACATGCCCTGCAAGTTAGCTTCCTCTGCAATCTGGTCCATGTGGCAAAATGCAGCTCCCAAGTCTATGAGTTATCACAGATACTGCCCCATAGTAGATACTGCCTTGGGCACCCATAGATACTGCCATGCTGTCTATTGGACTTGAATTCCTCATCTCCAGGAGAGAGGCGATCAGCCCCGGTTGGGTCAGGGCTCCTGCCAGGGAGACGGAAACACCAAATGCCAACAGCACTACCCAGTGTCCTTGCTCTGTGGATTGAAGGGCAGTTTCCATAGAAAGTTGCATTGGGGCATCACAGGGAGCTGGGAGGCCACCTCAATAGGCATCTTTTCGACCATTTAGTCCATCAGAAGCAGAAGGAGTGGAAGTTCAGTAAGTGGCAAAAACGTATCCAGTTTGCCAGTTGATGCTAACCATGGCAGGGTGGTTGGTGAGCAGAGCATTGTGGCACAGCTGCCATCATTGATGTCACTTACAGTCCCTCAAGCAGAGTGTGATATTTACCCAACAGCTGCCCCTAGGGTCTCTGTCACAAACACACAACCAGGAGCAGCCCACACATAGCTCTGGGGCTTCAGGGTTCTCGGTCTGTGCCTGGACTCAACACACTTTCCAAGCTGAGGATGCTGCCTTCCAACACCCCTTCTCCACTGGCCCCCACACGGGAGGCAGCAAGAGGAAAGCAGATCAGGGCTGAGTGGGCCCCAGATCCAGGCAGAGATGGCAGTTCCCATCCCATAGCTCAGCACTGGGCAGTGGCTGAGCCCTCAAGCCAAGAAAAGTTGCAGCCAACATACCAGCGCCCCAGATGCTGGGCAGATGACGCTGCTCCTCTGCCATCTCTCCCAGGGAGCCTGCCAAGTCCCCAGACCTGGCCAGTGCTGACATTTAAGCAAAGTGTGTGTCAACCATATTAAACAATACACCAAGCTGTGGGTTATTAAGTGCAGGGTAAATTGACCACAGCAATTAAACTGAGATTAGGGAGTGATAAACCCAGGGTCCCAGGCTGCAAAGAACGCTGTAACATATGGAGGCCTGACTATTACAAAGTGTGAAAGCCACAGCAGAAACTTGGTGACATGGCCCTCCAAGGAAAGTCGCTGAGGCCCCCACCCCACCCCCAGGTCCCCACCTTTACTTGACTTTTCTTCTTTTGACAATCTGGTAGTCTCAAGATGGCATGGCTCACGCTCGGCATCTAGGAATTTCTGAAGACCTCCAGGCAGGGGCCATGAGGATGTGTCCTCAAAGAAATGCCTGATCCTTGTGGCTGGATGCTGCCTGCCCCCTCCCTTCCCAGTTTAGATAATTAACAGACCTGGGCGGAATGCTGAGAGTTCCAGGGGCAGGAAAGGAGCCATTCTCAGCTCCCCAGTGCCAGGCCCCCTGTTGACACCAAACAGCCTCAGAGCAACATCTGAAGGCCCCAAAGGAGAGACCAGCCAGGAAGATCCCAGGGAGGGATCCAGCCCCATCCAACCCAGCCACCCAGAGCCTGAAGGCAGAGCAGAGGCATCCCAGCACTGGGGACACCCACTATATATTTTGAAATGAGCACACATTGATCTTTGAATCACTGGCTCGAGCCCTCTGGGCACCCGTGCCATGGTCTTGCCAATAGCCCATTGGCCCATTCCTCAGGCCTTTGGCCAGCTCCAGATGCTCAGATGCTACTTGGAGTGTGGACTGGTGTTCAGAAGAGGCTTTTCCTATAGGTCTTGATCTCATCCTTAAGTCCTGCAAAAGCTGCCTTTTCTTCCCAAGGATGCCCGATGCTAGGGGCTGGCTTTGCTCTAGAGTCCATTGCCCTAGGAGCATCAAGGTTCAGGGCTCAGTGGTTGACAGACTGCAATTCAACATTCTGGTCCTGCTTCTTGCTCACCCTATGACCTTGGACAAATGAGTTGCCTTTGCTCAGCCTCAGTTTCCTCATCTACAAAATGGCCCAATGACAGCCCTTTGAGTAAGTGTGCACACATAGATATTTATAATTGGGGAAGGCGTTCTATGGTGGTGGTGGTGATCATTGCCATTGTCGTTGTTGTTATTCTTCCAGGAGAACCTGGCATTGAATTTTGCTATTCCCCTTGACCATTAGGGTGAGTTTCTTTATTTCTTTTTTTTTTTTCTTTTTTTGACAGAGTTTCACTCTTATTGCCCAGGCTGGAGTGCAGTGGTGTGATCTTGGCTCACCACAACCTCCACCTCCCAGGTTCAAGCGATTCTCCTGCCTCAGCCTCCCAAGTAGCTGGGATTACAGGCATGTACCACCACACCCAGCTAATTTTGTATTTTTAATAGAGACGGGGTTTCTCCATGTTGGTCAGCCTGGTCTCAAACTCCTGACCTCAGGTGATCCTCCCGCCTCAGCCTCCCAAAGTGCTAGGATTACAGGTGTGAGCCACCACGCCTGGCCTAGGGTGAGTTTCTATACCGGGCTCTCATATAACATCTTGTCCAGTGATTCCTTCCATGGCCAGTGGCCTGCTTCGTAAACAGATCTATGGATCATCCTCCTGCTCTACCCCATAGTGGGGAAGAGAGAGGGGGCTGACCCTGCAAGCTTTCTGTGGATCCTAGACTCCCAGAAAGGCTGGCTTCTCAGTGGAATTAGCTGATAAGAGGCCTCGGTGGGAGTCTGCAGGGTGAAAGCAGGGAAAAGTCAGGGTATTTCTCCCAGTGTTCTCTTTGCTTTGGATGGTTTTCAGAAGAAACTGAATCCCATCTGTGGCTCAGGCTCCTTCCAGAGAGCCAGGCATGCCTGCAGCCTCCACAAGCTGATCCTGATCCCTGGAGTTCAGAGACATAGCCTCACCCCTTTGTCCCGCCAGTCTGGAGGGATGGGAGTGGTGGCTGCATCCAGCTGCTACTGATCTCCAAGTGACTTCACTGTCCCCCGCTTGGCAACTCAGCTCTTCCTCTCTCTGTCAGTGATCCCTGTGTTAATTTCCCTCTGTTGAAAATACTTGAAGCCTTCACGTGTTCCTGCCTGCTGCACTCCCGCTCCAAAGCACCTTTCTTATATTCATACAAGCTGAGGTCCTGGAGAATTTCTTAGCATTAATATTTTTTCTTTTTCTTTTTTTTTTTTTTTTTTTTTTTGAGACAAGGACTTGCTGTGTCACCCAGGCTGGAGTTCACTGATGCAATCACAGCTCACTGTAGCCTTGAACTCCTGGGCTCAAGCAATCCTCCCACCTCAGCCTCCCAAGTAGCTAGGACTTACAGGCAACTATAGGCATGTGCCACCATACATGGCTACTTTTTAATATTTTTTTAGAGGTGGGTGTCTCACCATGTTGCCCGGGCTGGTCTTGAACTCCTGGCCTCAAGCAATCCTCCCATCTTGGCCTCCCAAAGTGCTGGGATTACAGGCATGAGCCGCTATGCCTGGCCAGCATTTAGCTTTTCATAGATGCCGTGCAAACACACACACTAGACGGTAAGCTCTACCCAGTGAGGATCTGGGACAGTTTTGTTAACCCTTGCATTCCCAAAGCCCAGAGGAATGCAGACACGCAGTAGGCATCCTATAAATACGCATGGAAAGAATAAAGCAATGAAATGAAGAGATAGCCCATTGGGAGGCAGCCGCCTCTTAGGAGAAGGAGGTTCAATGATCATGGTGGAGTTGACTGAGGAAACAACTGTACACCTCTGTCTCCACTTCAGCTGTTTTTTCATTAGTACCAATAACACTGATGGTGTTTAGAGGATTGGTCAGGGAAGCAGATTACATCAATGTTTCCAGAAAGGCTGAAATTGCTCCCAGGATCAAGTCAGATGTGCGTACTGTTAGGTAAGCTTCGTGAATTAATGGACTGCCCTTTTTGGCCTCAGTCCTCATTGAACATTCTACCCTACTCTAATTTTTTCCCCCTTCCTTTGCTCTTCAAGGTAAGGAGGGTGAGAGAGGAGAGATAGGGAGACCATCTTGTTTTATTTAACTTCTCCTTATAAATTGCTCAAAGTCCTTTCTGGTTGAAGGCAGAGCTGAACAAATGAATGCAATAATAATGTAACCCAGAGATGCTGCGGGTTGGGGACGTGCTTTCACCCAATGCACTGGCCTATTTGCAAATGGGCCTCTGAGGTTAAGGCCCCACTGACCACATTTTTAGAGCATTTTTTGGTTCTGAGTGATCAGGAAGGATGAGGACTCTCTGCCCAAAAGTGAAGAGATTCCAAATTATAAATGTCTTGGCTGAACTGTAAGGAGGTATGAGACATTTATTTGGTGTCCCGGAGAAGTTAGGAGGGACAGTCCTCAAGCTGCCTTCTGGCTTCTCAGCTGCCCTATCCCCACCACACTGAGCTAATTTAGATAGACCCAAGGTTCAACCTCTACCATATATCATGATGCATCTGCCCATTGACCTTCCCAGCAGGGCCCTTCCTTCAACTAGCCAGCACATTGTAAATCTTCATATAAACTAATTCATACTAAAGTGTCAATGGTCCTACGTGGGCTTAATGTGTTTGCATGGGAATGTGAAAAGTACCTTTATCCAGGTCCATTGGGAAGGATTCTAGACACAAGCAATAAGGCTCTAATCTGGGCCCTTCTTGGAGGAAAGCCTCCCCACTGATGGCCATTGATGTACCTGTCAATTTGCCCCTTCTTGGTTATAGATCAGCCACAGTAGGGCCTTGAGCAACCTACATTCTCTGCCTGAGACCCTGGTTTTACACCCGAAGCTTGAGTGAGTTGAATGAAATGGCCCCTTAGGTTCCTTTATCCCAAAAGTTGGTTCCTTAAATCCAAATTTCTTAGCTCAACATTTAAATATTTCCATCATATGACCTTCAACTCAACATTAGTATCCACTACTCGCCTACAAAAACCAGACAGACCCTATTAACAATGCCAACAGTAACAATAGCAATAAATTACTAGTGTTTTTTGAACACTTATTATGTGCCAGACTTTATTTTAAACACTTTTGCCATTTGATCCTCACAACGCTAATAATATCATTCCCATTTTATAGACAAGGAAACAAAGGCTCAAGGCACTTGCTCATACAGAAAGTAAAGTCAGGGGCTATTGCCCAAAGCTGGGTTGTCCATGCCTTAAACCACGACATCATGCTTGGGAAACTTGTTTCCTGAACAAGCCACAGGTACCCCTCCCATTGTACGGATGTGAAAACTAGGCTCAGAGAGGTTAAGTAACTTGGTCAAAGTCATGCAGGCAGTAAGTGGCTTCTGAAGCACTTCCCTTGGGCTCCACCCTGTTCCCACTGGATCCAAAGACCTTAGAGCTACCTTACAAGTCTCTTCCTCTCTCCTACCTGTTGCACTTAGCCCAAGACCCACATCATTTGGCTAGAAAATCAGGAGAAGGTCAGTGCAAGAAGGAGAAAAGGAATCTGGGAGATTCAGCAAACACAACAAGTTACTCCTCTTCCACGAAAATAAAAATCAAGGGAGCCAAAGTCTTTTAATCTGACCCAGAAAATAAACTTCCTTTCTTCTGGGATGGGGCAGGAGATTCCAAGTTCCACCTCGGGCCTTTAAAAAACAAAACTAAACCAAACACTACTAAGCCTTAAACCCCACTATGATTCCGTTTATAATAAAAACATCGACTTCCCTTCTTCCCTGGTGGGGCAAATTGCTGTGGTTAAAGAAGCTGTTTTCATAGTCAGCTAATTACCCCCTTAAAAGATGGCTGATGATCTCACTTCCTGCCCTGGACTTGGCCTGAAAGTTCCCCAATGTGACTCCCAAGGGCTAAATGCAGGAGAACTGGGCACTCGGGGAGCAGGGTTTCGTGATGAGAAAGGACAGGGACGGAAGCCCTCGGAATTCTCACCTCTCGGAGCCCAGAACAGAAAACCTACCTTCCACATCTGCCTCTACCACCTTCTGGCTGCATGAGTGATTTTACCTTCCTGGGGCTCAGTTTCCTCATCTGTAGAATGGGGACACCAATACCATGAGAAAATAAGTGGAATGCAAATGGTCTGGCTCACTAAATGCTAACGATTCATATCTTTTCTGTCCTACGTTTCCTTTCCTTCCTAGACCACCCACACTGAAGAGCCTGACTAGGCAGTCGCTATTTCCAGCATGTTCTTCCACAATAATAGTCCTAATAATCATAATAAGCACGTAGCAAGCACTACCTCCCAGAAGGTGTATTTAGTGGTTTAGAGCTGTTATCTCTTGAATCCTAAGAACAACCCTATGAGGCAAGTCCTATTATTTTATCCATTTTAAAGAAGGAACAATGGAGGCTCAGAAATGTTACTGAACTGGGAAGCACTGGGGCAAAACTACACCTCAGTCATTAGATTCCAAAGCCTATCAATCCCATATGGGGGCTTCCATAGAAGTCAGAAGAGTTTAACTTCTCATCTGCTGGAGGACGGCAGGCTGGGGCCTTGCAGAGAAAAACCAAGGCTTCCTTATCCCAAGGCTCTAGGCTGATGATGAATACAAGAGCACAAGGCAGAGGCTGCATTTTCCACTGAAGCGCCAGTTGAGTTGAAGAGAGAGGGCACTGTAGCCCAGCTGAGATATAATTTTGTTCCACTGAAAAGGGTATATACCTGCAGTTTTCCAAGGGTTCCATTTAGAGGGAGAAAGAGGGAAGGATGAGGAGGAGGCTTTTCCTTTATAAGTTCCCAAAAATTATTCGTTAGAGTTAGAGTTATGGGGGAAACCAGCAAGAGACAGAACTAGAAAAAAAAAATACATATATGGGGCCGGGTGCGGTGGCTCACGCCTGTAATCCCAGCACTTTGGGAGGCCGAGGCGGGTGGATCACGAGGTCAGGAGATCGAGACCATCCTGGCTAAAACGGTGAAATCCCGTCTCTACTAAAAATACAAAAAAATTAGCCGGGCGTGGTGACGGGCGCCTGTAGTCCCAGCTACACGGGAGGCTGAGGCAGGAGAATGGCGTGAACCCGGGAGGCGGAGCATGCAGTGAGCCGAGATCGCGCCACTGCACTCCAACCTGGGTGACAGAGCGAGACTCTGCCTCAAAAAAAAAATGGCGGTCTGGTGCTTCCTTCAGGTAAGGCCTCTCTGAAGAGGTTAACACTGTAGGTGACCCCCCAAAGGCAGAGAGAGAATTAGTTAAGGGAAAGTAGAGATGCACATTCCAGGAAGAGGGAGGAACACGAACAGATCACAAGATCACAAGAGTTCAGTGTTTTGAGAGGAACTGATGAAGCCTATGTGACCAGAGATAGCGGAATAAGGAAGAGAGGGCAGCCCAGCTCACCCAGGATTCTGGGAGGCAGGAAAGGAGGTCGGATTTTATGCTAGGTGCAATAAAAAGCTGTCAAATTTTGGACAGGGAATTGGTATGATCTGAGATATGGTATAATCTTTTGTTAAGTCAATATTCACATTATTTTGAATTATGCAAATATTTTCCAATGAGGAACTAAGGCACGTGCTATGGCTCAGTTTATGACATTTTTATTAACTCAGTCTTCTAAATGCAATCCTAAATATTCCTTCTTTCCTCCACCGTACCTCTCCCCAACCCCAGCAGCCTCTCAATACAGGTTTTCATTCTCAAACATGTACTTTTCCTGAATATTGCCCTCCTGAAGACTCCATCCTTGCGGTCTAGGCCAGGCTGCATGCTCTGCAGCCCTGCTACAAAGATGTGTTCCTGGGCTTCCCTTTGCCTCTCTCTCTGGTTTCCTAGATTCCTTATCTTTCTCTGTTTTTGTTTACATTGTTATAGAATGAATGTTTGTGTCTCCCCAAAATTCATATGTCGAAGCCATAATCCTCAACGTAACTGTACTTGAAGATAGGGCCTGTAAGGTGACAAAGATTACGTTAGGTCATAAGGGTGTGAGCCCTAATCTGATAGGGCTGGTGCCCCTAAAAGAAAAGGAAGAAACACCAAGTCATGGTCCCTTCACTATGTGAGGATACACCAGGAAAGTGGCTATCTGTAAGCCAGAAAGAGAGCCCTTACCAGAAACCAGCCCTGGCAACCCTTGATCCAGAACTTCTATCCTCCAGAATTGTAAGAAAGTAAATTTATGTTGTTTGAGACATCTAGTCTACAATTTTTGTTATGGAATCCCAAAGTGACTAATACAACCCTCATTTTGCTAAAATAAATCTTCAAGTGGCTCCCTGGGAGTTCATTGTATCTTTCAACTTTCTACTTCTTTAAAAAAAAACTTGAATAAAAAATTTGCTGGTTATAGTATTCTAGGATTAGAAAAATCTTGTCTCAGTGTTTTCTCAGGGTTCTCCATTGTCTTCTCACTTCCACTGTAGCAATTGAGACGTCTCATGCAATTCTTACTCCAAGGCTTCAAGTATGGACATTTTTTTCCCTCTGAAATCTTTAAAGATATTCTCTTTATCTTTGACATTCTTAAATTTCACCACTATGAGCCTAGTGTCAATTTTTTTTTCATTCATTGCACTGAAAAACCAGTGGATCATTTAACTTGAAGACTTCTGGGCAATTTTCTTATAGTTTTTCTTAGATAACTTCTTTGTCTGTATTTTCTGTTTGCATTCTTTCTAAGCTTCCTGATAGTGGGATAAAGAACACATGGATTTGACCTCTATATTTAAAAGCTCTTTTCCTCCTAACAGTCATAATTTTGTTCTTTTTTAAAACTTGATCTTTTGAAATATTTCTCAACTTTATCTTCCAACTTCTCTATTAATTTATTTTTACTTTTGTTAAATTTTCAGTTCCCCAAAACTCTTTCTTGTTATATATTTGTTGACTTTTATAGTCTTTTTTCATAACTATAATACATTATAATATAACTCTAAAGATATTATAGGTTTTTTTATATCACCTGGATCCTGTGTTGTCTTTATTTCCTGCCTTCATTATTTTTGTGGAGCAGAGTGTCTCTTTTTTTCATGGTGAAAATTTCTCGAATGTCTGAAGATTCTTGGCTGTTTATATTTAAGAGAGAGGTGCTGAGAAGCAAATGGGAAGTTCTTTGTATTTTGATCATTGGTCAGAGGCCATATTTTGTTTTGAGGAGCCCCCATAAGTCAATATCTAGTCATCATTCCTTGGGGGACATTCCTATTCTCCCAAAAAATATCTTCTGATCCCTTGAAGGGTAAGAGTGGGGAAAAAACAGAGGGATAGTCAGAGAGTAAGCAACGGGAATTTAAGCAATGAGAGAGGTTCAACAACTGAATATTCTGAATGTAATGTCTTAGTCAGTCCGGGCAGCTATAAAAAATATCATAGACCAAGTGGCTTAAACAACAAATATTTATTTCTCACAATTCTGGAGGCTGAGAAGTCCAAGTTCAAGACACCAGTAGATTCAGTGTCTGGTGAGGGCCTGCTCACCAAATGGCTGTCTTTATGTTGTGTCTTCATATGGCAGAAGGAGGGAGAGTTCTCTGGGGCCTCTTTTAGAAGGGCATGAATCCCATTCACCGCCCCCCAACAAAACCCCCTCTTCCAAATACCGTCACATTGGGGGTTAGGATTTCAACATAAAACATTTGGAGAAACACAAACATTTAGTCTGTGGCAGATGTGTTATTGTGATCTTCTGGGAAGTCATTGGGAACAGGGAGAAGAAAAAAATGGATAGGCAGAGGGGATACATCTTACTGATGTCTTGGTTAAAAGACATTCCTGCTTGAAAACGTCAACACTTTAATCTACACATTCTGTGTTTCAATTTCCATCTCAGATGGCATCTAGTAGGTTGTTAGATTTCTGTTACATTCTCCCCTTGAAACTTTTCATAGAGACATGAATATTGGAAGTAAATATTACTAAATGTTTGAGTGTTATTTCTTTGCCTTTTCTTCTTTAAAAAGGGGCAGTTTTGATATTTAAACCCAATAGTTCATTGTTTTCTATTTTAGTCTTTTTCATTACACAAGTAAAAGGTGCTCCTTGTACATAACCTAGACGAGGAGCCAGCAACCTTTTCCTGTAGCAAATATTTCAGGTTTTGTGGGCCATATGATCTCTGTTGCACCTACTCAATTCTGCTGGTGTAGTGTAAAAGTAACCATAAATGAATAGGCTTGGCTGTGTTTGAATAAAAGTTTATTTATAAAAACAAATGGAAGTCCAAATTTGGCTCACAAGCCATACTTTGCTGACCCTTAATATGGAGAATATAGACTAATAAAATGAAGAAAACAAAATTACCTGGAATCTTACCACCCAAAGATAACTAATGTTAATATGTGGGTGTGTTTCTTTCCCATCTTTTCTCCATGCATATATGTTTTATTTCCAAAAGAGAATCGTTATCTATATACAATTTTAGCCTGTCTTCCCCACTTAATATTGAAACAGTATTTATGCTATTGAGTATTCTTAAATAACGTTATTTTTAACAGCTGTGAAATATTTTATTACACAGATGTAAAACTCAGCATTAACTTTTTTTTTTATGTTTTTTCACAGCATTGTGAAAACAATTTCAAAAAGGCTGTACCAATATTTAATCCTACCAGCAGACTAGGAAAATATCTCTTTTCTACAAAGGATCTTTTTAATAAGAAAATTTCACCAGTTATCAGGAATTTTTAAACTCATAAGTAATATCCTGCATTAATGTAATCTATTCTCTCTTTCTTGAATATCATGTCAAGTAAACTCTCCCAAACACATCCCAGGCATGTGGCCTTCAACTTAGCCTTTCCCCAAAATGTGCTCTCTGGACACTCATTGCCGGAGGTGAGCTGAGCAAAGAGGATTCTGTGGTCAAATAAATAAATGTAGGAGATGGCTAAGTACTGTCATCCCCTTCTTTGAGAGTCCCAGAGTTCACTGACATGTTAAAAGCATTAAAAATACTTGCATCCCATTTAGAACCACTGAGCTCTTTAACCCAGAATTTGCCAAACCAAATTCTTTCTTCAAGTAATGCCTATTCGAGATTCAACCAACTAGTTCTTCAGAACAAGTTTGGAGAATCTGGTCTAATGTATGGCCAAGGAGCATCATCTTATCATTGTAAATTTTAGTGTTCCCATCCAATAATCCTTCTACTAACAGCATGGCAAACATAACAAACTAAAAAAAAAAAAAAAAGGAATTAAGGTTGTTAGCAAATAATATAATAATTTTATATGAGAACAAGCTTTAAAAATGAAGACCCACCTTGGGAAGCTGAGGCAGGCAGATCACTTGAGGTCAGGAGTTCAAGACCAGCCTGGCCAACAAGGTGAAACCCCATCTCTACTAAAAATACAAAAATTAGCCAGGCTTGGTGGCGGGTGCCTGCAATCACAGCTAGTCTGGAGGGTGAGGCAGGAGAATCACTTGAACCCGGGAGGCAGAGGTTGCAGTGAGCTGACATCGTGCCATTGAACTCCAGCCTGGGCGACAAGAGCAAAACTCTATCTCAAAAAAGAAAGAGAATGAAGATCACACATTCTGGAAAGAGGGAAGATGAAGGGGACATAACTCAATGGGCAAGATGATTACCATATCCTGAAATAAAGTAGACAGCCATAGAGCTTGAGGGACACCGTTTAATCTTCACAAGGGCACAACAAAGTTAAGGAACTCATTATCCCATAAAGTTCAAGGAACATTTAAGCTAATTTGTGGATGTCGGATTCAGAATGGATTATTTGAAGCAAGCTAAGGATCTGGGGGAAGAAAACATTCCTGACCTTTTGGAAGCTGACATCATAGAAGAAAATCACCTTGTTCCTTCTTTCTAAGCAAGTCGTCACTTAGTCCTCTCCAAAGGGCGAGTTTCTCGATCCCTTAATCACTCTCCTCATGCTGGTCCATCATTAATTGCCAAGAAAGATTACTCTCATGCCCACTAAAACCCCTTCTTTTCCCCTTCCCACCTGAGCTGAAAAATAATAATTTAGAGTTTTCTCTTCTTTTATTTATCAACATAAAAAGAGGGGAGGGCAGCTGGAATGTGGGGAAGGAATCTCACTCTTACCATTGATTTTCAGTAATCTTCCAGGGTAACACTGAATTTTGGAACTTTTAGCAAAACGTGCTCAGTATTCACACTCTAACACCTCTCCATGATGCCCTTCTGTTTTCAACGATTTCTGAGTATTATAAATTCTATTAAAACAGTAGATATTCAAGCATATATGTCCCCTCTCCAGAGGCCTCTTTCATGACAGGACATCCCACACCATCACCAGCACCAAACAGCCCTAAGTTTCTGGGCATCATGGTCACACATTGACAAACCAAGAGACCTCTCTGAAGGTCAGCATCCCAAGGCCTTCTACTGAACTTGTTAACTTAGTCAACCTTGACAGAGAAGATGGAGCAGGTAGGAAAGCTGATCATTCTATCATACAGAAAAGAACATCTTGTCCAACCCATTCCATTTCATATATGCAAAAAATGAGCCAGAGATAGGGGAGAATTTGCCCAAAGTTGCAAAGTTATTGAGTTGCATGGCTGGGATTAGAACCCTGGGTCTCCTTCAGCAGACAGGTCTACCCGTTTCCTCCTGTTCCTGTCTATGCTGAACATTTTTTTTTATTAATCTTATAAAGCATAGTTGATGGGTCAGAAGAGTCTAAGGAGATTCCTCTTATGAAGATGAAACTCCTGAACTTAGAATCTGCAGAAATAATGGATATTCCTTCCTGGATTTTAAGGTCTTTGTCCTATTTGTGTTAAGAGTTAAACCTTTGGCCGGATGTGAACCCTTTCAGAATACACTCTCCAAAGGCCTAATAAGACCCTTCCAAAAATGCCATCCTTAATTAAACAGAAAGCATCTGAAAGCATCTTTCTTGCTAGGCTGCCAATTAATATAATATTACAGGAACTAAAAAATCAAAAAAAATAAAAAACCAGCAAAACTGGGACTTGTTTTCCTTTCTTCCACTGACTGTACATTCTTAGTTTGGTTTTAAATTTCTCCATTCTCCATGGGTATTGGCAAGGCTGGATTAGTAATGCTGAAAAATTTATCTTTACAACCTATTGTCTTAGGTAAGATTGTATCAACAGCTCCAGATGGACCAATCTCTAAGAATAATTTCACTTCCCCTTATCATTGACAGGAATCACATTTACATATTCTACTGGTGAGTGAGATAATGCAGAAATGATTAATGTCCCTCGATGTACAGATACCTGTAGACTGTTTGATCAATGTCTCCCCAGAAAGTCTTTCATTCTGGATGCTCAAAGTCCAAAAACGCTCTGTGATTAATGTAACCAAATGTTTGGGGTCGGCGGAAGCTGCAGGCTTCGTTTCTGTGTCCCCGTCACACTAAAGAGAGGTCGCAGGAGACTGGATTAGTCATGTGGAGAAAAAGTCTATGGGGCTCATGTTTGCATGGGATTTCAAATGTCCTTTTAAAGAAAGGAGTAGAATCCCCCCTGGAATGTCTCCTCCAGAGGCTCTGTAGAGAGAACAACACACTTAGTCTTTTAATGCAAATCTAATTTCCATTTAGAAAACCAAGTGCGTCTGATTCTGTGTGTGTGTTGTATTGGAATTGGGATATTTCCTGATTTATTTCACATAGTTTATTAACTGGGAATAATCTGGCTTCTCCAAGTTATCCCTGAGAGAGGCACTGGAACCAGCTGGAATAATGGGAAAAAAAGGTATGAGGAACAGATAGATATTGTCAATTGTCTTTTAAATCCTCCAGATTTGCTCAAACATTTCCTCTGAGATGCCTTTGATGATGACTCAAAGTTGGGGTGCTAGTGCCTGGAGCCAGGAATGCAGAGAGGTTAACCAGGGAACCTGGGGTTATCCTGACCTGTATTATGTGCCAGCTCTTGCTCCAAACTGGATAACCTTAGGACAGGTTTCAAGCCTCTGTGCCTCAGTTTAGTCATCTGTAACCTGAGAGTGATGATTGTAAGCACTCTAGGGTTGTTGAAAAACTTAAATGAAAAAACATTTTTAATGTGATTAGTTCAGTGCTTGGCACTCAGCAAGTATTTAATAAATTCTAGCTATTGTTATTATCATTATTAATTCTAAAAATAGCTTGTTGAAATGTCTCATGCATGCTTAGTGCAAACAATGAAGCTTTCTTCAGGTACTGCCTGGCTAGGTTCCCTCTGCAAGGAGATCTATTTTCCAGTGGAAAATATTTTTAAGGAAATTATATTCAATTCAACTACATTTACATAATAATATGCATATCTAAAAACCAACTCAGCCAGGCTGCCCCTAGCTGCGGGAGCTGAAGAGGCCATATTTAAGAATACAAATTACTTCTGAAATACGTTTCCATGCCCTAGACTGCTCCCAAGGAAGACATGTGGGTCATGATTAAATGGCAAAATTGGAAGATACTAGATGAATTGAGAAATAAAATCCAGAACCCCATATAGTGGTCAAATGCAAAAGATGGATTTGGGGAAGGATGAACCTAAGATGAGAGTGGCTCGAATTTCTCAAAGGAGAGAGTAGATCCTGGGGCAAATCATTAGAACTATTCATTGGTTCTTTCATTTATCCATTCAAAGAACATGTACAGGATGTCAGATGCAGTTCTAGGCATCAGGATCATGCAGTAAACAGGTCAGACCAAGTTCCTGCTCTCCTAAGGTTTACATCCTAGCAGAGAGAACAGACAGAACAAACAAACAATAACTAAGGTCATTTAGGCCAGGCATAAGTGCCATGAAGAAAATGGAGCTGGTCTTGTTTCTCCCTCTCAGAGCAATGAGGAGATGCTTCCCAGAAAAGCAGCTCAAAGACAAAAGCCACTTGTGGAGTCTGTATTCCACCCTTCCCTTTTTTGTCCTGTATGACTTTGGAAAAAATCACACCTTTACTGAATCCTTTTTTTCTCTTTGGAATATGAGGCCAATAATTCCAAGTCCCCAATGTGGAATTTTCTGAAAGCCAGGTTGTCTGATAGCTACACAATCTAGCCCAGGTTTAGCCCATGCTCAATAAGCTCACTGTCAAGTCTCCGGCCTGTTCCCATGGCAGACATCACCAGTCTATGGAGATCTTGCCTCAGACTCAGTCTAACTCCAGGCAGACCCTATCAATCCATCAGAGCAGGCGCTAGTATACTAGCTCTTGGCCTCTACACAGATGAAATTATGAAAATCTAAGAAGATATTAGCTTTCTTTGCTCATTGGTACAATCAAAAGATGTAGAGATTGAACTGCATGCAAAAGGAAGAGGCTGATATATGGTGGTGTGCATCACATCCAAGTTTGTCTTTCAACAGCCACATCTCTGTTCTGTGGACATCCACACCCACCAATGGCAGCACAGGGCTTTCCAGTTGGGGAACTCAAGGACCCGCAAGGCCAGACATGATGGCCTAGCACCTTCCTCAGAATCACACAAGCACCCCTCCCTGAGCTTTCATCACAGAGGCAGCACTATACAGGCTTTGGAGTTAGGGCAGCTCGAGTTTAAATCTTGACTTTGTGTGACCCTGAGCTCTCCAAGCGTTAGTTTCATCCTGTGGAAAAGGAAAAAATGACAGTGTTCAGCCGGCAGGGTGAGCACTAAGTGAGCTGATACTTCCAAAGCCCAGCACAGAACTCTCGATAAATGTCATATATTATTATTGCTGTTGTTATCTATTTAAATAAGTATACCACCTACCCTGAAGACGAGAAAACACAAATGTGGCTGGCACATAGTAGATACTCAGTAAATGTTATTCTTTTCTTTCTGCAGCCCTCTCCAGTACTGCATAGCCAAAGGTTGTGGGGAAAGGGAATGAGAAGATGCTCAGTTAAAGAAAATTGGAGGGCCGGGCGCGGTGGCTCACGCCTGTAATCCCAGCACTTTGGGAGGCCGAGGTGGGCGGATCACGAGGTCAGGAGATTGAGACCATCCTGGCTAACATGGTCAAACCCTGTCTCTACTAAAAATACAAAAAATTAGCCTGGCGTGGTGGCGGACGCCTGTAGTCCCACCTACTCGGGAGGCTGAGGCAGGAGAATGGTGTGAACCAGGAGGCGGAGCTTGCAGTGAGCCGAGATCACGCCACTGCACTCCAGCCTGGATGACAGAGCGAGACTCCATCTCAAAAAAAAAAAAAAAAAAAAAAAAGAAAGAAAGAAAAAGGGAAAGAAAGAAAAAATTGGAGAAAAGAGAAAAAACAGAGTCAATTCTGCTTGGTAGATCCGAGAGAAAAGAACCTGCTCCTACTGCCCAAGTTGAAATGCTTCGATCCAAGAGGGTGCGTCTCACGTTTCATCAGTGACGGTTCCCTGTGAGTGCATTCCTTTGCTGTGGAGTCCGTCTACTGCAAAAGAGCTTCAGCCAGTGTCATCGATGGGACAAACATGCCCATGGCCTGCTAAATAACGCAGGGCACTTGCCCTTTCAGATGGAGGTTTAGAAGAAGGCTTATGTGATTTTGCATTTTTCTCCAACAGAGAGAGCCACGAAGGAGGGTTGGAAACAGGAGGACTTGTCACTAGTTAAAAAACAAAACTACACACACACATTCAATAAACAGGAAAATTATTTAAATAAGCAATCCCCAGGAAAAAAAATATGAAAGCCAATTTTATTCATAAAACAACTGATTTACTGCATTCTAGCTAAAAGCGGCTTTTAACTCAAGCCTCTGAGATTCTATTTATTATTCAGCAAAATATTCAAGATTATTTAATAAAGGTATCTTTAATACTAATATGGCAGCAAAAGCTAATATATGTAAAATAATTATTATGAAAAGTATTATCAATATTTGGGGGAAATAATGTACATGCATAATGAATGGATTTTGCCCCTGGGTTTATGCTTATATCTTGGCCTGATTTTGCATGGAGAAATTCTGCATTATAATGAAAGGCAAAATGATCACACGTTATAACTGCGAGTTTTTTATCACTGCTTAGAAGAATCCTAAAACTGTCACCTAAACAGGAAAAAATATATATATTCCATATAAATGTGCATATGGTGAGGTTTATAATTTTCTGAGTGGTTGAAAACACTCGAACACCCAACTGCTTTCAAAATGACAATTATTGGCCTCAAAGAAGTAAATAAAAAATTTTTGATAGCCAACTATCCCAAAAATACTACTAAATTCTAAGCAAAGGAAGGTTTGTGCAGATCTATGTTTCAGTTTAAAGATTCTTGAAGCTGAAGTTCTCAGGCATTTCTCAAATGGCATACACAAACTAAAGCAAATAAAGAACTATTTTTGTTTTCCTGAGCCAATGAGGAATTTTCAAACTTTAAAAAAAACTCTTTCTCCAGCTTCACCCCCACCTCAAACTTACAGAGTGAAAAATCAAATTCTATTCAAAAAACATATTAGCATTGCTCCTTGTGTCAAAGCCTGTGACAATACAAAGAAAAATTGAGGAGTGTTCCTCCCCCTCTAAAGCATAGAATCATAAAATAGAATGTGAAATAACTCTGCAATTGTAGTCTATTCTCTTATTTTAGAGATATGGAAACTGAGACTTAAACATAGCAAAATCATTCAAATCTACATTTCCTTATATCTAATGCAGGGAACTTTCTAGAAGCTCCCACTTCTGCCCACCAACTTTACCAGGGCAACCAAAGAAGATTCAATGTCCATTGATGATGTCAACTATGTCCACATAAAATCTGCATATCTTCCACTAAGGCGGGTCTGAGGCACTGGGGACCAAGCTGAAGTTACCCTTTGCCACGCTTAGCTTAGACCCCAGTTTGAACAGCAACTCAATAGACCATTATCTGGCACCTACTATGCACAAAGCATGATGCTGGTCACACTCAACATCCTCCATTCTTCTCTACTGAAATTTCTGGAGTGAAGGTTCCCACCTTAAATGATTCCCAAGATAAGGCAGGCATGTTCAGCATCATTTAAAGAAAACAAAAGTTTCCAAACATTTGCAAGCTCTGGAATTTATGTGTAAGAACTAATGTTTGAGAGGGTTTTTTGTTTTTGTTAAGTGACTACAGTATAAATCTCACAAACTGCATAAATCAGGCTTGACTCCAGCCCCACAAGTAAGGCTGGGACCGATTTATGGCGAGGCATGAGAGAAGAACAGTGTGTTTTATTTACCACCTGACATTTACACATGAAGGAGCCTTGTGGGGGTTGGCCTGTGAGGGTTGGGAAGTAATCCACAAGGTTACAATAAATCCACCTGTGAATGGCAACCCCTTGGGGTAAAAACTTGGTCTCAAATAACCTCAAAGTAATTCTGTCTGGTGGAAGATTCTTTATCCTGATCAAGGATAATGTTGAATTAGAAGTCCAGTGTAACAACAGCCACGCCTTTCTTAGCTTTAAACACTGCTGATTTATTATTATTATTATTATCATTAGCATTAGCATTAGCATTAGAGAGCATACATTATGGGCTTTTTCCATCTTCACTGTTGGCATTTGGAGATTTGAGGTCAGTATGAAATGTTTTTATGAACATCTTATGAATTTTGAAATTATGAAAATTTGTCCTGAAGAGTTATTTTGAAAATGTGAAAATGTGTCTTCAAGAGTCTGTAGTCATTAAAGCCCTCTCAATGAATCTTGTCATGGGGATTAACCAAATATTTAATGAGCATCTATTATGTGGCAGGTGCATCACCTCATGGAGGGGACAGAAAATAAATAAATAATAGATCAGATAACAAGAAGTGATACAGAGGAAAATTAAGCAGAGTGATGGGGATACTTTAGTAGACAGGGTGGCCAGGAAATGTCTCTTTGGTAAGGTGGCATTTCATTAGAGACCTGAATGGAGTGAAGGAAGAAGTCATGCAGACAAGAGAGTAAGAACATCGAAGGTGGCTGGGCATGGTGGCTCACACCTGTAATCCCAGCACTTTGGGAGGCTAAGGCAGGCAGATCATGAGGTCAGGAGATCGAGACCATCCTGGCTAACATGGTGAAACCCCATCTCTACTAAAAATACAAAAGATTAACTAGGCGTGGTGGCGGGTGACTGTAGTCCCAGCTACTCGGGAGGCTGAGGCAGGAGAATGGTGTGAACCTGGGAGGCGGAGCTTGTAGTGAGCCGAGATCGTGCCACTGCACTCCAGCCTGGGTGACAGAGTGAGACTCCATCTCAAAAAAAAAAAAAAAAAAGAACATTGAAGGCAGGAGAACAGCCAGGGCAAAGGCTGGAAGTGGGAAGAAGATTGACGTCTTTAAGAAACGCTAGGGAGACGGGAGTGGCTGGAGTGGAATGAGTGAGAGAGAGTCATATGAGACAAGATCAGAGAGGAAACTGGAAGCCAGATCCCATAAAGCAGGGGTGTCCAATCTTTTGGCTTCCCTGGCCTATTGGTCCATTCACACTGCTACAAAGCTACTACCTGAGACTGGGTAATGTATAAAGGAAAGAGGTTTATTTGACTCACAATTCTGCATAGCTTGGGAGGCCTCAGGAAACTTACAATCATGGCAGAAGATGAAGGGTAAGCAAGGCACATCTTACATGGCAGGAGGAGAGAGAGAGAAAAAGGGGAAGGGTCAGACACTTATCAAACAACCAGATCTCTTGAAAATTCACTCACAAGAACAGCAAGGGGGAAATTCGTCCCCATGATCCAATGATGTCCCACCAGGTCCCTCCCCTGACACATGGGGATTATAATTCAAGATGAGATTTGGGTGGGGACACAGCCAAACCGTATCACGTGGGCCACATTGGAAGAAGAATTGTCTTGGGCCATGCATAAAATACACTAATACTAAGGATAGCTGATGAGCTATAAAAAAAAATCATTCATAAATTGTATAATCCTTTAAGAAAGTTTACAAATTTTTGTTGGGCCACATTCAAAACCATGCTGGGCCACATGGAGCCTACAGGCCATGGGTTGGACAAGCTTGATATAAAGCCTTGTAAGCTTTGGGAGGGGATTTAGGAAGCATAAGAAGGTTGAGCCAAGGAGGAACAGGTTGTGATCTATGCTTGGAAGGCCTCACTCTCTTCATGGAAGACATTTTGGAAGGCAAGGATAGAAGCTAGGAGACCAGTTAACATACTATTGCAATAGTCCAAGCCAGAGCTAATGGCAACGGATGACAAATTCCCTCACTCAGTCTACTTTAATCTCAACTCACTCTGCGCACCCCACGAGTGTCTCACTAACCACTGAACCTATTTTAAGAAAGACAAAAATTGCAGTTAAACCTACAGCCCGGGAGCTCTGGATAATTTGGAAAAAGTGCAGTTTCTGAAAAGTTGTAAGTCCAGAGGATATAAATAAGTCCTTTCCCTTTTGAGACATGTCAAGGATAGTGTAGTTGCTTTCATCATGTGATCCATTCACTAGGATAAGGTGCATCCTACAATGATAGCATTCCTTCCAATAATTTACCTAAGGCCAGTTTGATGCCCAGTAGTTCTAGCTCCTGGGGAAAAGTCCGCTCTAAGCCTATTTACCAATGTGTCAGAAAATAGTACCAGAGACCTCATTGGACTTAATTAAAGCCAAACTAGACTTCATAGAAAGAAGGGGAAAGAGTGTACCAGAGAGAAGGAGAGAGGCTTGGGGCTGCTCTGCCATATTCTTTTCCAGCAAATTGGTTTCTGGCTATGTGAGCGTATTGGGAAGAACACTTAGGAGTGATTATAACAGAGGAAGGTTGTGGGGGATGCACGGACAAGACAGTGAAGAATGGGGCCAAATGGGAGGGAATGGACAAATTAATGATTAAGGAAGATTTTTTTTCTTCTAGGAGTCGTGTCCAGCCTGGCCTCCCAGATTTGAGCAATCTTTCACTGTCAAGAGAGGCTGGGAGATTGATTCAATTAAGATTAGCAGAGTCGGAAAAATGGCATGGGTTAGTTTTGATTAGTATTGTCTTCTCTCTCATCTCTTGGTGGTGGTGGCCTGAACACAGGTGGAGTTTGGCTCTATCAGGTCACAGGGAAGGCAAGAACGACTTCCAGAGTGGGGTTCATGGACCAGGCTCTGGGCTGGAGAGGTGGCATTTCCCTGGTATTTTCTTCTGAGGTCTCTTCTATTTGTCCTTCCTGGGTATGATTTTCTTATAATTAGCTACTTCTTCTGAAGAAACACTAAGGGGGTGGGGAAAATCTGATATATGGGGTCAGTGCTGAGTACAATTCCTTGGAGCAAATAAATGTAATTGGAGGTCTCATTAATTCTGAGGCCATGCCCAGATGCCCTCTCTGATCCATTGGAAGGGTGGGAGAACTTTCCTGGATAGGTGAGCATGTCTCAAACAAAGAGGGGCCGGCAGCCCCAGCATCTGCTGGCGGAGAATCTCACAAGGCTTGAGGTCCCGGGGTGAAGAGAAGGGAGGGAATAAATCACTCTTGCCTCATCCCACTGCCGCACCAAGAAACCCAGATGCACCCGAGCTGTTGATTTCTGCCCGATGAGTCTTTGCATCTGAGAGCAGCCGGCAGATGCTTAAAATAAATGCGCCTTGCAATTTACCACCACCTCTAAATTCATATTCAGACCCTGTTTCTGGATAAGTTTAATGAAAGTGGTACTTTCCGCAAGGTCCCTGGTGGCATTAGTTCACATTACAAAATCATTATACATAATTTGACACTATTGTGCACCGTTAGCTTAGAAAAAGAGCTTGTTTTACAGCTCTGGGGACAGAGGTCCCTCCAGATAAGGTTGGGCTTATGACAGAGTGAGAGGGGAAAGAAATGCTTCCTTCTTGTTAGTAATGAGGATTTTGATGTTCAATGCGGTGACTCCCTTACACTCATCAAGACAGATATTTAGTCCAAGGAGAAAAAAAAATACCAAGTTACTCTCTTAAAAGGCAACCATGGACCACGCACTGAGTCTTAATACTTTTAAAAGCAAATATTTAATCTGCATTTTAAAGGCCACTCCCAACACCATCACCACCACCCCAGTTGATTTTTGGCTCTATGACATCTTGTTCCTGGTGGCTTGGCACAACTTGCCACATGCTGTTCCATGCGGCCCACACAGGGCTGGAATTTGTGGGGTCTGTACAAGTGAAGCCTTACCAAGTTGTTAGAAGCTAAAATATTTCCATGCCAGTTGGTAAATATGTTGGCCTCTCAGTGCCCATGCCCACTGCCTGGGCACCCTACCCTTCCTCGGATCTCCAGAGGTGCCCATATCAGCAACTAAGTGCTTAATGCCCAGCACTCCAGGGACAGGCAAGCTGACATGGACTGAACTGTGTCCACCTCAAGATATGTATGTTGAAGCCCTCACCTCCAATATGACCAGATATAGGACCGTTAGGGAGATAATTAAATGAGGTCAAAACGATGGGGTCACACATAAATGAGTCCTATTGGGACACCAACAAGACTGGTGTTCTTATAACATGAGGAAGACTCACCAGATTGTGTACTTTCTCTCTTTCCACCCACATATAGAGAAAAGGCAGGCAGGATAGCGAAATGATCAGAGTTCTAGAAAAGTTGTGTTGACTACAGAGAGGTGAGTAGGTGGGAAAGAGAAACCCTGGAGTGGGAAGCCCAGTTTTTGTTTTTGTTTTTGTTTTTGTTTTTGTTTTTGTTTTTGTTTGAGATGGAGTCTGGCTCGGTCGCCCAGGATGGAGTGCAGTGGTGCCATCTTGGCTCACTGCAACCTCTACTTCCCAGGTTCAGGTGATTCTCTGGCTTCAGCCTCGTGAGTAGCTGGGATTGCAGGCACCCACCACTACACCTAGCTAATTTTTTTGTAGTTTTAGTAAAGGTGGAGTTTCACCATGCTGGCCAGGCTGGTCTTGAACTCCTAACCTCAAGTGATCTGCCTGCTTTGGCCTCCCAGAGTGCTGGGATTACAGGCATGAGCCACTGCACCTGGCCTAGGAATCCCAGTTTTTAAGAGGCTGCCATATGAGGATGCATCAAGAAGGCACCATCTACAAGAGGGAAAAAAAAGACCTCAACAGAAACCAACCCTGCTAGCACCTTCATCTCTGGCTTCCAGCCTCCAGTACCATGAGAAAATACATTTCTATGTTTGAAGCCTCCATGGTCTATAGTATTTTGCAACGGTAGCCTGAGCTGTTCTGATAGTTTGGCTCGCACGCCTTGTACCAGTTCGTCAATACTTTCCTTATCACCTGCTAGCACCTTTTCCTATAAAAAGAGATCACCCACTTCCCTCTAGTTAACTTCCAAAGGTGACTGTTTCAAAATCAAAATCAGTTCACAATGATCTACCCATGTGAACTTTTGGTCCCATGTATTGTCTTTCACTCCTCTCTCTTCCTTGAACCTTTGGCCAATCAGTCAGTCACCCAGCACCCTGGCACTCACCTCCTCTTTGTGTTTAGCACCTGTCCCTCCTCTCTAATCACACAGATGCCTTCTTGGCTCAAAGAGTGTTATCTCTCACCCAGACTACCCTATCAGACTCCTAAAGATTGCCTTCCTGCCCCAGGCTTTCTCCTTCTCACCCACTCACCTCTCTGCAGTCAACACATCTTTCCTAGAATTCTGATCATTTCACCACTCTGCTTGAAACTCGTCCATCACCCTTGGGATGAAACCTGACCCTGTGTGCAGGGTCCCACATGGTCTCCCAGATTTCTTTCACACATGCTGTTCCTTGTGCCTAAAACTACCCTTCCAAGCCCTTCCCCTGGCCAGCTCTTAGCCTCTCATTGGGGGAATTACCTGCACAGATCTGGTGGGTTGTCATTCTGACATCCCTGAACACTTCTACTGCTGGGGAACTCAGCTCTTCATGTGGAATCTCGTCTCATTGGGATAGCTCTTTTTGTGGGCAAGTCTAATAACTGATCTGAAATCTGCCTTCCTATAAACTCTCCTCACTGGTTTTCCTCATTCCTTCTCCTTGTCCCCAACTCTCCTTCCTTCCATCTAGACTTTTAGATTTCCTTACTTCCATGGAAGCTGAAACATTATTATTATTCACTGATGCATTCATTCAGTGACTACACTGCCTAACACATAGTAGGTGCCAAGTAAATATGTGTTGAATAAATGAACAAAGGAATATTGAAAATTGACTATTAAAGCTATTATAGAAGAGGCCTTAGAGAGTTCAACTTCTTCATTTTACAGATGACCAAACTAGGGCTTAGGCAAGGAAAGGGAAAGGCCCAAGGTCACACAGCAAGAAAGGGGCCAGACCAGATCAGAATCTATAGATCTTCATCCCTCTGATAGGACCAAGAGCAAACTGGCAAGCTCAGTCCATTTTCAGATTATCCCAAGCAGGAAGTCGATTGGTCCTTTTCCCAAAGGCATCATTGGGATAATGCAAACTTAAGCAAATGTCCATGCCAGGTTCCATCCCCATTTATTCAAGGGAGTAGGATGCAAGATTGATAAGATTTTAAACGGTGTCGTGTTCTGGGCATTCATAACTTGGACTGGAGTGCAGGAAATCCTGTTTGTCTCACAGAGGGAGACAAATGTGCTTTGGAAAATTCCCGGAGGGAAGGAGGACATCATGGGGAATCTCCATCTACATAGGCAAGTCTGGCCTCACTCAGGCAGGAGAAAGAAGGTCCAGGGTGGCTCCTTCACATTCCGGAAGTCTCCTGGGTAAATCAGTGTGGGGCAGACTAGGTGCTTCACATGGCACAGAGGCCCCAGGCTCCCCACCACCAGAGAATGGCTTCACCCCAAAATGCCTCCCCTCTCTCCATCCTTGAGGCCCCAAACCCTACAATGAGGAGGAAGAAAGGTTGCGCCCAGAGATTCAAAGGAAATCACACACTCCCCAACCAAGAGAGAGAGAGGAGGGAGATTCTAAGAGACTCAGAGAGGGAAAGATCGTGTCTGAGAGACAGATGGACACACAGACTCTAAATAACCCAACAAAGAGATAGAAAGTGAGACCGATTCTCAATGGCTCCAAATGTAAAATTAAAGGGGAAAAAATAATTCCAAAAGAACCTTGAACAGGGCAGACTGCAGTGGCTTATGCCTGTAATCCAAGCACTTTGAGAGGCCAAGGTGGGCAGACAGCTTGAGTCCAGGAGTTTGAGACCATCCTGGGCAACATAGAGAGACCCCATCTCTACCAAGAAAGAAAGAAAGAAAGAAAGAAAGAATCTTGAACAAAGTAAAAAGAGCATAAGAGTACACATTATTTCTCTCTTTCTTCCTCTTTTTCTTTCTTTTATTTTCTCTTTTATCTTTCTGAGTCAGAGGGCAGACTTCATAAGGACCACAGATGAGGAGAGGTGTTCAGCTCTTTAAAGGAATGGTTTTAACTGCAGAGATAAAACACCATGATGATGATAGTCATGATGCCTGATGTTTATTGAGCATTTATGATATAAGTTCTGTTCTAAGTGCCTTGCATAGATTTTCTCACTTAACCCTTGTGACCCTAGGCAGTGGGCACTCTGATTATTCCTCTAGTACAGATAAGGACACAGAGGTTCAGAGAACTCATCTTCTGCACAGGGTCCCAGAGCTAGTCCTGTGTGGAGCCAGAATCTCTCCCAGTCCCTAGAGCCCCTCCTCCTAACCCTAAATGGAACTTGGGGCTACAACCTCGGGAATCCCCAGCCATCTCAGCTTGGGCTCACCCTTCTGTGTTAGTCTATTCTTGCATCACTATGAAGAAATACCTGAGGCTGGATAATTTATAAAGAAAAGAGGTTTAATTGGCTCACAGTTCTGCAGGCTGTACAGGAAGCATAGCAGCATCGGCTCGGCTTCTGGTGAAGACCTCAGGAAGCTTCTGATCAGATAGAAGGCAAAGGGAGGGCAGGTGGTGTCACATGGCAAGAGCAGGAGCAAGAGAGAGAGAGAGAGAGAGGAGGGAGGTGCCACGCACTTTTAAACAACCAGACTTTGTGTGAGCTAAATGAGTGAGAACTCACGCATTACCTTAAGGAGACCACCAAGCCATTCATGAGGGATCCACCCCCATGGCCCAACGCCTCCCACCAGACCCCGCCTCTAACATTGGGGATCACATTTCAACACAAGATTTGGAGGGGACAAACGTTCAAACCATATCACCCCCATTTATGACTACATTTACAGTTTACAGTGCATTTTCTCATTGATGTCCCCAGCAGGGTTTGGGAGCTCCATTTGGAAGACCAAGAGGATCCCTGCTCCTTATCTGTCCTTATCCAACCAGTAGGCTAGCTCAAAAAGATTTCAAGCTGTCCTCATGCCAGGCGATGTGCAGGATCCTACACTTTTATTCAAAAGCCCCCCTGTAGGCAGAGGGGAGGGAGCAGTAGCCCTGGGAGATCTTGGGGGTCGTGGAAAGAGCCCAGTGGCATACAGAGCAAATGTCAAACTTCCATAAAGACTCATTTTTAATCTGAAAAATTCACAGGGGTTTTGTATTCTACTGCAAAATATGTTGCTAAGAAAACAGAAAAATGTTTTTAATTACTTGCCCGGGAATGAAACAGACAATCTCAAAAGATGACCCATGTGTATCTCCTGGCTTTATCCCAAGGGAGAGAAGAGCCCAATTTGAGCAACTCAAGACTAGTCCAAGTCCCACCCAGCCTTACTTTCAGCTGAGAAGCCTGAGACACAGAGGTAAAGTGTTTTGTCCAAGGCTGCACAGCAGGGTAGGATCTAGGACCCACACCGGCTGAAGCCTAATCTAGGATCCCTATGCCACATGGGACATGATGGTTGAAGACACAGGCAGTCAAGCTGTCACGAATCCCAGCAGGGCCACAAAGTTGCATAATTGCAGGAGATGTCACTCCCAAGTTAATAGATGTGTCCGGCACCCCCTGGGGTTGGGCGGTACCTGCATGCCATCCACATCACCCTTCTTTGCACTTCAGTTTTCATAGTGTTAATTCTTATAAAACAGGAATGATAACAGTATCGATTCCATGGGCATGAGGATTAAATGAGATACTGCCTGTGCCTAGCACACAGTAGACTCAAGACAACGAAACTTTTAATGCTACCATCATCTTTACTTAAGAAAAAAGACACCCGTTCTCTTTCCATGGTTCCTTTTCAAGCCAGGCCATGCAGAGGCAGTTTTACAAGAATGTCTTTTCTAGTTATATGTCATGCTAACCTACCTCCATGGGTTGGTGTGAAGTTTAACTAAGTTAACACCTGTAAAAACCTGGAACAAGGCCTGATACAAAATGAGTGTTCACGCCAGGTGCAGTGGCTCATGCCTGTCATCACAGCACGTTGGGAGGCCAAGGAAGGAGGATTGCTGGAGGCCAAAGTTCAAGACCAGCCTGGGCAACATAGTGAGACGCCATCTCTACAAAAATTCTTCTTAAAAATTAGCTGGACGTGGCGGTACATGCCTGTAGTCCCAGCTACTCAGGAGGCTGAGGAGGGAGTTGGAGGCTGCAGTGAGCGGTGATCACGCCACTGCACTCCAGCCTGAGTGACACAGTGAGACCCTGTCTCTAAATAAATAAATAAAATGAATGCTCCATAAGAACTACCTCTTTCATTATAGAGAGCTATATACATACATAAATGCATGATTACTATTTTATTTTATTTTATTTTATTTTTTTGAGACAGTCTTGCTTTGTTACCTAGGCTGGAGTGCAGTGGCATGATCTCAACTCACTGCAACCTCTGCTTCTGGGTTCAAGAAATTCTCCTGTCTCAGCCTCCCGAGTAGCTGAGATTACAGGCATGTGCCACCACGCCCATCTAATTTTTGTATTTTTGTAGAGAATGGATTTCACCACTTTGGCCAGGCTGGTCTCGATCTCCTGACCTCAAGTGATCCACTGCCTCGGCCTCCCAAAGTGCTGGGATTGCAGGCATGAGCCATTGTGCCGGGCCATGATGAGTCTTTAATCCAATAAGCATTTATATATTTATGACTAACTTTCACCTCCTTGTATAAAGCCTTATCCCGCCAGCCTTTACTTCACAACGTGTGAATTGCGTTGTTGCTCCTGGTGGATCTCATTTAAGAATGGAGGAACGAGCACTAGGAAGATGACACCAGGAGATCAGTTCGTTCTGATGTCACAGGGGAGACACTTCTTAATCTAGACCAAGCTGACTTTTCCCCCCAGATCAATTCAAACCCCCTCTCCTTGAAGGCACGGCAAAGGCAGGCTCCCAGAGCCTTCTGGCTCCATTCAAAATCCCCTTTTCAGAGCTTTGGCAGTTTTATGGCCTTTAATGACCCCCTATTGTACCCTGATTGCCAATCAGGGCACACGTAATGACCAAGCAGCATCACTTAGCCCTTATTCCGATGACAATGGCCAGAGCGGCCAGCTCGCTGTTTTGACATGAGCCGGGTCACAGGGAAAGTTTTCAGGCGGGTGACTTAAAGAGCCTGGACCAGCCAGCACCCTCAACTCCTCAGTTGCTGGGACTTGGACAAAAGAATGAACTCTGAACTTTTCCTTTGACGGATGGAGGTCATTAAAACCGTGGTGGGGGCCCCTTCAAAGGCAGGTGTAGACGAGGCTGTCCCTCAAAGCGCCTAATAAAGAGAGAACAGGCGATTGTGTGGGATTCAGAGGAGGGGAACTTCTGAGAGATTCACTCAAGTGGTTCAAAGAAATCAATGGGCTGCCCCAGCCGATTGACAGGGGCCAGAAGTGCCGTGGCCGTCTCTCTGCCACCCACTGAATGGGTGGCTGCCCCAATTGTTCCCAAATAGGGGCTACCACAATAAATGCTTTGGGTTCTTTCATAGATACCCTGGGCCGTGGGGCCTTAGACCAACAAGAGAATCTAGAAAAACCTTCACCACCGACTCCCATTTTAAATTCCATCCATTTTAATAAAGTGCCAAGAGAACTCCAAGCAGCTTAAAATATTAAAGGTTTCTTTTAAACATCTGGAAGATAACATCTAATTACTAGATAGTGCTCTAGGTTATTAATATGTAATCAGAGCTAATCCCACCCAACACAAACAGCAAACAAAAGCACTATCCTGGAAGTATCATCTTTGCAGAATGTGAAGCTCCAGTGCAAAAGAAGAGAGCCCCCAACGTAGCTTCCAGATGACACAGCCACCTCCCCCAGCCCCCATTCCCACCACAGCACAGCACAACCAGCTGGGACCACATGCTGCCCCTGGAGGGGCAAAGTCAGAAATGTTGACCTCCTGGCAGTCAGCAGGACAAGTCAGCGAAATAGATTGACTGCAAATGACTTGAGTCATCGAAGTTCAACCATGAAGGGAAATGAAAGCTTGGGGAATTTCACCTCCCTCTTCTGTTTTTTTCAAACGGTGTTTTTGCTTTTTACAAAAGGGTCAGGAATTTTGATCCCAAAGGTCCGAGCGGGAATATAAATGGATTTGGATAAGCTGGAAGCCGGGTCTTTGGGGAGTGGTGTGCTGAATGCATCATTAGGATCACTTGCTCGGCACATTACACACGCAGGCACGCAGGAGACGGAATTCGGCACCCCTCTCCTGCCAGGGCGATGGTTATTAAGGGTAACGCGATCGGATGAGAAGGCGGCAAATGGGCAACCACAAAGCCCAGAGGAAGCAGCTGTGGAGACAAATAAGTGAAGGTCCCACCTCCCTGAAATGTACCCACAAGACAGAGCCACATCCTCTGCATTGTCCAAGGACAAATCATCGTGGGTTCTTGGGCAGTTGGTGGTGTCAGCGCGGCTGAAGGCAAAAGTGATGACTTGCAGACCTCCAGAAGGGGCACCGCAAACGCCTGATCTGGGGCAAGTCCACTTTAACCCTTCCCTACCTCCTTCTCCCACAAGGAAACGGAGGCAACGGAGCAGTGTCATCATCACTGAGCCACATAAAGGAAAGAATAAAGAGGCCACGAGGAATCATAAGGATTTTCCCTCTCTCCAGATCCCTAAGGAAAATGGTCTGACTCATTCTTATGATTCACCGCAGTGTCACAAACATCTCTTGAGCATCTGCAAGTGGAGTCCTAGGTGCTGGCGTGATGGGGTAAACAAGACAGACAGCCCCCATCTTCACTGGGAATGTGGAAATTAAACAGATAATTCCTCAGATAATGAGTATTTTGAAAGATGCTACAAAGGAAAAAAGAGAGTGCTCTGAGGACCTAAGACAGAAAGATCTGCCCCACAGTCAAGTAGGTCAGGAAAAGCCAAGTCCTGGGAGCCTGTGAGGCAGAAAGGGTGTAGGTCTCAGTAGAAGTGGCTCTTGCAGCAGAAGGGACATGTGGAAAGGCCCAGTGATAAAAGGGCTATGGTTTGGACTTACCCAACAAGGATAAGATGCCCAGGACAGAGTATCAAATGGCAGTACCTAGAACACTGCATGTAGATGCCCAAGAGATGTTTGTGGCTGGGTACAGTGGCTCATGCCTGTAATCCCAGCACTTTGGGAGGCCAAGGCGAGTGGATCACCTGAGGTCAGGAGTTCGAGACTAGCCTGGCCAACATGGCGAAACCTCATCTCTACTAAAAATACAAAAATTAGCCAGGCGTGGTGGCACATGCCTATAACCCCAGCTACTCAGGAGGCTGAGGCAGGAGAATCGCTTGAACCCGGGAGGCGGAGGTTGCAATGAGCCAAGATGGCACCATTGTACTCCAGCCTGGGCAACAAGAATAAACTCCTTCTCAAAAAAAAAAAAAAAAAAGATGTTTGTGACACTGCAGTGGATCACAAGTATCAGACCATTTTCCTTGGGAATCTGGAGAAGGGGAAAGTCCGTATTCTTCCTTGTGGCCTTTTTATTCTTTCCTTTATGTGACCAGGACAGGGTAGCAGGGAGTGTCCATCCCAGCTGCCTAGTTCCCTTGCATAGCTGGGGTTGGGGAGGCACCCGAGGCAGGGAACGGAGGGACAGGCTACTATGTAATGGTGGATTCGGGACTTTGCTGCAGAGCCACATTAAAAGAAGTACAATGGGCTGGGTGCAGTGGCTCACGTCTGTAATCCCAGCACTTTAGGAGACCGAGGCAGGTGGATCACTAGGTCAGGAGTTCGAGACCAGCCTGGCCAACATGGCGAAACCCTATCTCTACTAAAAATACAAAAATTAGCTGGGAGTGGTGGCAGGCACCTGTAATCCCAGCTACTTGGGAGGCTGGGGCAGGAGAATCTCTTGAACCCGGGAGGCAGAGGCTGGAGTGAGCCAAGATCGTGCCATTGCACTCCAGCCTGGGCAACAAGAGCAAGACTCCATCTAAAAAAAAAAAAGTACAATAACAACAACTTGAGAAGCAAACAGTTTATCCAGCAGATTCAATCCTGTCAGGGGTTGGGGCAGAAATATCTGGAAGTATCTAGAAATATCTGGAAGATGGAGGTCTGTCCAATTCCTGGGCCTGCTGAATCTGCCCTGAGGAAAAGCACTGAAGAACAACTTCAGCCATGAGCTCATCAGACGCCACCTCCTCGGTTCCGCAGAGCAGAGGGATGTGACAGGCAAACCTTGCTGTCACAGCACTCAGTTTAGGGATGACCTATAACTAGTCCCTTTAACCATCTATTCCTAAGCAATTTTGTTTATTGAAAGGTAAAAGTAACATTTGATAACCTCATCATTATTATTATGAGATGGTTATTATAGTCTCATAATTATTAACAATACTAGCATTTTCTCACCGTTTACCATGGGTCAGGCACAGTGCCATAATGTAAGCCTCTAATGCTCATAACAACAGAAGAGGAGATACGTATTATTACTATAGCTATTTTATAGATGAGAAAACTGAGGCTCAAAGGGTTACTTGATGATCAAACTAATCCAGTTTAGAAAGACAGATCCGGAATTTGTATCCAGGTAGTCTGGTTCCAAGAATTTTTTATTTTATTTTATTTTATTTTATTTTAAAGAGATGGGAACTTTCTCTGTCACCCAGGCTGAAGTGCAGTGGCAAGATCCTAGCTTAGTGCAGCCTCAAACTCCTGGGCTCAAGGGATCCTCCTGCTTCAGCCTCCAGAGTAGCTGGGACTACAGGCGTGCGTCACCACACCCAGCTAATTTTTGTATTTTTTTGTAGGTCTTGCTCTTCTGTCCAGGCTGGTCCTGAACTCCTCGGCTCAAGGGATCCTCGGGCCTCAGCCTCTAGAATAGCTGGAACTACTGGCGTTCAGTACCACTCCCAACTAATTTATTTTTCATTCTCGTAGAGGCTGGGTCTTGCTATGTTCCCCGGGCTGATCTCGAACTCCTGGACTCAAGCAATCCTCCTGCCTCAGCGTCCCAAAATGCTGGTATTACAGGCATAAGCCACCACGCCCAGCCCGGGAATCCTTTCTTTTAACCACTGCAGTACTCCACCTTTTTCCTACTAGATAGTAAGAGAGGTTCTGCTCTTTCCACATCCCCCTGAACTCTGATGTCTGTTTGAATCAAGATGGAGAAATGTGGTTTACTAAGAGACTCTGCAAATGTGGGGCCTCTTTCTGAGCCACATGGGGTGGGCAGCCTCCAGGTCACAGGACGCTGCTGCTGGCATCTGGAAGGGCCACTCCGTGCGAACGTGCTCAGGGCAGCCCTGCGTTTTTACAGGAAACATCTCAGTTAAATATGCAAGCGTGTTTCATTGCAGGGGCTCAGGAAACTTGTTTATCTTCCTTAAACACTGCCAGAGTGGCTCTCGTTTGTTATCTGGGGTGTGAAATGGAGGCTGACAACAATTAATACCTCCTCCCAGGCAGCTCGGCGGCGCTCTGACGGGAAGCTGTGTACTTCCGAGCAGGCGGCTGAGGAGGTGGCAGGCCGAGCCGTCACTCAGGATCCGAGGGGGGAAGAGTGACAGCAGCAGCTGACCGCCCCTCCCGCCGCCTCCTGAGAGGCCCCCATGATAAAGCATCCTGCTTTGTGGTGTAATCAACTTGCCATACATGCATTACCTCCTAATGAGCGCCGTGTTTAAACAAGTGTATAGAACACATCTGTCCGGGCCTTGGGACTCGAGGCTGTGTGACCAATTTCAGCATCTGAAAGTTAAATTAATGGTAAAGGGTTTAATTGTGAGTAAACAATACCACATTAAGGAGCAGTAAACACAGCAGTGGGGACCCACCGACCCGCTCTGCCATCACAGATGCGGCGGCCTCCATGTGACCGTTAATAGTCCCCGCCGCCTGGAAGTTCTGACAGCGCCCTGAAGCCCATTTGTCATCTAAATGGTCCGTCCCCTTCTTAAACATCATTTTGGCCCAAGGTCCATTCATGGGGCCTGCCGGGTGTTCCTGGGAAGATGGGCAGAAAATCCCAAGGCAAGTGGGAAAAGCCTGGTAAAGTTCCAGCTTCTCCATGGAGGGGCGGGAGGGGGGTGAGGGGGACACATATTCCCTGATATCCGGGCAACCAGAGTCGGTCCATAGGAGTGAGTCTGCCCTAGACACCAAGCTTCAATGGCAATGATTCCAAAACCTGACTTTAAAACACCCTAGGGTGTCGCCAACGAACAAAGGCTGCCTCAAAACCAAATTAAGTTCCCTTTAATTAAAGATCATAACATACGCCACAGAACACTCTGTCACGGTAGGGGGAAGGAAGAGACTGTCACATAAAATAAATAGGGTTCCACAACTCACAAAAATTAAGCATCTCACAGAAAGAGCTCTGCACTTTGCTGATTTGTGAACAGCCATCCTCATTGCCACCTTGGAAACCGCTTGTGAGAGGCAGAGTGGAGGTAAAAGAGAAGATGGGTTTCTTCCCATAGGAGACAGGCACAGGTGTTTTCCATCACTGGTCAGGTTGGAGGACATCTCCACGGACCAGGCCCTCAAACACGGAATTTCTGTCCAGTCACAGGAGCACGGGCTGTGCCTTCCTAAGAGGGGCTGGCCTGTCCCTCTGCACCTTTAACTGTCCCCATCTGAGAGGACCTGTATCTCAGCCACAGAGAACATTCCTCTTGTTTGCCTTCCTTGTAATCTGGGCAAAGGGAGTGTACCATGTGGCCCAGCCTGTCCCAGCAGAACACTGAATTGGGGACTGCTGGGATTGAAGCCTCAGCTATGAATACAGCAGCCCTGTGCCTGCTCTCAGTGCATGGTTCCTGGGGACCCCATGGGATAGAGGATTGATCATGGCCAAGATCAAGCATCGAAGTTTCCAGCCTTCAGGCTTCTCTCTCTTTTTCTCTCTCTCATCCTTTAAATGTAGACTGATGTGATTTCAAAGACAAAATTGTCTCAGGGTTACACACCCAGACTCAAGTCAGAATCCAGTCCTGGCTCTACCACTTTCACCTCTCTGAGCCTCAGTGTGTTCGTGTGTGAAATGAGTACATGTCAAAGGCTTCGAACAGTGTGTGGCCCAGGGTAAACGCTCATTAAATGTCAGAAGCTATTATGACTTGAGCACGGTGGCTCACATCTGTAATCCCACCACTCTGGGAGGCCATGGAGGGAGGATTGCCTGAAGTCAGGAGTTTGGGACCAGCCCAGGCAACACAACAAGACCCCATCTCTATAAAAAAAAATTGGGGGCCAGGTGGGGTGGCTCACGCCTGTAATCCCAGCACTTTGGGAGGTGGGCGAATCATGAGGTCAGGAGATAGAGACCATCCTGGCCAACATGGTGAAACCCCATCTCTACTAAAAATAAAAAAAAATTAGCTGGGCGTAGTGGTGCGTGCCTGTATTCCCAGCTACTCGGGAGGCTGAGGCAGGAGAATTGTTTGAACCCGGTGGGGCGGAGGTTGCAGTGAGCTGAGATCACACCACTGCACTCCAGCCTGGTGACAGCTTAAAACTCTGTCTCAAAAAATATATATGAAATTCAATTAAAAATTAAAATGAAACAAGAAGATATTATGATGGGCATGTGATGGATGCCCCCCACCTTTTTTTTTTTTTTTGAGATGGAGTCTCTCTCTGTGGCCCAAGCTGGAGTTCAATGGCGTGATTGTGGCTCACTGCAACCTCTGCCTCCAGGGCACAAGCGATTCTCCCACCTCAGCTTCCCAAGTAGTTGGGATTACAGGCATGCACCACCATGCTCGGCTAATTATTATTATTATTATTATTATTATTATTATTATTATTTTAAATACAGACAGAGTTTCACCATGTTGGCCAGGCTGTTCTCAAACTCCTAACCTCAAATGATCCACCCGCCTCAGCCTCCCAAAGTGCTGGGATTACAGGCATGAGCCACCACGCCCGACCTGGATGCCCCTTTTGGTAACACCTAATCAAACTGACTTGTAGGAAGAGCTCAAGGAAAAGTGGGACCTTTTGCATCTGCCTCACCCCAAGGTTGTTGAATTAGGCCAGGGCACGGATAGAGATTTTTCTCTGCGCTTATAGGTCCACTTATCTCAGAAGCCAAGTGAATACAGCAGCCCCAGGCCCTTGGAATACTGGCTGTTTGACAGGAAGGTAGATTCAACACTGCTGCTGCTGGTTATAGGGGGATGGTCCACAATTGCTCAGAGCTTCAGGTCTCCATTCCCAACAGAAGGCTCAGTATATTCCCACCTCAAGAAACTAGCTGGCTGCCAGCACCAGCTCTCTAGCTCTGAGTCAACTTTTTAGCACTACATTTCTTAGAAAGATTTCCCAAAATGTTGGCTTTTGTATGTTCGAAAGACAGGTAAGCTCGAATTTCTATGTCTGACAACCCTCTTGCTAATGAGTTTCTTTACTAACCCTTAGTGGTTCTCTATATTTGAGCTGGGCAAATCAGTCTGCCTCTCAGAGACTCCAGAATTTCTAAATAGGAAGGGCCTAGTGGCAACAAACTCATAGAAAGAGGCTGCTAGGGGACCTGTCTAGATCTGTGTGGCAAGCCCACATCTTACTTTGATTTTTTTAGGGGGGTAGAGGTGGGGAGTGGCTTTGGGAGAGAAAGATGTCAAGGATTGGGATTGCCAATGAAGCCTTCTTTCTCCTTCTCCTTCTAGGCCACCATTTAGTGCCAATAAACAGAAGGCCTGGTTTCTTCAAAAGAAACACAAGAAATTGTTTCCTGGTTTTGCCACAGAGATTGGGTCACAGAGTGCCACCTAAATGGTATTACCATATTTGTGTTGTCGCCTCTTGGTTTGAAATTTATTCCTGGTATGACTTGTGTCTCCCCTTGTTCCATCTCTGACACCCAAGCCCATGGGATGACAACCCAGGCTGAGATGTCCCATGTGTCACAAAGGAGTCCTTCAGTATTTCCAGGAATAGTTGGAACCAGCACTCCATCCCCTACCTGGACCTGGCACCCTCTCTACTCTTGTCAATTCTACACTAATCACAGGAAGAAGGTGGAATTAGTCCAAGCTGGGTTTTCAGAAATAACTTGTAGACATGCAACAGATGTTTATAACCCTCAGAAGCGGAAGGAAACTTGGAAACCCTCTCTTTCGGTGACTTTTTTTCTAATGATTGTCTCTGCCATGAAATTCTAACTTCAAATGAAATCTTTGGCAGGAACCCAGGGCTGTTCTGTCAAGGTTCAGCTGCAGGACCAGAGCCCCTTCCACCTAACCCCCACTCCTATCCTGATGCTTCCTGAGGCACATCTGCTGTGGTTTCTCACCAGAGAACAGTCTGCAAAATCACTGCACCTTGTCCAACTCCATTTTCCAACTGAGAAGACTTGGCCCAGAGAAGTGCACAGACTTGAGGGAAGTAACACAGCAATCGGACAGACAGACATCCCCAGATATACCTGCTACGGTCCTGGGAGAAAATAGAGACCCATCCCCAAATACCATCATCCTCATCATTCTCTGTAGCCCAATCAAATGATGCTCCAGGCCTGAGATTTTATCCAATGAACACTCTGTACATCTTTAAAAGAGATATGTACTTGTCTTATTCCTCCTTTCCTTTCTTTAAAAAAAAACACAGGCCCCAGATCCAGTCATTCTAAATAGGAAGGAAAAACATAACCCACTGAGGCAATGGATGCTGTTTCTCTCCCTGCTCTGTGACTTTAGTTTGCCTTTAAAGCCCATTTTCACCATTTATTGATTTTAGTTTTCTACTTGTCTATGAATGACAACTTGAATTAAGACAACGCAGGCTGAAAAGCCGCTAGGCAGTGCTAAATGGACAAGCTACACTTCGTGGCAGGATGTCTCATGACCGTGCCACCTTCTGCCTAGCCCCATTCTCTGGAGGAGCTGTGGGCAGACCGACCCCAGCCTGGCCGCCTGGCATGGGGACTGGTTGCGTCAGATCGGAGCTCTGAGATAAGGGTGGGCCAGGGCATGATCATCACCACTGCCAGCCTCGAAGCCTCTTTGCTGACCTGGAGGTGATCTGTGTATCAAAGGGGGCTGTGTATTCAACAGCACTTCCAGAAGAGGCCAAAGATCTGTCTCTACTTCAGCCTCCACTGGGCAGAAAACTAAGCCTATTTGCTCTAGGCCCTTCAGACTTGCACTTGGAGAAAGAAAACTCACTAAGTCAGCCCTTATGTAACTCCACTCTCCTCTCTTCCAAACCTCCTTGCTTTGGACAAATATTTGACAGAAAATGCCCTTTTGCAACGCCTTAAAAGTTACAAAAATGGTGCACCCTATCCTTTAATCTGTACTGTAAATAAAAAATATTAACACAAACCCTTTAACCCAGAAATCCTACTTTTACAAATCCATCTTAAGAACGTAATCAGGTAAGTACCTCATGTTTCTATAAAGACATTTATTGCAGCGCTGTTTCTAATAGACAAAAGTGGAAACCACTTAAGTACCTAGCAAGAAGGGATTGGCAAATATGGTAAATCTAGTCTATTAAATATTATTCAGTCATTTAAAATGATGATGCCGAACAATATTTATTCACGTGGAAAGACATTTACAATGTATGTTACTATGTAAGTAAGAAAAATAAGAAATAATACACATAGTTCCCTTCTTATTTTTTTTTAGTTTTTCTGGATATCTTTCTATTGTTATTTGCATAGGAAAAAGAATAAAAATTGAGATAGGCCAAAATGTGAAGATTTGAGAATGTTTTACCTTTTTTTTTTTTCTCGAGACAGGGCGTCACTCTGTCATCCAGGCTAACTTGCAGTGGCGCAAACTGATCTCGGCTCACTGCAACCTCTGCCTGCTGGGCTCAAGTGATCCTCCTGCCTCACCCTCCCAAATAGCTGGGACCATAGGCTCATACCACCACACCAAGCTAATTTTTTGCATTTTTTGTAGAGACAGGCTTTTACTATGTTGCCCTGGCTGGTCTTGAACTCTCAGCTCAAACGATCTGCCACCTAGGTCTCCCAAAGTGCTAGGATTACAGGCGTGAGCCATGTGCCCAGCCTTCAATCTTTTCTGACTGATTTCTGAATGTATTGATTTATAATCAGGAAACGAATGATAATGTGATTTTCATGGTGGGTAGGTGGAGTTGAGTGAGCCAAAAAGATGACCTTAAATAGTGCTCCAAGCTGTACAAGGTCACCCCAAGAGTATTCCTGTTGGGCCATATTGGGACCTGTTTCCTCTTCATCAGCAGCAATACAGCCTGTGCAAGGCACTGCCTACATTCTCATTACTTCCAACACCCAGTGGCAGGATCTGTACAAGCTGCACTCATTTAGAAAGCCCACCCTTACACTAACTACTGGAAGCAGAAAGTTGATGAGCATTTTTTCTTTTGACCAAATTGGCAGAGAAGACAAAGACCCAGGAGGGAAGTGAAGAGAGTGAGAGAGTTTGACCCAACATCACACCATGCACCAAGAGCCAAGCTCATCCCAATGGCTTACTCACATTCCCAAAACCAGACTCAAGATCCTGTCTAAGAGTCAACCCCATGGAAGACCTCTGCCATTTAAGAAGCTCCTGATCTCTTGAGGCCAGGAGTTTTAAGACCAGTCTTGGCAACATAGGGAGACCCCATCTATACAAAATAATTCAAAAATTAGCTGGACTTGGCAGCACGTTCCTATAGTCCTAGCTACTCATGAGGCTGAGGCGAGAGTGCTTAAGCCCAGGGTTCAAGGCTGCAGTGAACTACGATTGTGTCTCTGCACTTCAGCTTGGGCAGCAGAGCAAGACCAAGTGTAAATTAAAAAATAAAATAAATAAAATTAAATGTAAAAAGATGTTCCTGAGAAAATAGTTCTAACCCACTTTGGGATCATGAACAAATTTGAGAATCTGATGGAAGCTCTAACCCTCTCCCACAAAAATACATGTAAACATAAATTTATATACATTTCAAGGGGATTATGGGTGGTGCATGGTCCTGAGTGATCACAGGCCGGGAACTTATGGGGAGGCTCCACTCCCTGGAGTGGGAGGGTGCAGGTGTCCATTTTCGGCCCAGCCCCAGCCTTGGGTTTTGATAAGGGCTTCTGTCCACTCTTCATCCACCCCCATACTCATCACCAAGTTCCGAACTTCTTGAAGACAGGACACAGAGACTCCCTGGAGCAGGCCATGTGATGGCGGGGAGATAGGGGAGTGGGCAGTGAGCGGAAGGCGTGGAGACAGCAAGGTCCCCACCAGGACACCTCTGCTCCAGATAAGGAGGGTGCCATCTTGTAACCCCAAGGCTGCCTGGCAGGACTTCCTCAAAAGCAAGGATGTCTTCTGTGTTTTGCAAGGGTGTTAAAGGAGGTAATTAAAGGGTCCACAAGTCAGACCTCACACACACAGATGGGAGGCACTGCCTTTCTGATCCTCTCAGCTGGTACAGAACTGAGGCCGGCAACAAAAGGTGTTAATCGCCGGATGAAGAGTCCATGCTGATAGATGACCCCTTATGGTGATCACTCTTGTGCGAATGGCAAATAGGTTTGATCAATTAGATTTTAATGTAAAGTGGGGCCTGGTGGGGGGAAACAGCAACCAGGAGAGGGAAGACCCTTTGTTGCTAATGTGTCTGAAAAAAGCACTTAATTGAGGTCATAATAATATTAGCAGTTCTCGTCATCAATAATTCAGCCTTATTTATTACTCCCCAATAAGGTCCTGTCAGGTAGGGAATGTAGAGGGCTTTTGTTAGAGACAGGATATGTAGCTTCTCTCTCTCTCTCTCTTTCTCTCTCTCACCAGCTGCTGGGCCACAGAATATCAAGATTTCTTTCATTCTCAAAATGCTTTCTAGCTACAGGCTCTATATGTAGAAATAGACGACTGTAAAGATAGAAGTTTGCAACAAGATATAATTTAACCCTCTCCCATCCTTCCTTGCTCCAGTTTTTTTTAAAAAAATCATTCTCATTGAAACAGTAGCTAACTACTTTTGCTTAAGAAATCTATCAGGAGAAAAACAATTTTTATTCTTGCATGATTTAGTACCCTAAAGAATGACATAAATTTGGTCTTTTCACATGCCTTTGGTCACCTGTGGTTTTGTTATCTTTTAACGCAAAAAAAAAAAAAAGACAGTGAGAGAGAGTGTGTGCCAAATGAATGTATAATTGTACAATTAAAGATGCTAGCTCCAGCGTTAAAATTTAAAATGTATTAGTCTCATAAAACCGCCTCATTAGTCTCTGTGTCTTAAAGGACATACTTGTCCATAATGAGGCGAATGCAGGAAATGGCGCAGGGTGAGAGCAAGGGGAAGAGGGGACAGCGGAGCTGGCTGCCATTTCGTTTTTCAGAAAGGGGGAGGAAAAACACTTAATAAAGATAATTGGGCTGGTAGTGTCTGTTCCCATCTGGAATCGCAACTCAGACAGACCCCAGGGCAGACCATCGGTCATTAACCAGGAAAATAACCTATTTGGAAGGGATCCGTTTGTTTTATAAACGATGCTCCACTTTAGAACAGCTTAACCGCAATCATAATAAAAGTTCCTCGAAACCCCAGCCAGGGGATGGTGCTGAAATATCGATCCGGCTTCTGCTGATGATGGCCGGACTTGGCTTCCGCCCTGCTTGCAGGAAACAGCTTTTGAAGTTTTGCTCTTTCCCCCACCCCCTTTTTAAGTCTAAATAGAATTTAAACTGCCCTTCGGTGATCAGTGGCTATTAGCAGCATTGGTTAGGAAACACGGAGTCATGGGGTCAGGAGAGGTGGCCCAGGTGGAGGGTGGAAGAGGGGAGAGAGGAGGCCCCGAGCTAAGGGGAAGAGAGAGGTCAGCTGTGAGCGCAGCTTGGTGGGAAAAGGATTGCTGCGGTGGGGCCGCCCTGGCCTGCGAGGCATCCAAGGGACAAGGACTGGGAAGAATCAATGCACCCCACCCCCAGCCCCAGCCTGGCCACAGCACTCCCCCCAACACACACACACACACACACACACACACACACACACACACACACACAGGCAAGGCAGAAGCATTCAGAAAAGTCATTCATCAAGGCAGAACTGGAATCGTATAGATTAAGGCAGCAAGGAGAAGTCCAGCGCCTTATCCGACTGCCCTGATGGTGAAGACGAGAGGGAATAATTACTGTAATTGGAAAAAAGGTTTCAATGGCAAAGCTCCTCTGATCCACCTATTTCCAAGGAAGGTTGCTCTTAGCTGCTTAGGAGGGCGTGTGAAAGTGGGGTCTTCTGAGACAAAGGGAAACGGGGAGGAGGAGCCATAACCCACATGGAACCTGCCTTTTAAGGAAAATGAGGAATCCAAGCTCTGAAAGATCCACGTCTATTTCAGCGTTTCTCCACCAGGGTGATTTTGTTCCCCTGTGAGCTATCTGGCAATGTCAGGGGACATCTGAGGTTGTCATAACTGGGGATGAAGTACTGCTGGCATGTGGTAGGTAGAGGCCACGATGATGCAAACCCTACAATACACAGGACACCCTTGCCACCCTCACCCTCTCCCCTGAGCGTGCACGCACACACACACACACACACACACACACACACAGGACAAAGGACTATCCAGCTCCAAATGTAAGCAGTGCCCAGGTCAAAAGCCCTGGTCTACTCAAATCACACTCACCGAGTAAAGATCCTACTCTTTGCTCCACTCTGTCCCCAGAATGTCGGTTCCTGCCCTCATACCCCACTTCCCCTCCTCCCCTTCAGTGCCACTGGTTAACATCTTCCAGAGAAACATCTTCCCTTAGAATGTCTTAAGAATGACATTCTAAACCAATTTCTTCCTTTAAGGCATTAGGTCTCAGTCTGCCAGCTAGAGGGAAAGAGGATGAGTGTTTAGGACTCAGCAGCAAGGACTTAGTGGCAAATCCTGATGGAACTTTGACTAGGCTCCTGGGCCCAAAGTTAGCCTCAATGTTCACCTCTGTAAAATGGGTGTAATAATTTTGCTGCTTCATAGGGTTGGAAAGAGGAAATGAGAAAACGTTTAGCCCACTACCAGGCATGTGTTAAGTGCTCAAAAAGGAATCAAGGAGAGAGAGGGAGAAATTTCAACTGGTGTCAGACACCATGGTAGTCAGTGATCACTGCCATCCCAAACCCCATGTGGAGAGGGGACCGTCCATCATTATCAAGAAATGAGTGCCATTTTCTAATTATAAAGAATGAAGCTACTGCACAAAGCTCTTTAGAACTATCAGCCCCATCATCTGCAAAGCTTAAGTGTCTGTCTAAGCAGAGCCCCAGTCACCTTTCCCCCCGTTTCTCTACCTTGATTCTAGAAAGGGAAGGGGGGCAGGGCAGGGCCTTACCAAATTTCTCCCCGCATGCTCAACTGTTTCCTCCTGACAGCGTTTGACTGTGCTTATTATTTCCAGCAAAGCCCTTATCATTTTCAATGTGAATTTCAAATCACACTGATCCAGCCCTTCTTAGCTAAAGTCAGCTTTATCAACCACAAGAGATGTGGGATTTGAGAGAGATCTGAGTAAATTCACATTGTTTGGATAAACTCATTCAGGGAGCTCAACAAATCAAAGCCGAAATGGATATGTATTCCAAGGAGACTGAGAACTGCTGGGGGAAAAAGAAAAAAAAAAAAAGTTGCCATTAACGTTTTTATTTCTTAAAAAAAAAAAACACATAGCAATCCCTTTTTAATGAGCGTGTTCACAACGTCTCTTTGAACCTTTACCAGGGCTCCTTAGGACACCAGGTGAAATGATAGGAGCTGCGAGGTTGTTGACAAGGGAAGCAAGTCGTTGGAGAAAATTGCTTCACCCGCTGCCCCCACCTCCCAGCTTTGGTCAGCGAGGCCGCTATCAAATATGGTAATGGGTGAATTTATGCATTATCCCATAATTTAAGGAACTGTGTGCATCATGTATATTTAAAACTATTTCTCTGTAGTTTTAATTATCTCAGTCTGCAGGGGCAAAAAGAAAAAAAGCAGGCAGCTCCCTTGCCTGAGACCAAAATGAAAGCATTTGCCTGCTGACAGCTAGGACGTCTGTCCTAGCTGGTTGAGATTTCCTATAAAATTTGCATTGGAAAGGCAGCTTTAAGTATACTTAAAATAAAAAAGGGGCATTTGCATCTAATTTGCTACACTTGCAGTATTAGAGTTTTATCTGAATAAAGACACGTCAACTGGATTTATATAGTTAAGCTGATAGCTGGGAAAGTCAACACCAAAAACATCAGCTAAATTCAACAAAGTTGGAGAGCAGCTAATACTATTTACATGTTGTTGTGGGGTTTTTTTCCCCTCCAGTGATGACTTTAAAACTATAGCAAATTATCTTCTTTTTACACAAGTCTGGTAATTACAAGGTTTTAATGAAAGGCATCTTTATAGATGGACCCCCCCCTTCCCCTACCCCCCCTCCCAGCACACCCAAGTGTGTTTATAAAATGGTGCGATTATAAAATGTGGTGTCATTGTGAATTCCAGCAGCTTTGGACTTGGACAGGTCTTGATTCGAGTCCTGACTCAGCCACCTATTGGCTGTGTGACCTCAGGCAAGTACTCCTTGGCCTTAGTTTCTTCATCTGAACAATGGGTACCATGTTTGTTGTTATACAGGGTCACGATAGTTGTGTGGTCTGTGGGCTGCCCAAAGGTGCTCAATCAAGGCCAGTGGGGGCTGAGATCCAGTCCGTATCACTTGGCCACATCTCATTCACACTTAGATGCTGTGTGGCTAGCAGCCTGATCCAACCTCAAGGAGGCTATGAGCTTTAAAATTGGACGATACAAACTAAGGACTAGAGTAGCATCTGGTACATGGTAACTGCTCAGAGAAAGTTAGCATGAGGATGTTAATGATGACAATGATGACAACAGTGATAATGATGGTGATGATGATGATATGTCAGTGAAATGTCACATCGCTGATGTAGTTCCTATTCCAGAGGAAGGACTTCAGCGTTCCTCTGTTCACTTTCACCAATTGCCACTCAATTTCAACATCATTGCGAGGCCTGTCCCGCAAGAGGCGGATTCTGGTGCAATCCAGCCCCAGGTGATTCTCTGTTCCACAGATTGGCCCCATGACCCCAGCATGGGAGGAGGCAGGGGTGTGCCCAATGCCTTTTAGATTTGGAATGCTACTGCTTGGAGTACAGTAAATCCCAGGCTCTCACACAGCCTCGCACAGCTGGGAACAGATTCCTGCGTGCCTGGAGGCCTCTTCGAAGGCTACCTTTCCTCTCCCCTCTGCCAGTTTTGAAGGAACTACCCACACGGGAAGGAAGGGGACACGACGCCCCGCTGTGTTGGCTCCCCAGCCTCACTATTCCCCCAGAAGCCCACTCAGCCACTGCCCAAAAAGTCAAGCTCCCAAGAGTCCTGCTGCTTCTCTCCAAGGGAACTGGAAGGAGAAGGACTTCCACCAGGAAGCTCCCTGAGCAACACCACTGTCCTCAGAGCTCTGCCCGAGACTCCCATCTCCTTCCTTGCCTCAGAGCCACCCTGGCTTCGAGTCAGCCTTCCCCTTACCATCAAAGTCCACTGGAGCAAGTCACTTTCTTTTTTTTTTTTTTTTTTTTTTTTTTTTTGAGGTGGAGTCTCACTCTGTCGCCCAGGCTGGAGTGCAGTGGCCCGATCTCGGCTCACTGCAAGCTCCACCTCCCGGGTTCACGCCATTCTCCTGCCTCAGCCTCCAGAGTAGCTGGGACTACAGGCGCCCGCCACAACGCCTGGCTAATTTTTTGTTTTTTTTAGTAGAGACAGGGTTTCACCATGTTAGCCAGGATGGTCTTGATCTCCTGACCTCATGATCCTCCCAACTCGGCCTCCCAAAGTGCTGGGATTACAGGTGTGAACCACCGCGCCCGGCCGGGGCAAGTCACTTTCCCGCCCAGAACCTCCGTTTTCTCATCTGTAAAATGGGAGAAGTAAGAATACCCACGTGGCAAGGTTGTTGTGGATTGCAGAGCGCTTAGTGTGGTGTGCAGAGTGTGACAAAGAGTAGGTGGTGGCAAATCACAGAGAAGAGGACAAGCCAGCATTGTACCAAGTCCCAGTCATGGAGAACCGGCCGCTACCGCTCAGCCGAAGACCAATGGCCTAAGTCCTGACTACGTCTGGCTGTGCTGGGCCCACCTCCGTCCATTTCAGGGGCAGGTCATAGAGCCCCTGCTTGGGTTAGATGTCTGCGTGGATGGGAGGAAAAGCGCTCCCACCCACTCAGGCCATCCAAAGCCTGCCATCTGGGGACACCAGCACACTGGCTGCAAGTTTCAGTGTTTTAGCAGAAGAAAATGTTAAAATTCATTGCCATTTCACAGAGCAAGATCTGCAGGTCAAGAAGGCACTGCCACCCAGCTGGCAGCTTCATGATGGCACATGGGCTGATGTCGCCAGACAAGGATTCTGCTATTTAAACACAACAAGCAGTGTGATTCCAATACTACATCTTTTACCTCAATGAGCCCAGGGTCCTGTTATCCCTGAGCAACAAAATAACATCTCAGAATGGGGCTTGGAGCATCCCCAAGGCTATGTACAATGGGAAGCAAACCAAACAGGGCAGATATTGAGGTGGACGCATGCCAGGCACAGGGCTCATCATAGCTTATTTCCCCTCCCCTCCTAGGTTGGGCCTACCCCCCAACAGTTCAGACTAAGACAAGAATCCAGGTGCACATGTTGATTTGGAAGGTGACCTCGGGAAGCACAGTGAGACAGCAAGGAAGTGAGACAAGGAGGAAAGAACGTCTTTGAAGGATGCATTAAGGAGCAGTTTCCCAGGATGGACAGCTGGGCTTGATCTTGCTGGCAACCCTCTGAGAGGCTGCAGAAGACAACACAGAATGGTCCCACCAGGGGCAAAGAAGCTGGGGCATTTACCCACCATCTCCCAGCCCTCTCTGGGTGAGGGTCTTTCCTGAAACTTTAACTTTCCAAACTGTTCCTCTTGCAGTTCTCAAGAACATTCTCAGGCAGAGCCTGAGATGCAAAGCCATTGGCAAGTAAGGAAACTGACAACAGGGGACCTCTCCAGTGGGCCAGGGGTTATAGTCAGCACCCCAACAATGGCTCCTGCACTCCAGGAAGCTCTCTGAAGCCGCTATTCTTTGTATCCCCATTTTGCAGGTGGAGAAGCTGAGACTCAGGGAGACTCACAGTCACACAGGTAGAAGGTGGAAAAGCTGGGACTTGAGCTCGGGCTCTGACCTGGTGGGCTCCACCGCCTGTCCCGTGTCGCACTCTCCAAACACAATGCAATGAAAAATGATGGAAGATGAAAATGAACTCTAATGGCATTCAAAAAAAGAAAAATAAGAATAAAAAAATTATCAAAATAAAATAACTCCTGTCTCATTACCATGAAACAAGTGCTTGACACACAGCAAATGCTCAACAGGGGTTAGTTTCTATGCTTCCAACTCTTTGAACCTCTTTTCCAACCACGCATTGGATGAAAAGGCAGTGGCTCAGAACTAGGAGCCTGGCACACTCTTCCCCAGCAAGTGGGACAACGCAGCAGAGATGAAGGCACTCCAGATCCCCATCCCCAGTTCCTGTTCACCCAGCTCTGGAACCCAGGAGTCCAGATCCCAACCAGGAAAAGGCTAGAGGGGACTGCACCATGGAGCCCACCAGACCAAACTAGGTTGGGGAGTGGGGCTGGGAGAAAAATAGAGGGATCAGAATACCCAAAGGAGGGGAGGCATACCATGGGAGCATTCCCTGGGTGACTCAGGAAGCCTAGTTATGAAGCTACACTTAAAGAACTTCCCTTTGTAATAGCCTAATGACCTGAAATGTTCCATCCACCCACATTTCTTCCCCTGGGATGTTCCCTGCGTTTGAACTGGTACATCTGTGATATCTGAAGATGCTCAATTCAGCAAATGACACTTTTCCATGTGGCCATCTCTACCTCCCAAAGAAGCCAGTGTGATGGCCTCATCCTATGTCCAGCCTGGATCCTAGCTCCAAAGCTTGGCCATTGCTTTGTCCTGCAGGCAGCCTTGCCAACTGACCAGGTCCTCTCAATAATGTGATTGCTCTATTGGCCCAGAGACCTGGAGTGAAACCCAAGCCATCCTGGACACTGACTTCAGCAAGTGACATAGGCACCAGGGCCATAAGACCTGGATCTAAATCTGCTTCTGCCATGTACCAGTTGGGCAACTCTGGATGTGTTGCTCATCCTCTCAGAGTCTCAGTTTCCTCATCTGTAAAATGGGGATATTCCTGATTACTAACCTTGAGGGTTTGTTTCCAGGATTAAATGAGATATTGCATATAAAGAGCTTGTTTACCTGGTCCAGCATGATAGCAGAATAGATGTTCGGGGAAAACCTTCCTGCTACATAATAGACATACATACACAAGCATGTTGGATACAATACTTTTAAGAAAGATTTTAAAAAATGCATGGGTGAGCTGGTAGGAAAATCAAGTGCAACCCTTGGAGGCCAGAAACAATGAGAAAGTACTCTCAAAAGAAGCGAGTAAGTAAGCATGAACTAGTGTTTGCTTGGGGAGCAGCTGCTAACACCTGGTGGACTTCAGCCTTTGTTTGTAAGGGTCTCTGATGTGTGGAGGGGTGAAGACAAGGCTTGGGGACCTAAGCAAGGTGGCTGTTTAGATTGGGACCCACTGCAGAAAGCCAAAAATGTGACCCCCTCAGTGAGTTAATTAATATGTAAAACATCATCCCATGCCTCAATAAAGATGTTACTAGAAAAATAAAGGGAACAAAAACAAAAAGCCACCATTCCACATAGGAGAGATCATGGGATTTTTGCCAGTCCCCACTGTGAACTCCTACTCACAAGCTTAACTTGGGTTTGGGGTAAGAATCCATTTACCATACCTACGTATATGGCATCAAAAGCCCTAAGCCAGCTATTTGTTTTAACTTGGTTCTTTGCTGGTGACTAATCAGGAAGTCTGGCAGGAACAAATGCAAATTTTCTCTAGAGTCATGCCCAAGAAACTAGACCTCAAAAAAGTTCTGCAGATAAAGGGCCAGAGAACATGGCTTCACAAGCCCCACATCACAAAACCACAAGAGAACAAACCACCATGAGAATAAGACCTACAAAGTCTGCAGATATTTAAAGAAACACAAACAGAATACAAAACCAAGCATGTTCCGCATGTTTTAAGAACTAAATGAAACTCCTAGATGTTGATAATATACACAACATTGATGAATCTCAAAAACATACTATTGGCCAGGTGTGGTGGCTCACACACCTGTAATCCCAGTACTTTGGGAGACCAAGGCAGGCACATCACTTGAGGTCAGGAGTTCAAGACCAGCTTGGCCAACATGGTGAAACCCTGTTCCTACTAAAAATACAAAAATTAGCTGAGTGTGGTGGTGCATCCCTGTAATCCCAGCTACACAGGAGGCTGACACAGGAGAATCACTTGAACCCAGAAGGTGGAGGATGCAGTAAGCAGAGATCGCACCATTGCAACTCAGCCTGGGTGATAGAGCCAGACTCTGTCTCAAAAAAATAAAAAATAAAAATAAATAAAAACATACTATTGAGTAAAGTCAGACACAAAGAAGTGCAATCATGTTATTCCATTTATGTAAAGTTGCAAACAGGTAAAACCATCTATGGTGTTAGAAGCAAGAAGAGTGGTTTCTGTGGAGAAAGTGGATGATGATAGGAGGAGCATGTGTCATTTCAGAGATGCTGACCATGTTCTGTTTGTTCACCTTGGTTAGGGTCCTGTATGTACGTTCATTTTGTGAAAATTCATCAAGCTGTAAACCTATGATTTTTACACTTTTCTCTATATAATTTACACTTCAATTTAAAAGAGGAAATGGATGAGTTAGATAAATTAGACACAGTTGAGGGGAAAATAGTGCCCTGGATGACAGGTTTAAAGGAATTAGAGTAGTTCCTCCCTATCTGCGGGTTTGCTTTCCACAGTTTCAGTATATGCTCTATAAAACATAGTATATATAAAGTTTAGTACTGTTCGTGGCTTCAGGTATCCACTGGGGGTCTTAGAATGTATCCTCCATTAGTGTCCCCAACAAGGGAGGACTACTGTTCTCAGCCTGTAGCACAGTGAGAAAAAGGTGAAAAACTTGGAAGAGAGGTTAAAAAAAACAGGGAGGTTAGAGGAAAAACATCTAACATACATTTAATTTGAGTTCCAGAAAGAGACTGTGGGGAGGGGGGACAATATTCAATAAAAATGGCTCAGGATTTTCCAGAACTGATGAAAGTCAGCAGTCCTGAGATTCAGGAACCCCAAGCTGAATAAATAAATAAACATTGACATCTAGACATACCTTACTAAAAGAACACCAAAGACAAAGAGAAGATCTTAAAAGCATCTTGACATTTTAAAAAATCACCTGCTTAGGAAAAGCAACTACAATAATAACTGACATCTCAACAACAATATAGTAATGGCACTCAGTGAACATTGCATAAATAGAAACTATTATTATTAGTGCTTATAACAGTAATGATAGTAGTAGAAGTATTCAAATCAGCTCTGTCACTGTGTTATTGAGGAACCTGGAGTAAGTCACTTAACCTTTAAATGCCTTGGTTTCCTTGTCTTTATTTATTTATTTTTTTTTTTGAGGCAGAGTTTTGCTCTTGTTGCCCAGGCTGGAGTACAATGGTATGATCTCGGCTCACAGCAACCTGTACCTCCCAGGTTCAAGCTATTCTCCTGTCAGCCTCCTGAGTAGCTGGGATTACAGACATGCACCACCATGCCCAGCTAATTTTTGTATTTTTAGTAGAGGCGAGGCTTCGTCATGTTAGTCAGGCTGGTCTCAAACACCTGACCTCAAGTAATCTGCCCGCCTTGGCCTCCCAGAGTGCTGAGATTACAGGTGTGAGCCACAGTGCCCGGCCTCCTTGTCTTTAAAATAGGGTTTTAGTAAAAATGAAATAATATAAGTATCTGGCATTTAGTAAATGTTCAATTAATGTTGGCTACAAAATCCATCCTCTGTGAGGTGAGAGCAGGAGTGATGAGAGTCACGTTCATCTCCAATTACTTACAGAGGCTACTACCCAGGATTCTGGTTTTATAGGTCAGTTCGGCTCTTTGCCAATGGAAAACATTTTTATGGACAATGCCAGCCAAGAGCAGACATAAAAGGAAGTACCAGGAAAGAAAATTGAATGGAAACTGATTCCACAGAATGGGTCCCAGACCACTTTCATTGCTAGGGACCACACCTTCCTACACACCCACACCCAATATGCCCACCAGACAAAGAAACATGAATCTAATAATATTCCTGGCAATTATATTCTGCTTATCATTGTACAAAATGACACACTATGATCATAGCGGAACCTCACAGAGACCTTGTGAAGTTAGCAGAGGAGGTTAAGAAGAGACTCAGAAGGATGCATGACCTGTCCTGAGATGTGGCACACAGAAACAGCAAGCCGGAGCTTGAATCCAGGGCTCCCGGCTTACCCTGCTGTCTCTCCTCTGGGGCCTAGCCTTGGACTCCTGGTGGCCTCCCCTGAAATCTTGAAATAAATGTCTCTTTCTCGTCTTTCAGGTGTCAGCTCAAATGTCCCTTTCACAGAGAATTTCTCCCTAACCACTGCCTTCCGATGCAATTCTCTACACCACTGCACCCTTTTCACTTCTAAAATAGCACTCTTCACTATTCCTCATTACATACTATTTGTTGCCTGTTCCATTTAATGCCTTTTTTCACCAGTGCATTACCCAATTCCTAGCAGAGTGCCTGGCACGTGGTAGCCATTATATAATGATTGTTGAATGAATAAATGTAAGTTGAAGAAACTCACAAAGTTGGGTGAACTCATTTATAGTGTTTTCTCTAATAATATAAACAGAGTTTTTTGTGGGTTTTTTTGTGTTGTTTTGAGGTGGGGTCTTGCTCTGTCACCAAGGCTGGAGTACAATGGTGCGATCTCGGCTCACTGCAACCTCCACCTCCCAGGTTCAAGTGATTCTCCTGCCTCAGCCTTCCAAGCAGCTGGAACCACAGGTGTGTGCCACCACACCCAGCTAATTTTTGTATTTTTAGTAGAGACAGGGTTTCACCATGTTGGCCAGGCTGGTCTCAAACTCCCGGCCTCAAGCGATCCACATGCCTCAGCCTCCCAAAGTGCTGGGATTACAGGGGTGAGCCACCATGTCCGGCCTATATAAACAGTTATAGCACCACTTAACAGGGATCAGAAACTAAATACTCTATTTCTTCTTACAACCCTTCCCCATCCCACACTGAATAATCCCCACCAGACAAAAAATGAATAAAGAAAACATCTAATAAATATGACCATGCATCTCTCTTGCCCGCTGCCTTTCCTCATTCTGAACCACTCCTGGAATGGAAGAACCAAGATCACTAAGAATTAGAATAAATCCATCCCTGGAAGCTGTCTCTCACCTCCATGCAGTCATTCAACAAAAAATCCGCTGGGCACCTAGGTTGTGCTAGGTGCTTGTGCTCAGCTCTGGGGATCGAGGGAAGATGCAGCCACTGTTTTCCCAGTGGGGACAGACATTAAATAAGCTATGAATATAAACTGCAATGTGGGCTGTAAACGGGAAAGCCACAGAGCAGTGGGGACTGGGTGAATCCCACCTGCCGATCGCCATTTAAAAAGCTTCTCCCTGCTTCTCTGCCTTTATTTTCTGGCTCTAGGACTTTGCCAAGCCTCATTCTGTCTCTGTGTACCAAGGAGGATACAGGAGAGAGGAGAGGGAGGAAGGAGGTGGAAATGCATTAAAACAAAAAAGAGAGAATGAAGCAGTGTAAGGTTGGTCACACATTTGTCATTAAGTCAAAGCTGAATGCCAGTGTTTGTGTGAGGTGGAATTATCTCATTCCTTTAGCCTCTGAGTCTCTGTGATCCACCAGTCAAGTATGTGATTGGATTCTGCCTCAACAAAACCTTAAATTACACACCTATTGTGCCTGAGCTAAGCCCAGTTTCACAGCGGTGGAGAAGGCATCTCCCAGCTTCCTCAGCAATGTTCGATCCAGCGCCTGCTCTCATCCGCTGGTTGATGAATGAGTAATAGGATTAGACAGTCTCATCTCAAGCCACACTGTGATCGTCATGTTGGGTGCAGGGACAAAGGCTGGGGTGATGGATAGGGGATGCATCATGGAGATGGGCCTGGTTCCCCTCCCTGGTGGGCTATTGGTGGAGAGAGCACCATCACATCCTGGGAAGAGTTCTCCTGGCACTTACAAAGGGTTTATCATGGTCAGTGACTGTGGTCGGCACCTACATAGAAGGTAGCTGTCTTATTGAATGCTTCCTGAGGGGCAGAAGGGGACCTGCCCAGCATCTGTTCCTCACTTCTGGATATAGGACCTCTTATACGGTTTGGATACTTGTCCTCTCCAAATCCCATGTTGAAATGTGATCCCCAGTGTTGGAGATGGAACCTGGTGGGAGGTGTTTGGGTCATGGGGACAGATCCTTCTTGAATGGTTTGGTGCCTGCCTGGAGGTAATAAGTGAGCTCTTGCTCTCTTCATTCACACGAGAGCTGGTTGTTTACAAAGAGCCTGGCATCTCTCTTGCTCCCTCTCTCACCAAATGACACGCCTGATCCCCCTTCTCCTTCCACCATGATTGGAAGCTTCCTGAAGCCCTCACCAGAAATGGATGCTGACGCCATGCTTCTCATACAGCCTGTAAAATTGTGAGCCAAATAAATCTTTGATTTATAAATTACCCAGCCTCAAGTATGCCTTTATAGCACAGCAAAATGGACCAAGACAACTTCCCCCACCCCCCAACAATTTTTCCACTGGAAACCAGTCCCCACTTTCAGAGAAGGTTCTGGTGAACCAGCTCCCAGACAGGGCATGTGGACAAGTCAAGCCAGGCAGAGCCACTGACATTCACTGTAGAACTGTCGCCAGTGCCACAGGGAGACAGGAAGCTCTTTCCACTGGGCTAAACATTACCCAGCAGGGGAAGAAGGAACATTATTCACCTGGGGAGATGGGAGCAAGTTGTGCAGTGGAATTTGGAAAGGCAGGGTCTGTTTTCCCTTTCTGCTAACACCTCTACCTCTAAGGGGAAAGCCAGGTCCACTGCTTAAATTTTTTCAGTAAATAAAAGCCTACACATTCCCTCCTTGGCTCAAGATAGCTTGATATGGTGCGTTAGTCCCTTTTGCCTTGCTACAAAGGAATATCTGAGACGGGGTAATTTATAAAGAAAAGAGGTTTCTCTTGCTCACAATCCTGCAGGCTGTACAGGAAGCATGGTGCCAGCATCTGCTCAGCTTCTGGTGAGGCCTTGGGAAGCTTTTATTCATGGTGGAAGTTGAAGCAGGAGCAGGCCTGTCACATGGCAAGAGTGGAAGCCAGAGAAAGAGGAGGTTCCAGTCTCTAACAACCAGATCTCATATGAATCATTACTGCAGGGAGGCACCAAGCCATTCATGAGGTACTTGCCCCCATGACCCACACGCCTCCCACCAGGCCCCGCCTCCAACACACTGGGGATCACATTTCAACATGAGATTTGGAGGGGACAAATATCCAAAATACGTCACACGGGTTTTCTGTCCAAATGAGTTCTCATACATTTTACAAATGAAGAATCAAGTTTCACAGACCTTAGGCCATCTACCCAAGGTCACAGGGCCAATGAAGTCATAGGGAAGAGCTGGGATTCAGGCCCCAGACTTTTCATTCCAAGCCTAGAGTGTTTTCCCCTACAAGATCCCTTCCCAAGAGACCGCTGTGCACCTGCTGTGTGGAAGGGCCCAGAGACTGATTCCACAAGGCAAGAAAAAAACCCAGGAGCCTGGGACACCCAGGGCACGTATTGGGGTTAAAAAAGTCAAGACATGTTTTTCCTTTCTGTAAAAACCTCTGTCTGGCTGTAGGTCACATATTTTTCCACTCTGAAGCCAGAGTGGGCAGAGGCTTGGAACAATGAAAATAACAAGGGCTTTGGAGACAGACAGACCTGAGTTCATATTCTGACACATCAAGTTATTCTAGCTGTGTGACTTAGGACAAGTACCTTACCTTCTCTGAACATCAATTATCTCATCTAACATGGAAATAAGTATACCTCCCCCCACAGCAATAATAAGAATTAATCAGAAAATACACGTGTCAGCCAGGTGCGGTGGCTCACATCTGTAATCCCAGCACTTTGGGAAGCCGAGGCAGGTGGACCACTGGAGGTGAGGAGTTTGAGACCAGCCTGGCCAACATGATGAAACCCTGTCTCTACTAAAAATACAAAACTTAGCTGGGTATGGTGGCAGACATCTGTAATTCCAGGTACTTGGGAGACTGAAGCAGGAGAATCGCTTGAACCCAAGCGGCAGAGGTTGCAGTGAGCCAAGGTCACGCCACTGCATTACAGCCTGGATGACAGAGCGAGACTCTGTCTCAACAGGAAAAAAAAGAAAAAGAAAATACACGTGTCGATTATGATTTGGGGCTGTAAAGAAGAGAAAATTCCATTTACTGCAACTTAAACACAGAGAGATTTATTTTTCTGAAATAACAAGATGTCAGGGGCAGGTAGTACCAGGGTTAGCTCAGTGGCTCTGCCATCAACGTGGCTTTTCCTTTAGGCTTGCAAGGTGGCTGTGGCAACCCTAAGTGCAGAACCCTTTGTATAGAGCCTTTCATTGCCACATCTCTCTCATTTTTAAAACCCCTTTCCTGTTTAGGGAAAAAAAAAAGTGCAGCTCATTGCCAGTGCAGTATTCTCAGGGAAAATGGAAAACGGGTTAAAAGAGCACCCAGCACATTTCTCCCTATATTTCATTGGCCAGAACCAGATCACTTGACCACCACCCCTAGCTGCAAGGGATGCTAGGAAGACAAGCCAATTATACTTTATGCTCTGGCCTTCTATTAAGAGGAATAAGTAGGAAAATGACTTCCAGGGAGACAACCAACAGCAGTTGCCAAATTATATAAAGCACTCTGGGGCCAGGTGTGGTGGTTCATGCCTGCAATCCCAACACTTTAGGAGGCCAAGGCAAGAGGACTGCTTTAGCCCAGGAGTTTGAGGCCAGGATGGAAAGCATAGCAAGGCCCCATCTCTACAAAAAAAATTGAATATTAGTCACACATGGTGGTGCTCACCTGTAGCCCCAGCTACTCAACAGGCTGAGGTGGGAGGATTACTTGAGCCCTGGAGGTAGAGGCTGCAGTGAGTCATGATCACACCACTGCACTCCAGCCTGAGTGACAGAGTCCTTGTCTCACAAAGCAATAAAAAAGCACTCTGCACTCTGGGCAGAATCTAGCACATATAAAATACTCAGTAACTGGAAGTGTGTTTATGATTAAGCTAAGCTAAATGTCCTGCCATTCACACAGAGGGTGGCTTTTCCAGCACACGCTCTCTCCTCAGTGATGAGCTTCCAGAAGACACAGAGCCCTCAGGCTTCCAGCTTGGTGTCTCCCCTGCACCCACATAGCCATACCAGGAAGAGCCAGCTAGTTCATCCCTGGAGGATGTGCAGCAGGAGACTAGCTGCCCTCTCCCCGGCTGCAGAAAGCAACGGTCACAGCAGTCTGCAGAGAGAGATCTGAAGAAGACAACTGAGGCCTTGGTGGAGCTGTCATGCTCAGGGTTGTTTTAGCCACAATTCACAGCCTGCTGCTTCTGCACTGCAAGCTCCGGCCCTTCCCACTCCGCACTTCTCACCAGCCTCTTTCCCTCATTTATAAGAAAGAGGGGAGGCCAGGAGTGGCGGCTCATGCCTGTAATCCTAGCACTTTGGGAGGTGGAGGCGGGTGGATCACCTGAAGTCAGAAGTTCAAGACCAGCCTGGCCAATATGGTGAAACCCTGTCTCTACTAAAAATACAAAAATTAGCTGGGTGTGGTGGCACATGCCTGTAATCCCAGCTACTCGGGAGGCTGAGGCAGGGGAATTGCTTGAACCCAGGAGGTGGAGTTTGCAGTGAGCTGAGATGGCGCCACTGCACCCCACCTGTACAACAGAGTGAGACTCTGTCAAAAAAAAAAAAAAGAACGAGAGAAAGAGAGGAAGGAAGGAAGGAAGGAAGGAGAAGAAAGAAAGGAAAGAAAGAAAGAAAGAAAGAAAGAAAGAAAGAAAGAAAGAAAGAAAGAAAGAAAGAAAGAAAGAAAAGAAAGAAGGAAGGAAAGAAAAAGAGAAAGAAAGAAAGAAAGAAAGAAAGAGAGAGAGAAAGAGAGAGAGAAAGAAAGAGAGAGAGAAAGAAAGAAAGAAAGAGAGAGAGAAAGAGAAAGAAAGAAAGAAAGAAAGAAAGAGAAAGAGAAAGAAAGAAAGAGAAAGAAAAAGAACGAATGAACTAGCTGCATCCATCCCAACCACAAAAAGACTAAGGATGTGACACAAAGAGGGTACTTCTTTCCTGGAATATACAAGAGAGTGGCCTGGCCCATCTCCTACTCCCTTCATGCTCACCAGGTCCCCAGTGACTGGGACTTTAATGTGATAACTCAGTCAATCATTCACTCACCATACAGTGGAGTGCTTACTAGTGTAGGCTTCATGCTAGGTGCTGGGGCTACAAGCCTTCATGAGACTGCCAAACTCTCCTCACCTTGCATGAGATGTGTCCCCAAATCTCACAGGGATGTTACTTGGGACTTTCCCAACACCCCAGTTCCTCCCCGCAATCCACACTCAGGTCATCCTAATTGCCCTGTGTCTATTTCCAGTCCCCCGCTTCACTCCCACTAGGATGCCTATAATCAAAACAACAGACAATACCAAATGTTGGCGAGGATGTGGAGAAACTAGAACCATCGTACATTGCTAGCACGAGAATGCAAAGTGGTGCAATTGCTTTGAAAACGGTCTGGAAGTTATGGAAGTTATTCAAGAGGTTAAACATAGAGTTACCATAGGACCCAGCAGTTCCATTCTCAGGTATCTACCTGAGAGAATGGAAAACATATGTTCACACAAAAACTTGTATATAGATGCTAACAGCAACGTTGTTCATCATAGCTAGAAAGTGGAAACAATCCAAATGTCTATGGGCTGATGAAGGGAGAAACACAAGGAGTTCTATCCAGACATGGAATATGATTCAGCCACAGACAGGAATGTAGTACTGCTGCATGCAACAACACAGATGAACCCTGAGAACATCATGCTCAGTGAAAGAAGCCCGTCACAAAAGACCACATAGAGTATGATTCCACTTAAATGAAATGTCCAGAGCAGACAAATCCACAGAGACAGAAAGCAGATTCATGGTTATCAGAGGCGGAGGGGATAGGGGAGTATGGAGTAACCACTGATGGATATGGGATTTCTTCTGGGGGTAATGAAAATTCTTTTTGGAGTAATGGAATTTGGCAGTAGTGATGGTTGCATAACATTGCAACTTTCCTAAAAACCATAAATGCTTTAAAGGAGTAGATCTGGCCGGGCGCGGTGGCTCACACCTGTAATCCCAACACTTTAGGGGACCGAGGTGAGTGGATCATCTGAGGTCAGGAGTTCGAGACCAGCCTGGCCAACATGGTGAAACCCCATCTCTACTAAAAATACAAAAATTAGGCAGGCATGACAACGGGAGCCTGCAATCCCAGCTGCTCGGGAGGCTGAGGCAGGAGAATCACTTGAACCCGGGAGGCCGAGGTTGCAGTGAGCTGAGATCGTGCCATTGCACTCCAGCCTGGGCGACAGAGGGAGACCCTGTCTCAAAATAAATAAATAAATAAATCTTACAGCATGTAAACTATATCTCAAAAAAATTTAAAAATAAAAATAAAAAAACCCTCCCCAGCTCTGACTGCAATAAGGAAACAAGCATTTAGCTGGAGGGACAGTGACTGACTTCTTTTCTTCCTGTCTCTCCTGACATCAGCCGACTCCGAACTCCTTGGGAAGGCTGGTGCTGCATGCTAAAGCCCTGCCTGCCTCCTGCAGGCCCTGACAGCCAGGGCTGGGGAGGGCCCACCCCGCCGAGGACTGGCCGCTGGCAACCAACACCTTCCCTTCCACTTTCCTCTGCCCTGAATTCATTGCCTGACAAGGGAGCCATGTTGGACAGTGGGCATGTCCTTGGGAAGGACACTGGAGCAGAGGCCTCCGCAGCATCCTGTCACTGACCAGCTTTGCCTGACTGTGTGATCCCAGGGGGGAGAGAAGAAGAGCCCGGAGCAGCCACCAGGGCCAGTGGAGGTGACTTTTGTCATGACCCTTGCCCCCATCAGAGCCATCACACCTGCGTGTAAGAGTCACCAAGGGGTCGAGCGTCAGTTCCTTTCCCTTTTCTTTTAAAAATTATTCTAGCGAATCATGCTGTCGTTAGAGAAGCGACCAGGTGGAATTTTCTTTCATGCAGAAAAGCTGGGATGGAAACACCAGGGAGTCCTCAGCCGGTCACTTTTCTAGGAAGCCAGTTAACAAGACCCGTCCTCCGTGGACGTCACTAACGCTTTTAAATATCATTTTGTCCCTTCCTGATAGATGCATCATCTTCGTTTTTTATTCTCTAGCTCTCCTGGGAGCTAGAAAAAAAGCCCAGTCCCACATTCCCAAGGTTAAGGACTTTGTACTCCGCTACAGTGGCTCTGCTCATTCCCTCTTCAACGCGCCACTGCCCTTCACTGCTCAGCCCTCAGGCTTGTGTGAGAATCTTCCTATCCTTTCAAGGCTGTGAAAATCTGATGTTGTGGCAAAGGTTGGGGGGTGGAGAGGGCACCCAGGCTTAAGGCAGGTGAATGCCATATTGACATGAGCTGTCTTTGAACCTGGTAAGTGATACTGTCAAGAATAATTGACAGCGACCCATGAAGGACCCTAAGCACAAAGACTGTTGTTCCCAAATGGGACTCAATCAAATCGGGGAAAGGATGCACCATAAAAGCAAAGGGCACCAGCCCCATGTAGAGATGTGTAGTTGGCCTTGGACCCTGCCATTTTCCCCAGGTCACCACAGAGCCTCCGTAAAGAAACCTGATCACACCGGGTGTGGTGGCTCACACCTCTAATCCCAGCACTTTGGGAGGCCCAGGCAGGTGGAACATTTGGGGTCAGGAGTTTGAGACCAGCGTGGTCAACATGCCAAAACCTGTCTCTACTGAAAATACAAAAATTAGCTGGGTGTTATGGTGGGCACCTGTAATCCCAGATACTCAGGAGGCTGAGGCAGGAGAATTGCTTGAACCCAGGAGGTGGAGGTAGCAATGAGCTAAAATCGAGCCACTGAACTCCAGCAGGGTAACACTGAGACTCTGTCTCAAAAAAAAAAAAAAAAAAAAAAGAAAAGAAACCTAATTGACACCTGGCATCTCCAGCACCCAGGGAAAGGGTCCTGGCTGGGGGATCAGGTAGCCCAGAATCCTCTCTTATTCCACGTGAGTTCCTGTGAGACGCTGGCTTCGGAAATGAATCTCCCAGCATCAAGGGGTCCCATCTATGAGACAGGCTCTTTGTACACCTGATTTATTCACCTCACAGGGTAAGTGTGAAGATCAAGAGATATCACAAACGGGAAGCCTATGAATGTTCCAGAATGCCATGAAAATCAAAAGAAGGAATGTCAAGAGGAAAAATGTAAAAACAAAACAAAACAAAAACAAAACCTTGGTGTTGACTTGGGCCCTTCTGAGACTCTGTCTGTCTTGTGGATTTGCTCTATTCTCCGGATGTTCCATAGTAAGTCTCTAGAAGATAAAACCTACAGATACCCAGGCATCCAGCTGAGTTATTACAATTTAAGATGCATTCATTCTTCAAACATTTATTAAGCACCTACTATATGCCAGTCCTAAGCCAGACACTGGGCTATGAATATGGGTCACAAACAATCCCTGACACCAGGGAGTTTCCTAACCAGCATAACAAATAAACAGACACTTAAACAAAAGAACAAGTAAATAATAATATGAGAAATTAGCTGGGTGTGGTGATGCACACCTGTACTCCTAGCTACCCGAGAGGCTGAGGCAGGAAGATCACTCGAACCTGGAAGGTCGATGTGGTAGACGACAGTGGTGAAGGCCCCAGAAGGAGGCTCTGCGTTTACAAGGGACATAGCTACATGCTAGGAGTGAGGAAAAGCTTCAGCGAGGAGTACGGGACTGTTGCTGTCAAGAAACTGAACTCTGGGGTTACACAAACCTTGGGGTGAACAGCAACTTAACTGGTTGGGTGTCTTGGGGCAAATGACTAGCCTGGGTTTACCCATCTGTGAGACAGAGATGATATCATTGTAAAACTATTGGGAAAATTTTAAAAAATGCATGAAGCGTGCTTACAGCTGTGCCTGACACACAGTAAGTTCTCAATAAATGGCATCTGAGACATGATGCTACACTGACTCTTGAAAAATTACTAAGGGGAGAGGGGGAATGGTGGGTAAGGAAAAGGTATGTGGCCAGGAAACACGCAGAAACCTGGTGCCCCTGGAGAATGGTGAGTTATTTAAGGGGACTTCCTTCCCACAACACTACCTGCCCACAGGCTTCTGTTTGTTCAGTTTTCACACCCAGAAGGCAGCAGGTTGGCACCCACCACACTGACCTCTGCCTAAGGAAGGCTCCTCCAGAGCTCAGAGTGTGTCGCCCCACTGGAAGGGGTGACAGTCCCTGCCCGTAAGGGACTGGCTTCTGGACTGCATCCACCCTGCCTGCACAGGAAACCAGGCCATATACCTCATCGAACAGCTCATCGGCTTAAAGTCCCAGCTGGTTCTGCCTCGGCCGGGCTGGCGCATGTGCCTATGAAGCCCCACCCCATGACCCCTCTAGGTGGCCTGGAAGTCACCACATAATGTGGTCCAGCAAGTGATGTCCGAAGAATGTGACCAGATGGCTGAGGGCTGCCTGGGACTGGCAGGAGGCTGGGCGACCCACACACACAGAGATCCTCCTTCCTCACAGCGTTCATGGAATGAGAGGCAGTTTTCACTGCTAAATAACTTCCCTGAAGAAATTCTTCTGGGATATTTCGCCATCACCAGCTGGTATTTCTTGGCAGTTGAAACAGCACCCACGGCCTTGTAGGAACAGGGCATGACTTGTCACCTGTTCGTGCCTGTGCAGCCTCCACCTCTATCGTCCCATATTTCTCTCCCCTCACCCCTAGGGCTGCCCACTCCTGGGCACCTTGACACTAGGCAGAGGGGCTGTGGGATGGTGGGGAGCGGAGTCTCTGAGCCAACCCCTTGTCAGGTACGAGGGCTCCCAGAACCAATAACCACCAGGTGCCCCCAGCCCCGGAGCACCACACCCCATCTCCTCCCCCAGGAGCCCCGCCCATGCTCCACTCCTCCCAGGTGTACTTAGATACATTTTAAAAATCTGTTTAATAAATTACCACCTTTACATGACCTGACAATAGCCACAGATAATCCAGGGCTATTAGAAGCCTTGTTTACAACTCATGTAATTCTAGGTTGTGCAAAGCCCAACAAGTTAGGTAAGGTGTCAACCTTCCCTCTGTTAATGGCACAACTTGTATTCACAAATTACAGGTAATTGATCCAAAGATGTTACAGACATTTGAAAAACAAAGGGCATGGGCCTCCACCCTCCCATCCCTTCCTTCTGGGAACTTACCCCCAAGGAAATTACTGTGAACTGTGGGCAAAAAAAAAAAAAGCATTGGTCTGTTTGGCAGTGTTGTTTATAATAACAAAAACTTTAGAAACAACCTACCTATTCAACAATAGGGAATTAGTTAAACAAACTTTGGAGCATGGAGACAGGGAGCTACTAGGCAACGATTTAAAATAATATTGCAGGAGAATACACAGTAACATGGGGAACATGTTAACCGTCTGCTGTTAAATGAGGGAGAAAAAGCAGGTTACAAAGCAATAACTAGAATTAATTCCATTAAAAGACTTTATATAAATATATTTACTGGAATAGTGCTACGGAGGTAGTGTGTGTGATCTGCAGACAGACAGATGGGTTTGGGGTTTGAATCTCCCCAGCCCTGTGACCGTGTACAAGTTACACAACCTCTCTATGCTTCAGCTTTTTCATCTCTAAAATGCAGAAAATACCTACTTCACGAGGCTGTTGCAAAGATTAAAGAAAATTCCCTGTGTAACGTACTTAGTATCATCCCAGCACACAATAAATGTTCAATAAATGGTGATTTTGTTGTTGTAGTTACTGTTATTGTTGTGTAAAAATGGTTAACTCTGGGTGAAAGGATTATAGGTCTTTTTCTCTTTGAATATTTGGTTGTTTTTCCTTGTCTACTACCTAGAAGGTACTGCCATGGCGATGACCAAAAAAAAAAAATCTTTGAAGCTGATAAAATTGCTGGGGCGTGGGGAGGGAGTTGTTGCTTTTAAAGAAGGAAATTTGGACGCGTCAAAGGCATCACTCAGCTGAAGTCTGTGACCTCAACAGGTGAGGATCACATTCTGATAGATCCTACCCACGAGACAAGAAGGGCGAAAGAGCTCAGGACTCTCTTGGATGCCTATTGGAAAACAAGGTCGATATGCCTGGCTCCTCCCCTAGCTGTCCCCCCCCCGCACCCATCTCACCCCCAACTGGGATCTAGGCGTCAGAGCCCTGGGTGGGGTAAGAAAGGGCTGGGGTGGAAAGAGTAATTAATCAACAAAGTAAAAGGAGGAGCTGAATTGGGGAGGATCTCTGAATGCTGGTCCTGAGGCTTAGGGGGAGTGGCAGTGGGGTGTGTCCCAGTGAAAGGGAACTGCCAGGAGCTAGTGGAGGCCAGAGAGTTACAGAAAACCCAGATTTGATGGCCTTTGCCTTGTCCGAAGAACCCACAAGGTCAGAGACACAGTCTATGGCTCCACAGGCCTGGCCCATTTGCTAAAAGTGCACCAGCCCCACACACGGGGGCCACCACTTCCCAGAGCCAGGGTAGGTCGGTGGGGTACTGCTGAGTCTCCTTAATTAAGCCTGGTCTTCTGGGTCACATAGGGTGTGGCAGCAGCACCTAGGGATTAGGAGAGGGCTTAGGGCCCTCAAATCCAAAACCAACCTCCACTCAGCACAGGATGGATCCAGTGATGGGAGCAGAGGGTTTGTCTTCTCATAGACAGGGAAGCAACACATGGACCTAAGCTGGGATTGGACCCAGACCTGCCTTAGTGGTGGGGCTGGGCTTGATCCTGAGGCAGAATAACCCAGTGGGCTGGGAGAGCTGAGGAGGGGGCCCTGCCCTGCTGCTCTGTAGGAAGGCTGAGGAAGGAGGAGCTGGCCTGAGAGAAGGTCAGGTCCCTTGCTAGGTGAGCATGTCTTGGGTCTCCTTACTCCCCAAGGCAGGAACTCAGCAGCTACTGAGAGGAGACCCAAGAGCTTTATATCCAAACTCCCAGTAGCTCCAGCCTGGCCTGGCCTTCCAGGCCACATACCGTCTTAGGGACAGCAACACAGTGGAGGAAATGCAAAACCAAAAGGAGACAGTCCTGGCCTCCCTCGTAGAAGTGCTTTGAAAGTTGGCCTTTTCTCCAGCTCAGGAATAAGGGAAGGCAGACTAGGATGGGAGGGTGGTCCCCTGCTGCCCTCAGAGGTCCCAGCTCTGATGGAGAAAAGAGGGAGTGGGGCTGAGGAGAGGCATGCCTGCCTTCCAGAGTTTGGGGTGCAGTGGAGAGGATATCCAGGTCACATCTGGGGGCAGGCAGCCCTGCCTATGGCTAACCAGCAAGACAGGGCCATTTCTCAGGACTGTGGACTACCCAGGTCCCCAAAACCATCTCCCTTCATGCCACTGCTTAAAAATGAACCATAAGATACCGATTCCTACCTGCTTCGATGATGATAAACAAAAAACGAAAAATAAGTGTTGTGAGGATATGGAGAAATTGGAACCCTCCTACACTGCTAGTAACAATGCAAAATGCTGCAGCCCCTTTGGAAAGATTTGGTGGGTTCTCAACATGTTAAACATAGAATTATTAACACCACATATCAACCAGCAATTCCACTCCTAGGGAGAGACCCAAAAGAATTGAAAACAGACACTTAAACAAGTCCACATGCGTGCATGTTCCCAAGAGAGATATTCACAATACAGGAGTTCGAGATCAGCCAGGGCAGCACAGTGAGACCTTATCTCTACAAAATTTAAAAAACAGCAGGGCATGTTGGCACACGCCTATAGTCCTGGTTACGTAGGAGGCTGAGGTGGGAGGATCACTTGAGCCCAGGAATTCGAGGCTGCAGTGAGCTATGAAGGTGCCACTGCACTCCAGCCCGAGTGACAGAGTGAGACCCTGACTCAAAAAACAAAAAACAAAAACGAAAATTGAACTATTCACAATAGCCAAAGGGTGGGAACAACCCCAATGTCCATCAATGGATGAATAGATTTAAAAATGAAATACAGCCATAGACCAGGATTTTATTCACCATATAAAGGAATGAAGTTCTGATACATGCTACAACATGGATGAATCTCGAAAACGTTATGCTAAATGAAAGAAGTCAGACACAAAAGGGCACAGATTGCATACTTCTGTTTATCTGAAATATCCAGAATAGGTGAATCTACAGGGACAGAAGCAGATTAGTGATTGCCAGGGGTTGGAGTGGGCAAGTGGGGTGCTGGGGAGTGACTGCTCAACGGATATGAGGTTCCCTTTTAGGAGTGATAAAAATGTTTTGGGGCCGGACACAGTGGCTCACTCCTGTAATCCCAGCACTTTGCGAGGCTGAGGCCAGAGGATCCCTTCAGCTAAGGAGTTGGAGACCAGCCTGGCCAACATGGCAAAATCCCATCTCTACTAAAAATACAAAAATTGGCCAGGCACGGTGGCTCATGTCTATAATCCCAGCACTTTGGGAGGCCGAAGCAAGTGGATCATGAGGTCAGGAATTCGAGATCAGCCTGGCCAATAGGGTGACACCCTGTCTCTACTAAAAATACAAAAATTAGCCAGACATGGTGGGAGTCCCAGCTACTCAGGAGGCTGAGGGAGAAGAATTGCTTGAACCCAGGAGAGAGAGGCTGCAATGAGCCGGGATCATGCCACCCACTGCACTCCAGCCTGGGCAACAGAGGGAGGCTCCATCTCAAAAAAAAAAAAAAAAAAAAAAAAAAATTAGGTGGGCATGGTGGCGCACCTGTTTTCCCAGCTACTTGGGAGGCTGAGATGAGAGAATTCCTTGAACCTGGGAGGTGAAGCTTGCAATGCTGCAGTGAGCCGAGATCACACCACCGCACTCCAGCCTGATGGACAGAGTGAGACCCTGTCTCAAAAAAAAAAAAGAAAAAATGTTTTGGGATTAGAAAGACTTGATAGCTGCACAACATTGTGGATGTACTAAATGATGCTGAATTTTAAAGTATAAAATGTTAATTTTATGTGACTTCCACCTTCATAAAAAGAAACGCATCATAGCCAAGAAGCTTCTTCATGCTGGGCCCCATGTTTCACCCACATGATCTCATTTTGTCCCCAGGACATGCTTATGAGGCAGAGATTTATTACCCCATTTTAGTGATAAGAAAACTGAGGCTCAAAGAGGTCATATAATTTGCCCAAGGCCCAATAGCTCATGCTTTTCTTGGGGCAGAGCAGAGAATTCTCTTACTGTACAGAGGATGTCTCGGGATTTCCCAAAAGTTCTTTTTTGTTTTTAATATATATTTTTTGGTAGAGATGAGGTCTATGTCATGTTGCCCAAGCTGGTCCTAAACTCCTGCCTCAAGCGACCCTCCCACCTCAGCCTCTTGAGTAGTTGGGGTTAAAAGTGTGAGCCACCACGCCCTAGAAATTCTTCAGAGTGGAGTGAGATGTCTCAGCAGGACGCTGAGCACGGGCATCCTGACCCGGGAGATGAGGTCTCAGGGGTCTCAGGGACTCCATGCAGCTCTGGGTTGCTGGGATGCTGGGAAAGACAGCAGGGACCGGTTCAGGGAGGGATGCCTAGTGTCGAGCACAGCCCACTGAGAATTGCAGGGTGCTGTGGCAGGGGACAGACTTTGGGGTCTGCCCCCGGGAACCAAGCACTTTGGGTGGCAAACTGTCCCTGATCCTTCGACTAACATCGCCTTCACTCTCTCCAGTCCTTTCCATGAAAACAACTCAGAACAAAGGCCACACAAGGATATAAAAAGAGCCCTGGCTTTGATGTCATAGATACTGAGTTCTCTGGATCTCTGTATCTATCTCCTCCTCTACCTTCTCCTCCTCCATCTTCTTTCCCTCCTTCTCCTCCTCCTCCTCGTCCTCCTCCTTCTCCTCCTCCTTCTCCTCCTCCTCCTCGTCCTCCTCCTTCTCCTCCTCCTTCTCCTCCTCCTCCACCTCCTCCTCCTCTTCCTCCACCTCCTCCTCCTCCACTTCCACCTTCTCCTCCTCCTCTACCTCCTTCTCCTCCTCCTGCTCCACCTCTTCCTCCTCCTCCACCTCCACCTTCTCTTCCTCCTCTACTTCCTTCTCCTCTTCCTCTTCCTCCTCCTCCTCTACCTATTCCTCCTCCACCTCTTCCTCCTCCTCCTTCTCCTCCTCCTCTGCCTTCTCTTCCTCCTCCTCCTCCTCCATCTCCTCCTCCTCCATGTCCCCAAAGCCCTTACTGCTGTGGCAGCTGCTGCTGGGGAAAAGCTTCATGCCAGGATGAGTCCGGTCTTAATAGCTGCTAATTGGTCATAAGGCTGACAGGGGAAAGGTATTAATGAGCAAACCATTTGGCTCCAAGTGAACGGACCATAACCCAGAAGGGTTTTATTGATCTGTCTCTGCTTTTTAAGAGTTTTCATTAAAGGAGTGTCTTGGTCCTAAAATGGTCCACTGGGATCACGGCTTTGTGATAATGGGGGAATATCTGAGGATTACAGGATTCAAACACCAGCAGTCCATCCCTCCCCCACCTTCCTGCCCTCCTGCTAAGCTCGGGGCCACTCTGAGGCCTGAGATGACCCCACTTGCCCCTAGTGTCTCTGGCTTTTCTTATTCATCTCCCTGACCCTCCCAGGGGAAATTACCCCCACTCTAACAGAGGAAGCCACTCTCATTTCTAGGCGGGCTTTACCCAAAATGGTTAGAAAATGGGGGTATTCTCTTTAACTGAAAATCACCACATCTAGTGTGCATGGGATTACTAATGTTCTTTTTCCTTCCTTTTTTTTAAATTTTTTTCCCCGAGACGGAGTGTCGCTCTCTCACCCAGGCTGGAGTGCAGTGGCACGATCTCGGCTTACTGCAACCTCCGCCTCCTGGATTCAAGTGATTCTCATGCCTCAGCTTCCCAAGTAGCTGGGACTACAGGTGCTCACCACCATGCCCAGCTAATTTTTGTATTTTTAGTAGAGACGAGGTTTCAGTATGCTGACCAGGCTGGTCTCAAACTCCTGACTTTAAGTGATCCACCCGCCTCGGCCTCCCAAAGTGCTGGGATTACAGGCGTGAGCCACCGCGCCCAGCAGATATATATATATATATATATTTAGAGGAGTATCTACTCATTAAAATTCCCACAATACAGAAATATATTAAGTAGGAAATGAAATATACTCTCCCTCATAATCTTACTTCTCAGAAATAACCACTGTTAACTTTTTGATATATAGCATTCCAGATGGATGGATAGAAAAATCTTACTTTTTATATTAAGTATTTCAGGGGTTAATTCAATGAACATCCAAGAACACAGCACCCAGCTTAAGAAATAAAACATCACAGACAAAATTGAAAGCCACTGTTTCTTTCTTGCATCACGTTCTCCTTCCCTCCCCAAAAGTAATTTACATCTAGAGGTTATCATTTCCATACCCATTAATCTTCTACTAGAGTTATTGGTATCCATAACAATATGTAACTTTGTTTCACATGTTATTCCTCCTGAAGTATCGTAGCGTATGTACTCTTCTACAACTTGCTTTTTCTCCATCTACATTGTTTCCAGATGTTCCATGTTGTTATACTGTAGCATTATTTCATTCATTGGAACACTATGTCATATTTCATTGTGTAATTATGCCACAGTTTATCAGTTCTCCTCTTGAGAGGTATTTTGAATTGTTTCAAATTTTTCACTATACAAACAGTGCTGTGGTGAACTCATCTCCTTAAATACTTATGCAGGAGTTTCTCTGGAGTATAGAGCTAGAGATGGAATGTCTGGGTCATGGCATGAGTATCTTCAACTTTACTAAACATTGCCAAATTGCTCTCTAAAATGCTTGTACTAATTTATATTTCCACCATCGAATATAAATTAGTACAACCACTTTAGAGAACAATTTGACAATATTCAAATTTTCACTACATGAAAATTCCTGTTGCTCTATGTCCTTGCCAACAAAGTGCTGTCAAGCATTCAAATTTTTGCCAATCTATTGAATGTGAACTGATATTTCATGATTGTTTTCATTGCATTTTCATAAGTGCTAATGACATTGAGCACCTTTTTTATGTTTACTAGCCTTTCCAGGTGGCTCTTGTGTGAATTTCCTGTTTATACGCTCTACCCAGTTTCAATAGAGAAAGAGAGAGAGAGAGAGAGAGAGATTTTGTAACTTTAAACAAGTTGCAAAACAGTATACCATAAAAATTTTCTGACATATAATAAACATCATATGTAGTCCATATTCTGCCTGATATTCTCCAACATGCTTTTTAAACTCTTACTATAGCTTATACACCATACCAGACTAGCACTTTTTTATTTGTCTTATAATTGCACAATATACCTATGCTGTGATTTATAAGCCATTCCTCTATAGATGGACATTTAGATTGTTCTTATTTTTTTCCATTATAAATAATGAATATTTTGGTAGCAACGTATTTGGTTACAATTGCAACTGTTCCTGTAGAAGATGGGCAATTCTCAGTGAATTATAAATAGTATAAAACAAGAGAAAAATAGAATGCAATACAATTATAATCAAATAAGTTCAACATTCCATCTCTTCTAGACTTAACTCCTCCTCTTTTTTTTTTTTTTTTTTTTTAACAATTCAAGAAGTAACCTGAGAATAACCACTTTAAATATATTTTTGGCAAGATCTGATAAAGCTAAACATGCACCTATTTATGACTCAGCAATTCAACTCCTTAAGTACACAGCTAACAAAAATAAGTTTATACAGCCATAGAAAGACATGTATGAGAACCTTCACAACAGCTTTATTCACAAGTAACAAAGTTGTGCGCCAGCTGGGCACAGTGGCTCACTCCTATAATCCCAGCACTTTGGGAGAAAGAGGTGGGAGAATCGCTTGAGGCCAGGAGTTTAAGACACCCTGGGCAATATAGCAAGACCTTGTCTCCACCAAAAAATGTTTTTTAAAAATTAGCCAGGCGTGGTGACATGCACACGTAGTCTCAGCTACTTGGGAGGCTGAAGTGGGAGGATCGCTTGAGCCCAGGGGTTCAAGGTTACAGTGAGCTATGATCATGGCGCTGCCCTCCAGTCTGGGCAACAGATCCTTTCTAAAAAGCAAAACAGGCCAGGCACGGTGGCTCACGCCTGTAATCCCAGCACTTTGGGAGGCCGAGGCGGGTGGATCACAAGGTCAGGAGATGGATACCAGCCTGGCCAACATGATGAAACCCTGTCTCTACTAAAAATACAAAAATTAGCTGAGTGTGGTGGTGTGTGTCTGTAGTCCCAGCTGCTCAGGAGGCTGAGGCAGGAGAATTGCTTGAACCCGGGAGGGAGAGATTGCAGGAAGCCAAGATCACGCCACTGCACTCCAGCCTGGCAACAGAGTGAGACTGTCTCAAAAAAAAGCAAAATAAAACAAAACAAATTGTGCACCAGTGGATATGCATAATAAATAACACGATGGATCTCAAAGCATGATGCTGAACTGAAGAAGCCAGATGCAAAAGAGTACATATTCTACCCTCCCATTTATGTAAAGTTTAGGAACATGCACAACTAGTCTATAGTATTAGAGATAAGGATCAAGGCTACCTGTAAGGGGTCGAGTATTGGAGAGAAGGGGCAGCAGAACTTTCTGGAGTTTTGGAAATGCTCTCTATCTTGATCTGGGTCATGTATACATTTATAAAAATTCACTGAGTGCCAGGGGCAGTGGCTTACACCTGTAATCCTAGCACTTTAGGAGGTCAAGGCAGGAGATCACTTGAGGCCAGGAGTTCGAGACCAGCCTGGCCAACATGGCAAAACCTCATCTCTACTGAAAATACAAAAATTAGCTGGACCTGGTGATGCGTGCCTGTAGTCCCAGCTACTCGGGAGGCTGAGGCATGAGAATCGCTTGAATCCGGGAGGCGGAGGTTGTAGTAAGCTAAAGTCATGCCACTGCACTCCAGCCTGGGCAACAGAGTGAGACTCCATCTCAAAAAAAAAAAAAGAAAAATTCACTGAGTTTTCCCCTTAAATACTCGGTACTTTATATGTGTTGTGCTATAATTACAAACTGGGAGTGAGGGAGAAGTGGTCAAAGGATACAAAATGTCATTTAGACCTGAGGAATAAGTTCAGAAGAACTAACTTACAACATGGTGACTATTGTTAATAACAATGTATTGTATGCTTTTTTTTTTTATTTTTTGAGACAAGGTCTCACTCTGTCACCCAAGCTGGAGTGCAGTGGCGTGATCAAAGCTCCCTGCAGCCTCAACTTCATGGGCTCAAGTGATCCTCCTGCCTTGGCCTCCCAAGTAGCTTGGCCCACAGGCACTTGCCACCTCCCCGGCTAATTTTTTGTATTGTTGGTAGAGATGGGGTTTTGCCATGTTGCCTAGGCTGGTCTTGAACTCCTGAGCTCAAGGGATTTGACCGCCTCAGCTTCCCAAAGTGCTGGGATTCTATAAAACCACTGTGCTGGGCCATATTGTATGCTTGAAACTTGTTAGGAAAGCAGATTAAAAATTTTCTCATCACAAAAGAAGAAGGTACCATTTTCAGGTATATGCTAATTAGCTTGATTTAATCGTTTCACAATGTATACATATGGCAAAACATGATGTATATAATAAACACATACAGTTCTGATTTGTCAATTAAAAATAAAAATAAAAATAAATTGTTTTAAGCATAAATGTAAAAAAATTTATTTTTTAAACAACCTCATCAGTTTAATTGTCTGGATGATGGAGTTCTGCCTACATAAAAGAAAAGAAAGTGATTTTATTCAGATTCTGCTAAGTGCTAACCATGGGGCTAACATTTTCATAAATTTATTTCACTTAATAATTTTTATAGCTACCTCCATGATGTAGCTATGGTTGTTTCTTTTTTTTACAGATGAAGAAACAAGCGTGAAAAGTTTGGGAAATTTGTCTGAGATCACAGAGCCATTCACACTCTATTAATAACCATTAGGATTGTAACTGAAGCTGGGCACAGTGGTTCGGGTCTATATTCCCAGCACTTTGGGAGGCCAAGGCAGGAAGATTGCTTAAGCCCAGGAGCTCAAGGCCAGCCTGGGGAACAAAGACCCTGTCTCTACAAAAAATCAAAAAAATTAGCCAAGCATGGTGGTATGTGTCTGTGGTCCCAGCTACACAGGAGGCTAAGGCAGGAGGATCGCTTCAGCCAGGGAGGTCAAAGCTGCAGTGAGCCATGTTTGCACCACTGCACTCCAGCCTGGGCCACAGAGCAAGACCTAGTCTCAAAAAAAGAAAAGAAAAAAAGAATTGTAACTGAAATAGCTGACATGTATCAGGCACACCATACATTGGGAATTATTCTAAATGCTTTACCTGTTTTATCTCACGTAATCTGCAAAATGATCCTGTGGGACAGGCACCAGTATCATCCCCATTTTATAGGCAAGAAAACTGCAGCAGAGGGAGTCACTTTCTCAGGTCTCACAGCCAGTAAGGGAGGAACCAAGATCTTCTCGTTTCCGTATGACACAAGCCCCAGTTCTGTCTTTCCTAGCCCCAAGACAGTGTGTGGAATTTGTCTCCTACTGAGTGACACCAGGGATACTCTGCTCTGCTTCAGTTATGCAGGCAGCTGTTTGCTTTGTTTCAGGGTCTTCTGGTAGAAGCTTATGTTTATTTGTTGACTTGCTTTTCACACTCATCTACTTAGCAAGTCAGAAAACAGAGCAATTAAGCATCAAGCCCAAACATTCCAAGATAAATTAGCAGGCGGGTCTCCCCAAGGCAGAGGCTCAAGCAGAGGAGGGGGGCTGCGACAGGAGGATTCCCACTGTTATCCTGTGCACAGAGCCAGGCCTGGCCATCCCAGACCCCAGGGACCCTGGCGCTGATAATAAACTGGCAACGAGAGGCTTGTGGCTACATGTTTTCTGCAGAATTGGATACCACCTTGCGACCACATTTTAATGGGAAATACAGCTTGATGGATAAATTTCAGGGCTTTATGAAGAAATGGCAGAGTAAGTCAATAAGACCAGTTAGCCACTCCAGGTAAGGGAGGAGGGACCTGGAGGAGAAAAAAAGGAAGGGAAGAGAGCTGACCCACCAGCAGATTATTGTCCGGCTGAGGCCTGGCCAGTGCCACCACCAATCCTGTTACCTGGCAGGCCCTGCTGGGCACTGCATTCCTCGGCTACCAGAGCTGCAGTTCGGGCCACACTCAACCTATTGCCAGCTGATAAGTCATTTCTACAGGGGGCAATAAAAACCCCCAGGATCCATATCCCTGACTTCAAATCTATCCATCAGATGTCAGAGTGGACCACAGGCATGAGCCCCTCTCCCCATCTCAGCAGGGTAGGTAGTGTCCCCCAAGTGCCTCAGAGGGATGAAATCAGGCTGAGAAGAGAGGAAAGCAGGGCCCCGGGGTAGCCACAGGGACCCTGGGCTCACAAACAAGGACAAAAATAACAAGCTCAGCCACCAGGAATTGAGCACCTACTATGTACAAGGCCCTTTACACACATCACTCCTAATCCCTTCAGTGACCCTTCAGGAGATGGATGCTAGCCCCATTCAATTTCCCATGGGGGAAACTGAAGTTCAAAGTCGGTTAAGTAGTCACTTGCCCCAAATCTTGGCCTGGCTGACTCCAGAGTCCTTCACTGGTAAGCCCACAGCCCACCTCTGCAGAGGAGGAAGAGAGAAAGGAAAGAGGGGGTAGGAGAAGCAAGGGCATTGATGCAATGCTTCGTATGTGGTAAGCATTCATGGAGTATTGACTGTTATCACTGCAAGAGCTAACAATACGATGATAAACGCCAGTGAGAATTCAGAGTACTTCGAATTGTTTCTCATGAGGAGGGCCCCTTCTGAGCCTACCCTTGTCTGCACCCCTTGTCTGGGGTGTCTCCTAGGCCGCACCCATGGCATTTCCAGAAGAAACAATTGCCACCCGGGAACACACACTCACTCAGTCTTCCCTGAGAGTGACATGATGAGAGGGGAGTCTCAGCTCCCCCACCTCCAGAGGCCATTGTCAATGTAGTATAGGGGCAGGGAGCTTGGGTTCGAATCCAGGCTGTGCCAACACCTGCAGAGTCTGGGAATCCTGAAAGGTGGAGGAAAGGAGTTCTGCAGGTGGGGCTGGTTCAACCTGAGAAGGGGAGATGTTTCTTATGACTGGGGAAGTTAACGACACTGCCTGCGAGGCTTCTGGGTGTTGGGAAGGGGCTTAGGAATTCAGGTGCTGGTGATTTCAGAAGAGCCGTTATCAGAGGTGGCCTCCATCTGCATACACGCAGTCAAGCCCCCTTCAGTGGCAGGGAATGTCATTCAGTGATTATAGTGGAAAAAAGTCAGCCACCACTTCTGCCATGGCCCAGCCCCAAGCCCCAGTGGGCCATGCATGGTGGCTGTCTAGAGTCCTAGAGAAAGGCTTTGCTCCAGTCCCCAGAGGCCAGTACCTGGAGGAACAACACCAGACTATTCCCTGGAGGTGAAAACCTACATTCAATTCCTACAGTGTGAAGAAGGAAGCCCCTTCGGGGACATTATTGGAAAGAACTCCAAGAATAGAAAAGGAAAGCAGGGTTCTCAGAACTGAACTGGCAGAAAACCTGGATTCTAAATGCAGAAGTGTTCATATTCGGCACTTCCAAGTAATTATTTACACACAGCAAGGTAATTTATAGACACACGATCACACCTATCTGTTCAAAGGGTCGTTTTCAGTTCTGAGCAGCTGGAGTCTGGACCCTGATTATATTAGCTATGGGACCCTGGGCTAGACGTCTGGCCTCACTGAGTCTCAGCCTCCTTGACTTCTCCCATAAACTGCTTTTCCTCTGCTTCACCCTCTCGGTAACTTGTAATATTATTCTCTGAGCTGCCCAAGCAAAAATTCTGGGAGTTATGAAAGATTCACTCCCCATGGTGGACTGATGGCCAAAACAGCCTAAATCTCTCACCTTCTCTGTACCCACACCCTTGGCCCAACAAGAGGTGGAGTCCATTTCCCCACTCCTTGAATCTGGGCTGGCCATGGGACTGCCTTTGGCCAATAGCATGTGGCTAAGTGACAGTGTTCCGCTCTTTCTGTGTTTTCGGGTTTTGGCTCACTCCTTTGCACCTCTGCATTTCCATGAGAGCATGCCCTAGCTAGCCTCCTGGAGGATGAGACATGGAGCAGTGCTGAGTCCACCTGGCACCTCAGGCTTGAGCAAGCCACCCAAGATGGGCAAAGCTACCCGCTAGCCCGTGGCTAACCGAAGACAAGTGAGTGAGCTCCACCAAGGAGCTCAGAGCAGCAGAACTATCTAGCCAATCCATAGATTTGTGATGACCAGTAAATGTTTATTATTATATGCCACTGAGGTTTTCACGATCGTTACACAGCATCCTCGTGGTCACAGACAACTCATATATTCCTGCATACCCAATAAATCACCAAATCGAAGCACACTTGTTAAAAGGCCAATGTTGGAGCCAGACTTTCTGGTTTCAAATCCATCTCCACTCCTATCTAGCTATGTGACCTTTGGTGAGTTATTTAATCTCTTAATGCCTCAGTTTCCTTATCTAAAAATGAGAGCTGATGGTAGAAGAACCTACAGGAAGAGACGCTGTGATGATTAAATGAGTAAATAGTATAAGGTGCTTAGAACAGCACCTGGTACAGAGTTAATGCTGCATAAATAGTTTGCATTAATATAGTATCTGATAAACACATTAAGAATCTATTTTCCTCTATCCCCCACAGACATCCCCCTAATCCGGGGCATTTTCTGGATGGTTTTTTGCCCCCATCTTACAGCCATTAATCCACTCTGTATAATGAAGCTAGAGGGATCTTTCCAAAGTGTAGACCCCAAGGGAGTCACACCTTGATTAAAGCCTTCAGTGGTGACCCATTGTCCTCAGGACAGTTTAAATTCCCCAGGTGATTAGAGAGGCCATGCCCAAACAAGTTCCTATTTAATTCTCCACCTCCTCTTCCCCCATCCCACACATTATTGATTAACATCGGTAATAATATGAGTAATCATGGCCCCATGCAGAGGACTTACTCTATGCCAGGCCAACTCTAAGCGTTTTTCTTGCATTATATCTTTCTTTGAATCCTCATAACCATCTTGTAAGATAGATATAGTAACCCCCCATTTACAGATTAGGAAACTGACGTGTGACTTGCCCAGGGTCACCTAGCTCATAAGCAACAGAGAAAGGATGAAAGCCCACGGTCACCTCTAACGTGAGCCAAGCTGCTCTGGGGGAACGACATCTCCAGAGATGTTAGCCACTCCTCAGGGAAACTTCCTTTCTGCTCTGCCTCTGGCCTCAGGCCCAGGCCCCACTTGGGCCTCACTCTAGAAGGCACAGGAGGATGAAGAAACATCCTTGTCATGGTCATGGAGTTTCATTCCATAAAGTGCAAGGAAGTTGGTAGATTAGTGAGCAATCACAAAGACGAGCAACAGCCTAGCTGACATGGTAGTACTTTGTTGACCCCACAAACCCCCACCCAAACCTCAGGCTGTCCTGTGACTTATTTTTCTGTGTACCTTGCAGCCTAATATGTAATCGGTGTTCAGTGCTACAGGTAATATAGTCAAGTTAAACAATTCTTTTTTTTTTTTTTTTTGAGATGGAGTCTCTCTGTTGCCCAGGCTGGAGTTGCAATGGCACTATTTCAGCTCACTGCAACCTCTGCCTCCCAGGTTCAAGCGATCCTCCCACCTCAGCCTCCTGAGTAGCTGGAACTACAGGCATGCACCACCACACCCAGATAATTTGTGTATTTTTAGTAGAGATGGAGTTTCACCATGTTGACCAGGCTGGTCTCCAACTCCTGACCTCAAGTGATCCACCTGCCTCAGCCTCACCAAAGTGCTGGGATTACAGGAGTGAGCCACTGCTCCCGGCCCACAATTATTATATAGAGCTTACTGTGTGCCCAGTAACTTTCCTAAGCCTGTTACACACATTCACAGTGTAATACTTACAATAACCCTGGAAGGTAGGTGTTATCATTGTCTCCATTTTACAGATGAGAAATCGAGGGTCAGAGACATTAGAACATTTGCTTGGAGCCAAATTCAAACCCAGGAAGTCTGGCTGTAGAATCTGTGCCTTTAACCACTACGTTAGACTCTCTCTCTCAAGAGAATCAAAGACAAGTTCTTCAAAAAGCAATCCTTTGAGAACTATTGAGGGGCTCCCAAGAAGAGCAAAAGCACCTGGACTTGGAAAGGAATCGCACAACAGGATCAAAAAGCAAAGGCTCAGTCTGCACAGGTTACTACAGGTCACCTGAAGCCACTTCTCTTCTACTTCCAGACACGTGGAGGGTCGTAATTCCTTGTTTCTCTGACTAGTCATGGCCAGTAAGGTATGAGCCGGCTTGACTCTCCAGCCTTCTCTTCCCAGGATCTGGAAGCTTTGTGTGGAGACGCCAGTGGCATGAGATGGAGGAGGCTTCCTCAGCCCCAGGACCTGAGTGACAAATGATGGAGGAGTCATTTGTCACTCAGGTCCTGGGGCCCCTACACCCCGAATTCTGCACCAAGCTCTGCTGGATGTGAAGTGCATGTGAGTAATAAACCTTTGGTTGAAGCCAATGACATATGACATTTGGGGCTCTTTTTTACCACATTTTAATCCAGGCACTCCTGACTCATACGAGTGGGTCAGTCATGTGAGAAAAGAGGCAATTTCAGGTCTCTGACACTCTGGCAATCAGTAGGAGTAGGGAGTGAGGAGGAGGGAAGGATTCTTGGAAACTGCAGAGTATTGCTACTAAGATTTCACTGGGAAGAGCGTGTTCTTTCTGCAAATGAGCAGAGAGACCTTTCCAATCTGGCCAGAACACAATCCAAATGTTAAAATTAAAATTAGAAATGAAACTTATCTGCAGAGAGAAATATCAAAACACGATCCCTCATCAGAACAGGTTGAAGTAGAAATTCCCCATGGCTTCCGTGGTTACTAACCCCCAAGGTAGGTGTTGGCAGCAATGTTCTGTTCAAATGCAGAGCTGATCTGGCTGGGACCAGGATAAACTCCTACCTCCTAGTTCACCACCACCCTGTGGCAAGCATAACCGTTGTCTGACCACAATCTGGTTTCCTTTGTCCACCAAGTCTGCCTTACCAATAAATTTTAAGTTGTGCCTTTCAAAAACTAACAAATTCTGGGATCTGCTAATATCAGTTTGGAGATGCCATTTCCGGGCTTATCTCAAACTTATTAGCTGGAGAGGAAGGCCACGAGTCTTCTCTCCCTACTCTGTTCTCCCAAGATTTCCCCCTGTGTCCAACTGTCAGTCAGGTTAGACCTCCAAGCAGCTGCTTCCCCACCATAGCCAGGGGCTCTGACAGCTGGTACCAAACAGAGGAGACACTCTAAGAAAATGTTCTCCATTGAAGGACTACACATACATGAAAAATAAAACCTGGAAGTTTGCAAAAGCTGAAGAGAAGTCATATTTTGGTCTAATTTATTAGTTTTGATATGAGATTCTGGTCAGTATTAGGCCGTCAACTGTTTGTTAATTTGGTCCTAAGTAGCTGAGCCACAGTGGAACTGACTGATCCAGAAGGCTGCAAATACAGAAGGAAGGATACAGAGAGGAGATATCTGAAAAGTGTCATCAATAGAAAATCAGTGCAGAGACAAGGCCATGCAGTTCTTCATCATTCACCTCCCTCTCTATTCCAAATCTTTCTCCACTTCTGGGGTCAGGGAGCAGGATCCTGGCTCTTTTCCTGATTTCAGTTTATTTTTCTTTTCTTTCCTTTTTTTTTTTTTTTTTTTTTTGAGATATCATGGCTCACTACATACAGCCTTTAACTCCTAGGCTCGAGCCATCTTCCTGCCTCAACCTTCAGCCTCCAAAGTAGCTGGGACCACAGGTATGTGTCACTACACCTAGCTAATTTCTTTTCATTTCATAGAGACAAGGGCCTTGCTATGTTGCCCAGGCTGATCTCAAACTCCTGGCCTCAAGCAGTTCTCCTGCTTCAGCCTCCCAAAGTCCTGGGATTTGAGCTAAGCTCTGCCTCAGGTGGAATTAAGGGAAAGAAGGCTGGTGTCATCTGAAGACTGCAGTGGCTTCCTCTGGGCTTTAGGCTCCCACATCACTGGCACCTGACCTGCCCTTTATTTTTGTGGCCAGGAAAATATTTGCCTAAGAGAAGTCTAAGCACCACTAAGTGGGAGTGTAGCCACTGTGAAGGGCTTGTGTGTGCCCAGCGGGGCCCTGCACAGTGAGCTGAGGACACCTTGAAGAATCCATGCACCACTGGTCACAGTGCGGGCCAGTGTTGTCTTTCAGATGGTGTGGAGGCAGCAGCCATAGCCACCCTCCCACCATTTTGGTTTCATATGAGAGTCTTTCATTAATGGCAGCCTCCCCTACTAGCCTTGGCTCACCACTGTTTCGCCAGTCCCCAAGCATTATCTAAGCATGAAAATGGAGACTCAGCTCATTCCATCCTGAGAATAAATGAAGCTGAAAGAGACCGCAACAAGAGGAGGCTGAGACTAAACCAAAAACCATGGGATAGTGGAGACGCTGGCTTTTTGTGGAGGCTGGCCTGGCTCCCAGGCATAATTGTTTTCAAGGATAACACAATGATTAAATCTTCATTTATCAATATATGATACCTAAATCTTCATTTAACCAATATTTATTGAACACTTACTATTGGCCCCTAACAAGGCTAGTTGGGGTGGCTGATGTTAATCAAAGAATCACACGGGGGTGACAAATATATAATTAAAAACCAATGTTAGTGTTATAAATAAACAAAGAATGTGCTGCAATTAAAAATCAAAAATGAGTCAAGCACTGTAGTCCATGCCTGTCATCCCAGCACTTTGGGAGGCTGAAGCAGGAGGATTCTATGAGACCAGGAGTTCAAAACTAGCCTGGACAACATAGTGAGAACTCCCAACTCTACAAAAAATTTAAAAATTATCTGGGCATGGTAGTCCATGCCTATAGTCCTATCAGTTTAGGAGGCTAAGGTGGGAGGATCACTTGAGCCCAGGAGTTAAAGGCCATAGTGAGCTATGATTGGGGCACTGCATTCCACCTTGAGTGACAGCATGAGACCCTGACTCTTAAAAAAAAAAAAATCAAAACTGAGAAACACCTTTAGGGATAAGTGTCAAGGAAGGTCACTTAAGGAAGGGACATTTAGGAGAAAGCCAGGCCATGTTGGACTAAAAAGTATTTTAGGAAGAGAGAACAGCTTGCGCAAAGGTTCTGAGACTAGAAAACACCTAAGAATTTAAAGCAAGGGAGAGAAGAGTTGGGAGAGAGTGACTGCAGGTAAGATCAGGGAAGTCTTGGGGACCCAATCAGGCAGAAGTCTTAAGATGCGTAAGTCTGGAAGGTATCCATGATGGCCCAAAGCAGGACCAGCCCCAGAACTCATCATTGACCTCAAAGGAACCCTGTTCAGCTGCCCAAGTGAATATGTTTCTTAGGGTTTGTATGTTCATTTACTCTATAAGCAAAGACATGTATTGAACACTATATGCCAGGCCATGAGACTGCAATAGTGAATTATGCATAACTCCAGCCTTCAAGAAGCATCTCACCTACTGGTGGAAACTGTCCAAGAATCAGGATTACAATATAGTATAATAAGGTGTTACCATCAGATATCAAAGCTGGGAAGAGCATGGAGGCCTTCCTGGAGGTGGAAACATTTCAGCTGAGTCTTAAAACACATTTTGGAATTTGTAAAGAGGAAGAAGAGGCCATTCCAGGCAGAAGATAAAGGTATTGATAGGTAATCACACTTTGGCTCTGATCCGGGTTCTCAATCTTTCACACATTAGAATCTCTTGGGAAGCTTTGAAGATCTGAGATAGCCAAACTTCACCCTCCACAGATTTTGATTTAATTTTCCTGGGTGTGGGGCCTAGCTGATTCTAAAGTACAGCCATATTTGGGAACCCCTGATCCAGTTAATCCTAAATTGCAACCAGAACCTTGAAAGAAGGCCAGGCATAGTGGATCATTACTGTAATCCCAGCACTTTGGGAGGCTGAGGCAGGAAGGTCACAAGGCTAGGAGTTTGAGACCAGCCTGGGCATCATAGCGACACTCCCATCTCTACAAAAAAACAAAAACAAAAAATGTTTAACTACCCCAGTGTGGTGGTGCTTGCCTGTGGTCCCACCTACTCAGAGGCTGAGGCAGGAGGATCATTTGAGTGCAGGAATTAGGAGACTGCAGTAAGCTATGATCACACCACTGCACTGCAGACTGGGTGACGGAGGAGATGCTGTCTCTAAAAGAAACAAACAAAAAAAAAGAATCTTGGAAGACCTTACCCAATTGTCACTTAAGTAGCTTTGTCACTTTGCTATCAGGATATTTGGGATCTGTCCCCCAAAGCTCAGAGCAGCCACAGCAGACCTCAGGACAAAGTAAGTGCCCCAGAAGCTTCAGGCTGGGCAAGAGAGGGGCCTGCTCAGCCATCTTCCCAGCCATGATTAAGCTATCCTGGCTGGGGTGTGCGCGGTGAAGGTAGCCAAGGCAAAGAATCAAGGGGGAGCAGAGTGGATGCAAAGGAGCAGTGTGCTGAGGGCCCAGGCCCAGCACTGGCCCTCCAGGGTTCAGGTGCCCCACCTGAAAGTGAGGCGTAGGCATCAATTCCCCAACTTCAGACATTCAAGTTCCAGCTTCCTGACGTCGCTCTATTCATGCACTATTATTTCCTCACCATTTCTCCTGGCTTAATTAAATGTCTTTCAAAAGGAAACTTTGTATCAAGTGGATATTTGGAAATAGAAAGCCAGTATCCTTTGTCCTAAATAGAAGCCACCTAAAGAGTCAATTTAATTTTTTAAAATAATGTTATTAAAGTCTGGTTAGACACCATTGCTTACTAAAGCCTCTGTGCCTGAAGCCTGTTCTGTCTTTGTTTTTTGTTTCTAATTTTAGTTTTTAGTGTGGAAAATATACATAATATAAAATTTACCATTCTATTTTTAATTGTACAGTTCAGTGGCATTAAGTACATTTACATTGTTATACAACCAGCACCACCTTCCATCTCCAGAACTTTCTTTATCCTCCCAAACTGAAATTCCATATCCATTAAATCATAACCCCCCCACCACCACCATCCTCCTTCCAGCCCCTGGCAACCACCCCTCTACTTTCTGTCCCCATGATATCTTTGTTTTAAAGGGAGATTAAAAAGAGTTGGAGAGATGTTAAAGGCTTGTTAACACCAAATGGAGACTCATTTTGACTTAGCTCTGAAAGAGAGTGGGAAAGGCAGTACAGTTCACTCTCTGGGACTCAATGTCACAATGTTACCCAATGCCTCTCCATGCATGGCCTAAACCCTTGGTATTCATCCCACAAGTTGCAAATATTGCACAAAGGATCCCTAGGTTTCTCTCCTAGATCTGAGGTCTTGCAGCAAGCACATGGTTTAACATCTGGATCTAACACGGTGAGGAAGCAAGCAGGCAAGAGAACCCTCCCAGTGTCCAGGATTTCATTCAATACCCTCAACAATGCTGAGAGATGGGGACTATTCCTATTTGACCAAAAAGGAATGTAGAGCTCAGCAAGACAGTGACTTACCCAAAATGACACAATAGGCCCATCCCAGGACTCATGGATCCAATCACCATCCTCTGCTCTTCCCACCCCACTTTACTGATTTCCATGGGGCAAGCAACAGGAGAGGCAAAGCCAGAGGATATGAAGAACGACAGGGACCCTAAGCAAAAAGGCTGCTCTGTGGCTCTGCAAGCACAGACGACACTCAGTAAGCGGACTCCTAACAAGTTAATCAAAATAAATCGAAACGGCGCATGCCTGGGTAACACTCTTCCTGGTGCATAAATGGCGCCGTCACTCTCTAGCCATGGAGCCACCAAGCTGGCCCTTTAATGAATGCACACAGGAGACGCTGGCCACCCGAGGATGTGCCCCTCTGCACATCACTAGGGGCCTGCTCAGCTCCTTCCCAGGCCTTCATACAGGCAAATGGCTGTGCATACTCACTCTGCATTTGAGCATTTCTGTCCCTGCAGGATTCTGATGCAAATGGATTTGACACACACACACAGAGCATCTCCTTCCCAGCTGAGCTCCCCTGTTTGCTGATGGGTTTCAAGCATTCTCCCTGGACTGCTTACCTTCATCTTTTGTGTTTGTTTAAATAACAGCCAGGTAGAGACCTTAGTTAAACATCTTCTGAGATGCCAAGATGGGGAAGCATTTTGCTCCATGCCACCCCCTCTCCCTGACAGCTGATTGTGTGTTTGCAGTGGCTTCCAGATCAGTTCTTTGGCTGGCCTCCATTTATTTGTGAGGCTGGGATGGATCCATATGAATAAAGCTTCCACATTAGTAGGAGTCTCATGTATCTCTGGCTGCGGGATGCAGCCAAGCCCCTGGCCTGACCCCTCAGTTGCCTGCATTTACTTGATCACCAATCACCTCCCCAGCGAAAGGCAGATTGTACACGCTGGCCTCAGAGTCATCACACACACAGACACCCCAAAAAAGAGTTTGACCATTTTCCTATTTTAAAAACTATCTACCATTGCCTTCCATCTTCTCTGGGGACAGAGCATTCCTTACTATAATGAAACTGACTTTTTAAAATGAGTCTGAGATCTAGGATTTGCGCAAAAGGAGCTCACTACCAGGTGTTGACAGAATTGCTCTCTGTCAACCTGTTAGGCGATCAGGGGCAGATGAATGTGGCCCTTGGGAGAAAGAACCAGAAATCAGGCCCAAGTCTGAAGGCTCAGTGTGCCTGGCACAGGCGGGGCAACAGGCTACTGCCTACAGGCATCTGAGAGTTGGGGAGAACCACCTTTGCATACACCCCCAGGAGCTGTGATGGTCACATAATTATATTCTGGAGGTCAAGAGCAGGGATCCTGAGGTTGGACAGATCAGAGATACCCCTCTGGGGCCTCTCTGAGCCTCAGTTATCTCAGCTACCTTCTAGAGGTGCAAGAATTGAAAAAGAATCTATAGCAGGGCAAGGCAGCTCACACCTATAACCCCAGCACTTTGGGGTGCTAAAGCAGGGGCGAATCACTTGAGGCCAGGAGTTTGAGACCAGCCTGTCTCACAAAAAATATTTAAAAATTATTCGGGCATGGTGGTACCTGCCTGTGGCCCCAGTTACTCAGGAGGCTGAGGCAGGAAGATCACTTGAGCCCAGGAAGTCAAGGCTGTAGTGAGCCATGATTTGCCACTGCACTCCAGCCTGAGTGACAAAGGAAGTCCCTGTCTTTAAAAAGAGAGAAATGAGAGAGAGAGAAAGAGAAAGAGAGAGACCATGCAAAGCCCTTCTTAGTTCCTGACACACAATAACTGCTATGTACTGTGGCAGTGGCTGTTTGATGCCTTCCCTCGTCTCTCCATCCTTTCTTGCTTGCTGAGAGCACTCTGATTTTGTTCAGGGTGGCTGTGTGCCTGTTGCTCAGCCCAGCACCACAGGTCATCTGCTGGAGAGTCCTTTCCCAGCCTGCCCCACAGCTAAAGACAGTCATGTGACTTAGATTTGACCAATGGCACCCAAGAGGAAGTGCGCTTTCCCAGTAAACTCCTTCTCTTCCTACCTTTAATCTGGCAGCCATTTTGTGACCATTCTGCAAATACCTAAGAATAAAGGGCCAATATACTGAAGAAAGCAGAAGAGAATATAGAAAAAGCCTGGGCCATCGTTGATATGGGTGGACTCTTTGCCAAGCTGAAAGCGCTCTTCCGCAGACCTCTCATTTTGGAATATGATTAAATGGCTGCATTGCTTCAGCATGTTGTTGGAGTCTTCTATTTTATTCTGCTACTTGCAGCCCAAAGCATTCTTAGCCATGGTTACTTCCCAGCCTGGGGCTCCAGGAAAAACCATAGCAATACAGACTTGCAATGCAAGACAACTGACATTCTTAGGACAATTATTTTCATGACTCAGTAATTCCAGCTCCAAGATACCAGCTCCAAAACCCAGAAGAGTCCCAAGCCTGGGCTGTAATGAGTCACCTGGGGTTAGCTGAGCAGGTGGGCAAGCTGTGGGCCTCTGTGTGGGAAGCTGGCCTCAAGCTCACTGCTGTCTGCCCTGATGCCTCTGAACCAGTGACCTTGGCAAGCCACTTAACTCTGCTATATGCCTTTGTTTCTTCAGCTGTAAAAGTCGGAATCATAACACCTACTTTACAAAGTTGTTGATGAGAACCTTCTCCAGATAAGGCCCCTTCTAAAACACAAATCGAAGCCCTGGATTTATTCAGAAGACCCTCCATGGTCTAGCACCAGCCAACTTCCTGAGCCCCACCTCTGGTCACTCACACATGCCACTGTAGCCCTGCTGAATGCTCTCTCTCCTCAATGCCCTCACAAATGCCATTCCCCTGCCTGGAACACTTATTCCCCTGCCTTTCTCCTGGCTAGTCCCTGCTCAGTTTCAGCCTCAGCTGAAAAGTCACTTCCTCCTGAAAGTTCTCCTGGACCCTACTCACACAAGCATGCACACACACACACACACACGCGCGCGCGCACACACACACACACACACACACACACCCTTTTAAAGGTGCTCTGCTCTGAGGTCCCTTCCCCTGAGCCACAGTTCCCTTCCCCACTGGCTGCTGAGCTGTGGAAGGGCAGAAATGAGATCCTTCAGGCTCACCCTTGTACCTCTCACCTCTAACACAGGCCCGACACAAAGTAGGCATTAATAGACAGGTATTTATTAAAGGAATGAACATTGCCATAAAGAGTTTAGCGCAACTCCAGGCACTTGACTGGCATATGATAAATTCATATCTACTGAGAGACAGCACAGTGCAGTGCTTAAGTGCCCCTCGCAGGAGCAATCCTGCCTGGGTTTGAACTCCACCTGAGCCTCTATTAGCTGTATGACCCTGGGTAGGTCACTTAACCTCTCTAAACCTCAGATTCCTCATCTATAAATGAGAATCCTGATAATAACAACCTGACATAGTTGTGAGAATTAAAGAAGTTGATGTGGGCACAGTGCTCAACGCCTGTGTTTGAGAGGCAGAGGTGGAAGGATTGCTTGAAGCCAAGAGTTGGAGACCAGCCTGGGCAACAGAGCGAGACCCCATCTCTACAAAAATAAAAATTTTAAAAAAATTAGCTGGGCATGGTTTCACGTGCCTCTAGTCCTAGCTACTTGGGAGGCTGAGGCAGGAAGATAGCTTGAGCCCAGGAGTTCAAGGCTGCAGTAAGCTATGATTGCACCGTTGCACTCCAGCCTGGACAACACAGTGTCTCAAAACAAGAAAAAAAGTTGATAAAAAGAGAGCACCTGGTACATGATGAGGACTAGCTATTATTATTATCAAAGCAATGACTCGGCCAGAGATGTCCAAAATGAGGTCTGGAGCAGGCCAGCCCACTGGGGACACCTTCCTGCAGGTTTTCTCCCCTACCCACCTCCACCGACGCCCACTCCGACTCCCTCCCCGGTCAGTACCTCCACCTATCCAAGACTTGCCCTCCAACCGCTCCCCAGCTGGCCTCCCTGTCCACCAGTGGTCACAGACGCACTCGCCTGATTGATAAAGTCCCTATCTGGTCATTTATGATCTGGCTGCTGAAGAGGCAGCTCCTGCCAGCTCGAAAAGCAATTAATCTGCAAACAAGCTGGGCAACAGCAGGCCTGGGCATTGCAGTCTCGGGCTGAGGCCGCTCCGGAGAGCAGATAAGGCTGTAGTCGGCTATTTATTGTACATTTTAATTAAGTGCTTGTTAACGACAGTTATTTTAACAGTCATAAAATTACTGTTGTAATGCATTTTGTTGGAGGGAGAATGGAGGGGCCGCGGGACTTTATGAAAGCAACCACAGATTGCCTTCACTTTAAATCAAAGAATAAATTCTGAAGAGAAGGGACGGTGCTGTGGTCCAGGCCCAGACGCTAATGGTTATTTAATGTGCTCATCAGTGTTTGTAAGTCCTGAGCATACGGCGCGGACACAACAGCCTCCAAACCCTCTTTAACACTTATTTGAGATGACAGGAAAAATGAAACCGTTTGTGCTTTCAATGGAAAAGCAATCATTGGTACATTATATTCGCCTTGCCCTATCATGCTAATGCATGGTAAAAATGTCACCAAATGTATTTAAGGGCCTGATGGACTGTTAACGTTGGATTCCTGGTACTGGACTGATTAATAAAAATCTTCAATTTGTATGTAAATGCAGCGAAGCCTCATATCATCCGCATACCTGCACCCAAATAAAATAATAAACTGAAGTTTAATGTAGCAATTATCAGCATTTATGGAACTCTTAAAGCTGTGGAAGCGCTGGGAAGCAGGCATGGAGAGAGGTGCTGGGGATGGGGGAAGATGCTCCCTTTGGGATGTGTGGGCTTCTCCTGAAGACCAGCATTGGCTAACCTGGTTACATCACACCGTGCTGTCATCTGAGAAGGGAGCCAATTAGAGTGGCCCTGGATGGTGAGCTAGAGCGGCTGGCAGAGAGATGTTCCCGGAGGCAGCTCCTCTCCAGCTAACGTCTCCTCCTTGGAACACTGGGGCATGTGCCTGTGACTTTCCCTGCTCTGATTTGGAGGAACCTCGTTGAGTGGTCAGCCCACCTGCTGGGCCAAGACACATGTGTAATGAGGAGACACACTGCTTGCTTGCAGGGACTCACTATCTTGGTACAAATGGCAATGGTGACAAGCCATTTACTGTGTTGCTGTGCGTCAGGCCCAGAGCTGAGGACTTTACATATTATCTAATCCTCATAATTCTCTGTGCCAGGGACTGGCTCACTCTTCACCAAACCTGCATCCTTTTCCACCCAGCTGCGCAGCTGAACTACATTTCCCAGTGTCCCTTGCAGTTAAGTATGGTCCTGTGCTTTAGTTCAGGCTGACAGAGAAAGAGACACCTAGATGAGATTTGATGTGCAAGTGTTTTATTGGGATTGGGGGAGAGCAGAAGAAAGCAGGGAGAACTTTCAGGCTACCTGAAGTTTGACTCCTGGAGGAGCAAAGCAGGGAGAGAAGAGGGTTGCGTAGCAGAAGTCTCACACTGCATCACACTTCCAAGAAAGTTTCTGCCAGCCCAGTGGGGAGTCTTTGCACCAGAGTTGCCCATTGAAGGTGTCCCCATTCTTGGTGGGAGCAGCTGGGGAGAAGCAGGGCCTCTCTTTACATGAAAGTGATGGTAAATCCAGGGTGATGGCGCTGGGGCTGCCAGTCGGTCACACTCTCCGTGGCAAGAGATCTGAGAGGCTGGTTTTCATAGCTGAGGCCCAGCCAATGGAATGTGCAGAGGACTGATGTGCACCCCTTCTGAGCCTGGCCCATGCAACTTCCCACGGGTGGTCCTCATGCTCATTCTGCCTCCTCTGCCAGATGCGGGCAAGGTGGGGAACTTAGAAGCTTGTGTGTTGAAGAACCAGAGATAGAAGGAGTTGGACCCACTGCATGAAGAACAGCTACCCACTCACCAGAAACAGCTTCTATTGTGTTCAGCCATTGAGACTGAGGGCCTTTCTATTACAGCAGCTAAGCATTAGCCTAACTGATATCACATATGCATAAAGCAAGTATTCCGGTTGGTCTCCGTTTTTCAGGTGAGAAAAGTAAGTCCAGACAGGTAAGTGACTTACCAAAGTAGTAGACTCGGATGTGGCACAGCTGGGATTCCAGCACAGGATTATCTGACTCTGGACACTGTTTCCCTCCTGATTGTCCAAAGACACATAAACCAACACAAAAATGCTTTTCCCACCCCTGTGCCTTCCGCAACATTGCACTGCTGCACTCTCCTCTCTTCAAGAAAAAGTGAGTTTCTAATGGGGCTTTTGGAGGGTAGGAGTCAGTGATCCAGATTAGTAAGGAAAGGGTGGCAGGTACATATGTGGGGTGGCAGAGCCTGTCCTCACTTGCTCCTCTCTTCAGTTCATGACAGCCCTACAATTACACCAGCCTCCTAGGCCATAGCCAGTATCTGAAAACCTCATGAGTATAAATTGTTCAATTATCTTGGAACACAATTAGATAATATCTATCAGTATTTTTAATGTGGGTTCTCTTTTAGCCAAGATTTCTTTTCTAAAAACTTATCCCATGGACATGTCAGCAGCAGAGTACAACAAATGTTTGTAAACAGACTTACTGCCCATTGTTTATAGCAGCAAAATACTAGATGTAACATAATGGTCGATCAATAGGGTCCGAGTTATATGAAACATTGTGTGTTCTCTTACTGACACACAGGGCATCTACTAAGAAAAATGGGGTAGTGCTGTATGGACTATATGGGAAAAGACATATTAAATGGAAAAAAGTTACAGAATATTAATATAACATTATATTAGTCCATTTCCACACTGCTATAAAAACATACCCAAGACTGGATAATTTATAAAGAAAGGAGTTTTAGGCCGGGCGCAGAGGCTCACGCCTGTAATCCCGGCACTTTGGGAGGCCGAGGCAGGTGGATCACAAGGTCAGGAGATCAAGACCATCCTGGCTAACATGGTGAAAAAATACAAAAAATTTAGCCGGGCGTGGTGGTGGGTGTCTGTAATCCCAGCTACTCGGGACGCTGAGGCAAGAGAATGGTCTGAATCTGGGAGGCAGAGCTTGCAGTGAGCCAAGATTGCGCCACTGCACTCCAGACTGTGCGACAGAGCAAGACTCCATCTCAAAAAAAAAGAGAAGGTTTGACTCACAGTTCTGCATGACTGAGGAGGCCTCAGGAAACTTACAATCATGCCAGAAGGTGAAGGAGAAGCAAGTGCCTTCTTCACAAGGTAGCAGGAAAGAGAGAGGGAGCAGGGGAAAATGCCATTTTTAAACCATCAGACTTCCTGAGAACTCCCTCACTATTAAAAAAACAACATGGGGAAAACTATGCCCGTGATCCAATCACCTCCCAGCAGGTCCCTCCTTCGACACCTAGGGACTGCAGTTCCGATTACAATTCAAAATGAGATTTGGGTGGGAACACAGAGCCAGACCATATCAAATGTGATTCCAAAAATTGTTATCTTTGCTGAAGTATGGAAAGGTGCTCATCAAACGATAAAGAGTGGTTACGGCTGAAGGGGCAGGGACCTGATATCTAGAAGAATTATCATTTCTTGTGTTATAAATAATGATGTCACCACTGTTTACAATAAGCAAGAATCACTGCTATAATCAGAATGACGTTTAAAAGTTATTTTTTAAGTCTCATAGGTAGACACCATGACCCCAAGAAGTGTAGTGAAGGAATGCAGGGGAGATAGGGAAGAAAACCTAGAAAAGTGGATAATGGTCCCCATCTCACTGGGGAACTCCTGAGACAGGAGTAAGTTAGCAACTCCTGAGACAGGTGGGACTCAGAGCGCCCCACCAAGGGTCGAGGAAGTTGGAGTGTTCCTGCAGCATCTCCTATTTCTCAGTGGTTGGGGGTTGCTCCTGGAGGTCTTAGCAACATGCCAGCCTGACCCCCAGAGTCTGAACAGATGCCAGAAAGAACCCTTGTGCTGGGTGCTCCAACTAGGAAGCCATTGTCTGTGCAATTGTCTACAGAGGCAGTAGGTGACCTCTGGCGTGGACACTGAGGACATGTGCCTTTGCAACAGCTTTCTTGTCCTGCATTCTACCATGCCTGTCCCACACAGTGCTTAACCCATGCTGGTGACCCAGGAAACATGACGTGAGTCCAACTAAATATATATCAGATATATACATATAATATAGAGACACTTCAACTAGACTAGGAACTCCCCTCTGCCCCTCAAATATGAGGAGGCTTTTCTTTAATCCTTTCTCTCAAGTCTCAATAACATCCAGGACTCCAAAACAAAGACATAATAATAATAATATAATTGAAAAAGCCAATGACCACGTTTGGGGAGCTGCTATGTTCTGAATACTTTACATATAGAAGTGAATCCAGTCCTTCCAGCCTGACTGTGAGGTTCACACTGTCAGTAGTGGCTGTGGTCTTGCCTATCAGTCACACCTGACAGGCAGGCTGAGCATGCATGTAGGGTCCGAGCGGAGCAGGATCCAGGATCACTGAGAATTAGAGAGGAAAATTAAAGCATTTGATAGATGCTCTTTCAAAAGTCATTGAAGTAGGCCTTTGGGGAAAACACAGGCCCTTGCTGAACCCCCTGACACTTTACATATTAGTTTTGTGCTGAATTGCATTCCTGTGTGTTTTAAGGCACCCACTATTCTCAGAGCTGGGCCTCTAAAGATCTATACAGGGCAGTTGTTGGCCCACTTCTTACTCCAGCCATGGCTGTGGTGGGTGGTCAGTCCCATACAGCAGGGGTCCCCAACCCCTGGGCCAGGGACCAGTACCAGTCCATGGCCTGTTAGGAACTGAGGGTCGGTCGCACAGTAGGAGGTGAGTGGTAGGCTAGCAAGCAAAGCTTCACTGTATTTGCAGACACTCCCCATTGCTTGCATTACCACTTGAGCTCCACCTCCTGTCAGATCAGCTGCAGCAGGAGATTCTCATAGAAGCATAAACCCTATTGTGAATTGCACTTGCGAGGTATCTAGTTTGCATGCTCCTTATGAGAATCTAATGCCTGATGATCTGTCACTGTCTCCTATCACCCCCAGATGGGACTGTCTAGTTGCAGGAAAATAAGCTCAGGGCTCCCACTGATTCTACATTATGGTGAGTTGTATAATTATTTCATTATATATTACAATGTAACAATAATAGAAATAAAGTGCACAATGAATGTAATGGGCTTGAATCATCCCCAAACCATCCCCCATTCCCAGTCCATGGAAAAATTGTCTTCCATGAAACTGGTCTCTGGTGCTTAAAGCTTGGGGACCACTATCACCATATGGGCTTTGACCAGCTTCTTGGAGCCACAGGTAGACACCCTCTTGCATTGACTCCACCATATTCCTCTTTCTTCCTGTCCTGGGGCTTCTCTGACACCATAAGACTTTTCAGGCCTGTAGAAACCCACTCAACATTCACTGGTGCACCCCAAGAATATAAGGGGGTTAATGCCTAGGGGACTGCGTTGACCAACAGGGGTGGAAACTGATGGGAAAACGCTTCTGCTTTCATCTCCTGGGTGGGCAGTCCTGAGATGCATTTCTGCCAGCACCTCCTGCCCATGCCCCGGCACTCCCGCCCCAGCCTGCACTCCTGGTCCCTGGGATTTTCCCAAATAAACTACCTGAGCAGCAGCCTTTGCCTTGGCATTTGCTTTTGAAGGAGTCCAGGCTAAAACAAGGTTTTGATCAGAAATCATCAGAGTTCTAGATGGGCCAGAGGTCTGAACTAAGGTTTTTAAGTAAGAAATAGAAATAGCTTGGCAGAGAGAAATGGGATAAGGAACCTTGGAAAGACAGGGAGAAAAAATAAGCTGAAAGAGAGAGAAAGAAGAGGAGAAAGAAAAAAAAAACCTCAATTTCCCAGTGAGCTCACTGCTTGCCTCTCTTTCGAAGTTCCAAATTGCCTCCACTTTCTCAGAATTCCAATCAGGGCTCCTTCAGAGGAAGCAATTTCTGCCAGCACATGGTCTCCCACCTGCTGACCCAGGAGAAGAGCTCACAACTTTAGCTAAAAGAGCCCCAGCAGACATTAGCAAGTCAGCTAGCAAAAGGATCCACAAGAAATGGTGCAGTTATCTCCACCTGCCCCTAATGAGAAGGTGGCCGGGCCATCTGCTGGAAGCTCCATGACAGGGGAAGAGGGAATCAGGGCTCCACAGCAACACACACGCACGAACCAATGGGGCTGCACCAAAGACACGGGATTCCCCTTTCCCGCAACACTGCACAGACAATTATAAATTAAGACGTTTCCCCCACATTTTCAAAATTAATCAATTTCAAAGACCTCCTGGCTGCCTAAGCCACCAGCTCTATCTGACTCCCTCACATTCACCTTCTTCTCAGGGTGGGAGTGAGGACAGGTCTTGGTCATTCACCCCCCACTCCCAGAAGGAGGCAGTGGTCACTGCTATCGTCACTGCACCACAAGGTCAGGGCATAAGCAAGAGATGGAGCTGCTGACTGGGGCAACCATAGTCCCCAGAAAAGCAACAAAAGGACTTCAGGGAAACTGAGTCCCGTTGCCTCTCTTTCCTGGGGCAGAAAGAAGGGAACTCTTTTTTTCCATTTTTTTCTTTTATTGACAAGGTCTCACTCTGTCGCCCAGACTGGAGTTCAGTGGCATGATCACAGCTCACTGCAGCCTCGACCTCATCGGCTCAAGCCATCCTCCTATCTCAGCCTCCCAAGTAGATGGGACTACTACAGGCATGGGCACCACCACAATATTTTTACTGTGGTAGAATACACATAACATAAAATTTATCATCTTCATCATTTTTCAGTGTACAGTTTAACAATATTAAGTCCATTCACATTGTGCAGCTGTCACCACCATCTATCTCCGGAACGTTTTCATCATCCCAAACTAATGAGCGCTAACTCCCCATGCCCCTCTCCTCTAAGGTCCTGGTGGTCACCATTCTGCTTTCTGTCTCTATGAGTTTGACTACTCTGAGAAACCTCATATAAGTGGAATTACGCCGTATGCGTTCTTTTCCATCTGGCTTATTCCACTTAGCATCCATCCATGTTGCAGCAAGTGTCAGAATGTTCTTCCTTTTTTAAGGCTAAATAGTATTGCATTGTGTGGAATATCTCATTTTGTGTATCCACTCATCTGTTGAGGGACCCCTGGGTTGCGTCCACTTTTTAGCGACTATGAATCATGCTGCTATAAACATGGTTGTGCAAATGTCCCTTTGAGATTCTACTTTCAGTTTTTTCAGGTCTATACGGAAGAAACATTTTTGTAACTTCAAGTGACCCCACCGCAAGCCTGAGAGAAGGAGGCAGGACAGTAGTTACGGACGCAGATTTTACAGTCAAACAGAACTGATTCTACCTCTTACTCTGCATAGAACAAAATAACTAACACCTGTTGGGCACTTAGCATATGCCAAATGTTCTTCTAACCTCTTCTACTTATGTTAGTAGCAGAGGTTAATCCTCACAACAATTCTAGAAGATAGGTACTATTATTAATCTTATTTTACAGAGGAAGAAAGTCCATAAAAGTTAAACAGTTTACCTGGATTCGAGTAAGTGGTAGAACCAAGATTTGAATTCAGACAGTCTGGTTCCAGTGCCCATATGATGATAACAATCATGATAATGATAATGACAGTAACAACAAATGAAGAGGAGGAGGAGGAAAACAGACACTTATTAGCACTTAATCCAAATCAGGCCCTGTTAGAGCATCTAAATGAATTAACTCATTTAAATCTAACTCCTCTCTCAATTAACTCATTTAAACCTAAATACTCTCAGTTAAGTGTATTATTTTTCCTTGTTTTACTCACAAGGAAACTGACTCTCCAAATGGCTCCATACCATGTCCAAAGTCACATGGCGACCAAGAAAAGGATCCAAGATCTGAACCCGGATCCTCTGTTAGCCAAGTCCCCCTTTGTTCACTTCATCAGCCGTCTCTGCTTGAATTTCTCTGTATAGAGTGAGGAAAGGCTTGGAGGCAAACAGCATTCATGCTCTCCACTCTTCTACTGTATTTTTTTGGCCAGAGCAGACGTTCCAGGGACCTCTGGCAGAGAGACAATAAAGTGTGACATGTGGGAAGGAGGAAGGAGGCAGTAGAAGCACCACGCAGGCTGGAGATGAGGAACAGATTTAGGGGCAACCACAGAATGCAGGAAAAGGAAAGAAGAGAGGGATTTGGGGAAGTGTCTCTCTGAATCACAAATGGATCTACATAAAGTGCTTTCAAAGTCAGGAGTAAAGATTAGAATCTTTTTAAAATGAGCCTGGTGCAGTGGCAGCTCACACCTGTAATCCTACCACTTTAGGAGGCCAAGGTGGGAAGACCACTTGAGGCCAGGAGTTCAAGGCCAACCTGGGCAACATAAGGAAACCCCATCTCTACAAAAAAATTAAAAGTTACCCGAGCATAGCGGCGTGCACATAGACCCAGGTACTCAGAAGGCTGAGGTAGGAAGATCCCTTGAGCCCAGGAGTTGAGGCTGCCATGAGTGGTGATCATGCCACTGAACTCCAGCCTGGGTGACAGAGTGAGACCCTGTTTCAAAAACAATAAAATTATATCTTTTACTTTGGACTCTATTTTCTCTAAATACTACATGGAGGTAATACTGGGCCACATAGGACCCCAAGTTATATTTGGGTTAAACCAGTTGAACAAGATTTGTTGCACACTGTCTATGCGCCAGGCATTGGTTTATGGCAATATCAGAATCAGAGATGTTCCTGTATCAGGGCTGCCCCTGCACAGACCAAGAAGCCCATCAGAGGGGCAGGCTGACAACAGGAAATGGGACTGATTAGAGATACTTGTGGTTTTGAGGGTATTATCATTTCTTTCTATTTTTCTTTTGCTTTTTCTTTTTTTTTTTTTTTTTTTTTTTTGAGATGGAGTCTCGCTCTGTTGCCCAGGCTGGAGTACAGTGGTGCCATCTCAGCTCTTTGCATCCTCTGTCTCCCGGGTTCAAGCGATTCTCGTGCCTCAGCCTCTTGAGTGGCTGGGACTACAGGTGTGCACCATCACGCCCAGCTAATTTTTGTATTTCTTTTAGAGACAGGGTTTTTCTTTTAGAGACAGGGTTTTGCCATGTTGGCCAGGCTGGTCTCAAACTCCTGGCCTCAAGTGATCTGCCCGCCTTGGCGTCCCAAAGTGCTGGGATTACAGGCGTGAGTTACCATACCCAGCCTTCTTTCTATTTTTCTTTTTACAAACCTTGTGACCTTCTTTTGGTGTGGGTGTCTGTCCTCTGGGCCTCTCCTCTGCCCTCATCAATTCCACGGGGACTGGTTCTCTCTCCCTCCTTGTCCAACCCCTTCACACTCCTGTTGTCCTTCCACTGTGCTGTTCCAATCCTGATGGAAAGTGCAGCGTCAGCCCCTTCTCAGGGTGTGGCAAGGAGTCTTGCATCACAGTCCAGGCTTCCCTGGCCCACTGCAGACCTCTGGGCTCCCAAGTTGCCCCCAGAAGAGACTCATGCTTCTGATCAGTCCATGGTAGCCATGCAACAAAATGACTGCTGGTTGCCTCCAAATTCCACTCTCTCTCTTCTTATCTTTCCTCTTACCAAGTGCTCTCCAATCTTTCAAAAAATGTTTTTATTTTCTAATAGCACACATTGTTTTTCTCTGAATTAAAAATATTTACATTTACATCAGACAAAAATTGGAAAGTACAGAAAAGGACAAAGAAAATTCCCATCACTCAAACCTCTCTGCCCAGGAATCATCATCATTAGCACCATCCTGGGCGTGCAACCCTGCAAGAATCCCCATTTTACAGATGTGGAAACTGGCATGCAGAGGGGTAAGTTACTTCCCAAGTGTCACTGGCATAGAAAGGGGCAGGGCCAGGATCCAGGCCAGTCTGATTCCAAAGCCCCTGCTCTGCACATCTCTATACCCTCATCCTTTCCTGTCTCTCCAGGGCTCCAACCACTGGGGCCTGGTTTCTTGTGTGGCACAGATAGAGCAGGTACAGAGAGGCAGGCTGAAGCCTCCATCTGGCAGGGCTGTCCATCAAAACAGCAACTGGGTATGTGCCCTCAGCTCATGGGAACACACCCTTACTCTGGATGACCATTCACCAAAGAGGTATGAGACACTCTCCCTTGTCTTCACCCACAGAGCACCTCCTACCCAGGCCTCATGGCAACACGAGAAAAAGCCATTTCCCAATGGCCGATACTGTTTATACATTTGTCTTCTCCCAGTCTCAGCTCCCTTAGAGGCAGAGAGCAAGTCTAGGGAAAAGACTCTGGAAACTTGTAAAGACAGGTGGCTATGAGGCTCTGCCTTCTCCCTTTTGCAGAATTTAGAAAAGTACCTCAGCACTCACCACAGCAGCCATCTTGGCCATTGCAGGTCATAAGCAAATGACTCCGAAGGCACCAGGCACACATCCTTCCACAAAAGCACTCTGCTGGCTGGGGTGTCATGGCCAGGCTGCTCTGAACACTGCCAGGTGCCCTGACACAATCTTCTATTTCTCCTGGGGACAGGCACTCCCTGGGCTACCCAGAGTGACCGCATGCTTCCCACAACAATTTTACATTAAGGAGCTTATTTATGAGGACCTTAGGGAGATATATATATGACTTGCATATATATTTAGAAAGAGAGATGGGCAGAGACAGAAAGAGACAGAGACAAAGAAACAGAGAACGTAAATACATACACACATGCACACACATAAACGACCCCTATCTGTGTCTATGAAACGTCATTACTATGATGTCTTGTTTGGTGCCTGTTTGCCCTGCTTCATGGTGAACTCTGTGAGGGCAGACACAGTGTGAGGGCAGACACAGTGTGAGGACAGACACAGTGTGTGGACCGCCCTTTGCTGCAGCCTCAGCCTCCAGCCCAGAGATCGCACAGAGTCATGCGAGAACGAGGGAGCCTTCAACGTGCCTTGTCTCCATGCACTCTCCTCCCCTCCCCAATGCTCCAATCATTTTGTCTTTGCCTCACCACAGTCAACATTCTGCTCAGTCTCCCATCAACATACACCACAAATCCTGCTGACCACAGCTAGCCTGGTTCCTGCCTTTAGGGAACTTACAGTCCCCAAAGCTGGGGACTAGCTAGAAAGACAGAATTAAAAATATTCAGCCAAATATTAACCCCCTAACATCTGAGTAGATATATTTGCTGGGCCTCTTGGTCATAAAAAAACAGAAACCCAACTCAAACCGACTGAAGCAAATAAGGAAACCATGTGGATTTCAGGCATGGCTAGATCCAAGCCCTCTAGCTCTGTGTAATAATGTAATCGGGCTCATTCTTTCCTCCCCAACCCCTCCTCATGTCTCAGCTCTGCCTTTCTCTGTGTTCTTTTCACCATCTCACTCAATGTCTGCCCTGCAGTGATGAGATAGCCATCCTCAGCTCCACGCCATATCCCCCCAGTTCAGCCACTCCTACCAGGAAAGGAGTCTCCTTTGCCCAGTGGTTTCAGAGTAAAACACAACAGCAGCAACACAGTTGAGCATCATGGGACTCCTTTGAGTCTGGTGCTCAATTTTGAACCCATGACCCTGTCTTGTGACACCAAGTATGCTTAGTATGCTTCTTACCAAGGCCTGGGCCACACCCTCACTGCTGGAGCCTGCCATCCAAAACAAGACCTGAGGCTGAGAAAGATGTAGTTCCTCAAGAAGGTGCGGATGCTGTGCTCACAAGTGGGAAGGGAAGCGCTGTTTTTATAGTACACACAGTCAATGTCCACTAGGGCAGGTATCAGCCAGCCCAGCTTCCACACTTCACTACCCTTTATTCTTTCCCCATACTTTACGGTATCTGACATCAACAAGCACATTGAAAAAGTGGAGACATGGGTGTTATGAGGCTCATGTTATGTGTAGAAGATTTGGACCTCTGTCTGCAGATGCCCTGGGTTCTGGGGCTCTGCCTGGAACACAGGGCTCCTGAGACGCTGGCAGCATCCTGGTGGATGAGTCCAGAATTTGGATTTTGCAGGGGTCTCAGATCCTCAGCAGCAGTCTCTGGGCCTCAGCTGTTCCTGATGCAGTAGCTGATCTTCAAAGCACAACAGAGATGACCTGGGGTCATAGCCCGATGACCCGATCCAGGTCACCAGCCCATCCGGCTCCCCAAAGTCACCCCAGCCAGCAACCCAGCCAGGCCCTGTGTGAGAGGTTAAACTTTCCTCCCCAGGGGCCTTGAATTACAAGAGCCTAGCACTTGGACACCCTCTCCTTTCAAAGCACTCTTCCTTCCTTCCTTCTGGTTAGCACAACGGAGAAAGCCCCATTATCATTAATCACCCAGGGGCCTCCAGGGATGGGAACTGCAAGATTTCTAAGCCATGAAAAGCCCACATCAAAAGAGCCTGCTCTACTTGGATCCTGATTTGCTCTCACTGAAGCTCCCAGGCCAGGTTGAGACCTTGTAAGATGCAAAGAAATGAGGGCGAAGGGGAAGGGGCAGGGGAAACAGAGGCTGTCCTCATTGTTTAGCCATTGGAGGTGTTTTTGCAAGGTAGCTGCTTTGTTCCCCATCCCAGAAGAGATGGTGGGAGGTTTCATCTTCTCTAGAAACCTGAACAATCTGAGAGGGCCAGTTATGCGATTGGCAGAGCCTGGTGTGAAATGGAAATGCGGGGCCCCTTGTTCAAAAATTATGATGACCTTTAAGACAGCAACAGCAGAGCATTAGCAAGTGCACAGGTGTGCACGCTCACGAGGCCAGCCCTGCTCAACCGTTATTTCCAAGCTTACGAATATAACGTCCTCAAACTGGCTTTCCCTGGGCTGTCTCCAGTACTGCCTCCCTCCCCAAGCACTCATTTTCCCATCCCCCCATTTCATTCTTTTCATTTCCTTATCATGCTCTGAAAAAAAAAATTTTTTTTAATTGAGACAGAGTTTCACTATTGTTGCCCAGGATGGAGTGCATTGGTGCAATCTCAGCTCACTGCAACCTCTGCCTCCCAGGTTCAAGTGATTCTCCTGCCTCAGCCTCCCAAGTCGCTGGGACTACAGGCACCCACTACCATGCCCAACTAATTTTTTATACTTTTTGTAGACACGGGGTTTCACCACGTTGGTCAGGCTGGTCTCCAACTCCTGACCTCAGATGATCCACCCACCTTGGCCTCCCAAAGTGCTGGGATTACAGGTATGAGCCACTGTGCCTAGCCTGAAAATATTTTTTTTTAATTTGCTCATGTTCATGTTTATATCCCCAGGAGAAGGTAAGCTCAGACAGGGCAGGGACTTGGCCAGCCTTGTATAGTGCTTTGTCCCCAGCGCCCAGCACATGGCTGGCCACACACAGAGTGCTCAATCAGGGTTTGGCAAGTGAATGAGTAGATGATCCACCTGATCATCCATGGTGGATTCTGGGGCTGCTGAGAGGCGCTAGTGCCATGCCCGCAGGCTTCCCTCGGTGACGGTTTCTGCACCGGCCCCACTGTTTTTAGCTGACAGCATTGCCTCACAGTTCTAACAGTGACACCATGAAACCCTCACAGTTTGCCCTTTCAGCTCACTTTACAGGAAGAGGATATCCTGAAGAAATTAAAGAAAGGTGGGATGTTCAACAAAACCCCATAAATAATCTCCTGGCATGCCTTGATGACTCGGCCTTCCACCAGGTCCAAATGTCATGTTTTATTTCCAGTCGATGGCCAGAAGCAAGAGAAATCACTTACAAAATGCCCAACCCTCCATTTCATTCCCCTACCCCATCGCTCAACACACTGAAAAGCCTCCAGCAAACTGACTGGCAGATGTATCCCCTCTGACCCAGCGGTTTCACTCCTAGGGACACGCCCATCAGAAATGCACCCATCCACCCCCTGAAAGTCATGCACCAGAATGCTCCTAGCAGCATTACTCACAAAAACTACCCAAATGCCCCTCAACGGTAGAATAGATAGATAAACTGTGAGTGGAACACTACGTGGTAATAAGAATAAACAATCTACAACCGTATGCAACGATAAGGATAAATCACAAACACAATGTCAAGCCAAAGACACCAGAAATGAAAGAACTCATACCGCTTGGTTCCATTTTCATAAAGTACAAAAATAGGCAACACAAATCTCTGTTGTTGGACGTGGGGCTAGCAGCTACCTTTGGGGTGAGGGAGTGACTACAAGGAGACCCAAGGGGCTTCTGAGAGAGTGTTATCATCTGTGTTGAAGTTTGCGTGATGGTTCCATCGGTGTTCTCAGTTTGTGAAAATGAATGCATTCTACACTTTTTTTTTTTTTTTTTTTTTGGATACAGGGTCTGGCTTAGCTGCCCAGGCTGAAGTGCAGTGGTGTGATCACAGCTCATTGCAGCCTTGACTTTACAGCTTTAAGAGATCTCCCCACCTCAGCCTCCCAAGTAGCTGGACCACAGACATGTGTCACCATGCCTAGCTAATTTTTTGATTTTTGGTAGAGACAGGGTCTCACTATGTTGCCCAGGCTGGTCTCTAACTCCTGGGCTCAAGCTACACTCCTGCCTCAGCCTCCTAAAGCGCTGGGATTCTAGACATGAGCCACCATGCCCAGCCCATCCTACACTTTTGATACTCATGCATTCTTCAACAGTAAGTTTACATTTTTATTGAAAAAGAAAAAACTCTAAATGTTCAGCAAGGCACAAGTTATACATATTAACAGAGCACCATGGTTAAGAGTAGGGTGCCTCTAGGGCTGAATTTCTGAGTATGAACTTTGGCTCTGACACTTACTAGCTGCATGACTTCAGACAAGTTATTTAACCTCTCTGTGCCTCAGTTTTCTTCATCTACAAAATGGGAGAAACAATAGTCCCTGCCTCATAAGGTTGTTTTGAGATTTAAGCTTGGAAATATTTGCAAAAGGCTTAAAATTGCACCTGGAACATGTTGAGTGTTATGTACCTGTGAGCTTTTATCAATAGGGGAATAGGATGGTGGAGGTAGTACTGTATCCATCCATAATAATAAATGGAAAAGATGCCTTTAAAATATGTTTAAGTCCAGGCACAGTGGCTCACGCCTGTAATCCCAGCACTTTGGGAGGCCGAGATGGGAGGATTATTTGAGGTCTGGAGTTTGAGACAAGCCTGGCCAACATGGCGAAACCCCGTCTCTATGGAAAATACAAAAATTAGAGAGGCATGGTGACACACACCTGTAATCCCAGCTACTTGGTAGGCTAAGGCAGGAGAATCGCTTGAACTTGGGAGGCGGAGGTTGCAGAGAGCCAAGATCATGCCACTGCACTCCGGTCTGGGTGACAGATATATATATCTATATACACATTCCCTTAACAGGATGCATATATATATATATATGCATCCTGTTATATATATATATATATATATATATATATATATATATATATATATATATATATATCACCATATATATATATATATATATGCATCCTGTTAAGGGAATATATATATATACACATATATATATATCACCCATTATATATATATATATATATCATATATATATCACCCATTTTATATATATATGTCTATATCATCCATTATGTATCTATATCACCCATTATATATATATATATCACCCATTATATATATATACAATGTTAAATATATGATTATGTGCCTATGCACTTAATTATGTGTTCTAAGAGCTTTACATGTGTGAAGTCATGTCATTCTTCTCATAGCATTTTACAGATGGGGAAACAGAAGCACAGAGAGGCCAAGTCACTTCTCCAAGGCCCCCTAGAGACTGAGAAGCAGAGCTGGGATTTGGGCACATACCCGTAACCAACAGGTTCGCTCATGGTGGAACCTGGATTCTACTCCACACCCAGGTCTTGATCACACCTGGAATTGGGGATGGAAGCAAATAAAGGATTCACGCTGGCACCTGATGAGCCAATAAAACAATTCTCTCAACCTAGAAGTAGATTTAATGACAGAGAGATATACAAGCTGCTGTAGTGGGACGCTGCCGAAAAGGTGAATCCATGAGCTGGGAAGAAGAAGGAAAAAGTTAAAAAGTTACCCAATTAAGATTTTACTTTCAGGAGCAAATCCCCAAATGCAGATGGCATAGACTGGCATGAACACTGCAAGAGCCTGGCTTTTGTTTTGGTTGGTTTATTTTTCTCTTCTTTTTCCTCAGAGCTGCAAGGAACCAGGGAAAGGGAAGGAGGTTAGAACCCACACATATCCCAGCATGCCAGCCTGTGCCCTGCCAAGCAACTTGACTTGTCTAGTGCTTCTAAACAGCTGGAAAAATGTCAACCTGTCATCAGTGATTAAAGGGGGATTTTCCAAAGGTTTCAAAAATATTTCAGAATTCAAGGCCTTACTCCTCTTGCGGAAAATAAATCCAAGCAGCATTCCCTTAACCGGATGCATCATGGGACCTGATCTCCTTATCGGTTTTCCTCTCCAGGTTTTGATGGTGGTATAAGACATGCTAGGCCCTTGATGCGGCTTCCTTTGTGGCCTCAGGGAGGTCTCTTTGGCTGCTTCAACCCAACCAAGACGCATGGGAGCCAGCCTTAGGCCCAGTGTTGCACCAGAATGCCTGTAGCTCTGTGATGAAAAGATGGGCGGGCCCATTAGCTCCCCGGGGCAGACTTGCAAAGCTCCTGATGATCAGAAGTTTGCCATGTCCACCTCTGTAAGCAAGACCAATTACATAATCTGAGACCCAGTGCAAAATAAAACTGCAAGGCACTTGTTCGAAAATTCTTTAGCATCTCAAGATGGCAACAGCAGAGCATTAAACCAAAGGAAGGTCTCTGTGCACAGGCCACATGCCCATGAAGCCAGCCCTGTCTGCCTGCATGGGGCCTAGACCAGAGCCAGAAATCTAGTCCATGATCAATTGACTCTTCCTGGCCGGGCGCAGTGGCTCACACCCGTAATCCCAGCACTTTGGGAGGCCAAGGCAGGTGGTTCACCTGAGGTCAGGAGTTCGAGACCAGCCTGACCCACATGGTGAAACTCCATTTCTACTAAAAATACAAAATGAGCCGGGCATGGTGTTGCATGCCTGTAATCCCAGCTACTTGGGAGATTGAGACAGGAGAATCTCTTGAACCTTGGAGACAGAGGTTGCAGTGAGCCAAGATCGCACCATCGTACTCCAGCCTGGGCAACAAGAGCAAAACTCCGTCTCAATTAAAAAAACAAAAAAACTGACAACTCTTCTTGAATGTACATCTTGATATTATAATGACCCGTCAGAGAATGTTCTTTTGGCTCCTGAACGGTGATCATTCTTTTTCTAACATTTTCTGAGTGCTAACCAGGTACGAGGCATTACTGTTAGCACATCCCTAAAATGCTGTGGGGTAGGAACTATTATTGTCACAGAGGAGGAAACTGAGGCACACAGGGTGCTGAATCACTGGCTCAAGGTCAAACAGCTGGTAAGAAGTGGGGTTGGATTTCAACCCTGAAGGTCTGGCTCCAGACCCTCCTGCCAAGAGAGGATTAGACACACTTAGAGATCAGGTGGCCCCTCTCCTTGAGGATGGGACCCACATCTTGTTCCTCTTTGCATCCTCTTCCCTGTGCACGCCAAAAAGGGGCAAATATTCAATAGATGTCTATGAATTCCATCATGCAGGCAACATTACTGAGCACCCCTGCTGCACAAGCCAGAAGTTTGTCCTGGAACCATGTGCTAATATTTAATCACTAGCATGGCATGGGAACTGACAAATTAGAGTGGCCCTCAGAATTGTGGGTGGCCCCTGCTGTGCTACACTTCACCCCTTTGGTTACTGGAGGTAGGGCCTTTGGGGCCCTGTATTTCCGTAGGGAGGGATGGAAATATTTCCATATTTTAACAACTATCAGAACTTTGCATGGAAATACCAGCTAAATATCTTCCTGCTCCCTGCTCACCTCCCCATGATTACAGAGTTATCTGTTGCATTCCAAAGAGCGTCTTGCTAATTCCAGTCTCTAAAATCCAACTTAAATCCACAAATATTTGGCAAATCATGCCACAGACCAAGAAAATGCTGGAGGGGACAGTGCAGAAAGAACTGAATGTGGCATTCTGCAATATTATTGAGACCATGCCTGGCACACACTAGGTGCTCAGTTAATATCTATTAAACGAAGCTAAACTGAAATTAGATGCCCTACCTCAAGACCTGCAAGCCCAGTTAGGACCAATGTTTTGGATTTGAAAGCTATTGTATTTGTCATCCATTGCTAGGTAACTATTTTTCCCAAACTTAGCAGCTTAAAACAGGGATAGACAAACTTTTCCTTAAAGGGCCACATAGTAAATATTTTAGTCCTGTGGACATATAGTCTTTTGCTGCAACTACTCAATAGCTACTACTGTTGAAGTATGAAAGCAGCCATAACAATAGGCACATTAGTGAACATTACCGTGTTCCAGTAAAACTTTATTTACAGAAACAAGTGGAATATATTTTGCCAACCCTTGGCTTTGAACAGCAAACATTTATTACTTCACAGTTTCTGTAGTCAGGAATCCAGGTGCAGCTTATCTGTGTGCCTTTGGCTCAGCTTCTCCTCAGGTTCAGTCACATGGTCAGCCAGGGCTACAGTCACCTGAAGACACAGGACTAGAGAATTCACTTCAAGCTAACCCACATGGTTGCTGGCAAGTTGCAATTCATTGCCATGTGGGCCTGTCCGTGTGCTATCTGAGTATTCTCGTGGCATCACAGCTGTGGATGTTAGAGAGAGAGTAAGAGAGGGACAAGACAGAAGCCATAGTCTTTTTTATAACCTAATCTCAGAAGTGGCATCCTATTGCTAAATTAGAGGCAAACAATAAGTTTAGCCCGTACTCAAAGAGAGTAGGCGCTACAAGGACATGAGAGTCAGGAGCTCAGGATCATACTGGGAACAGGCTACCTCAGTCACTCATCTTGTCATCCATTCAGCAAAGATTCTTTATGCACCTACTATATACCACTGAGAATACAGTGGTGACCAGACAGGCTGTCCCTGCCAGCCTGGCACTGCCAGTCTAAGTTGTTTTTTTTTCTTTTTTAATTGATCCTTTTGTTATAAAACAGACAAAGAGAAACAAAATAAGTAAATAAAACCCCCCCAAAATGAGAAAATTCTCCATATAATTAAAAAAAAAAAATTTCCAAGGATTCATAGATATCTAGCTCAAGCAACAGTTCCTATAACAAAGATTTAAAACAAATAAACAACAACAACAAAAAAACCCAAAAGACTCCTGGAGCCAGGTAGACAGCATGAAAAAGTGAAGACTTTCCTTCTCAGATAGCAAATGTTATCAAGAAAGAGCTTGGATCCCATCTCAAGGAAGCCACTGCCCCTATTCAAGTCTAGCCTCTTGTGGACTTGCCAGAATTTCAGTTATGTGCTGCCAGATCTGATTTATCAAGAAAAGCTTACCACTGAAATTTTATATTAAACCTTCTAACTTTGCAGTATGGGCAATAGTGATAGATTGTGTTACTGTCCACCAATTTCCTGTCTGTCTCAGCTTGGTTTCCCTCTGTAGTAGGTCCCCAGGCAAAGGCTTACATGCAGGTCGTTTACTGGGGAAATGATCCCTAGGAGTAAGTGCAGGCCCAGGGAGTGAGACAGGGATGAGAGGTAAGCCATGTAAGGATGGGTAAGTATGGGTAAGGACGGGTAATTGGAGTGAGTGCTGCTCTAGGTGCTAGCATCTCAGAACTAACTGCCTGCCCTGAGAACGGAGGGGGACAGTTATTCATCCATGCCCTCCCCTTTGGCCAAAGATAGCCCTCTTTGGCCTATCTTGCAAAGTTCCTCTGCACTTGCAGGTGGCATGTGTGTGAGTGCTCACAGGTTCCTGCTGGTACCCAGGGCACTGCATCAGAAAAGTAAGAGGTATGTAGTGGGTACTGTCAGGCTAGCCCTGCTCAAGGGTTGTTGAAACAGTGGCTGGAATAGAAGGTGGGCCTAAAAGGATTTGAAGGGATGCACAGGAGGTGACCCATAGAGTGCCCCTCCCTGCAGGGGGCATATGCATCCCTGCCCTCTTGACTTTAAGCATGGTTACAAGATTCCTTTGGCCAATGAAATATCAGCAGAAGTAGCATGGGTTGCTGCCAAACAGAAATTTCAAGAGCCAGTCTGTGGTACACCGTGCCCTATTGCTCTTGGTCATGGCATTCAGCAACACTCCAGATAGAAGCTATTCTGTCAGACAGGATCCTGAAGTGCAGAAGGCATGGAGTAATGTCATAGCAAACAACATATAGAGTGGGTGACTACCAGCCATGAAGATACGAGGCTTATTTGTTACTGCAGCAAAGCCCAGCCCAACCTGACTGATGCAGCAATTCAATTACACCTAAAAAGAATTGTGAAACCACGCAAAATGATCAAAACATGTGGGAGTTAGCCCCAAGATGCCCTTTTGTAAACTCTGTCTTAGAAGAACAAAATTCTAGCTTAATAAATGAACTAACCTGGTCCTTCTAGTTCACTTTGCAAGCTGTGGGTTTGGGGAGTCTCTGCTCTATACTGTAATACCATGGCCTTGGTGCCAGCCATCAGCACACAAGGAGACTTCTGGAGTTAGTCCTAGCTCCATGTCCTTCACACTGACAAGCTTAGGGAGATGGTTAAATCGACATACTAAGCAGGAAGTTTGGGGCTGTCTTCTTTCTCCATCTGAGGTCTAAAGGAGCAGGTGAGATTTGCAAGTAAGAAGGAGGCATCAGTCTGAAGGGCTGAATTTCATGACCTTGCTCTCTGCTTGAGAAGAAAGGACAAAGACTCATAGACTCCCCCTTGTAAGTTCAACAGGGCTTCCCACATCACCTCTCCAGGTCTAGTGACATTAGCAAGTAAGTATCAACATGCAGACTGAGTACAGAACCACCAAACACAGGAAGCTCGGTCCCTACCACAGGGCCTTTGCACTTGCTGTATCTTCTGTTTAGAATAATATAATGCAGTAGAAATATAATAGGAGCCATAAATGTAAAAATTTGCTCATATTTCATTAGCCAAAATCTTCTAGTTCCCACATTTAGAAAAGTAAAAAGTAAAATAAATGTTAATAGCATACTTTGTTTAGCCCAATATATCCGGATGGCCCCTCTCCTTGAGGCTGGGACCCATGTCTTGTTCCTCTTCACATCCTCTTCCCTTGTCCACCCCAAAGAGTGACATTCAATAGATGACTCATTTAATATTGTTTGGATGTTTGTCCCCACCAAATCTCATGTTGAAATGTAATCCCCAATATCAGAAGTGGGGCCTGGTGGAAGGTGTTTGGGTCATAGGGGTGGATCCCTCATGAATGGCTTGGTGCCATCCTTGTGGTAATGAATGAGTTCTCACTCTATGAGTTCACACGAGATCTGGTTGTTTAAAAGAGCCAGAGGCCAGGCACAGTGGCTCATGCCTGTAATCTCAACACTTTGGGAGGCCGAGGTGGGCGTATCACCTGAGGTCAGGAGTTTGAGACCAGCCCTGTCAACATGGTAAAACCCTGTCTCTACTAAAAATACAAAAAGCCAGGCATGGTGGCAGGCACCTGTAATCCCAGCTACTTGGGAGGCTGAGGCAGGAGAATTGCTTGAACCCAGGAGGCAGAGGTTGCAGTGAGCCGAAATCGTGCCATTGCACCCCAGCCTGGGCAACAAGAGTGAAACTCCATCTCAAACAAACAAACAAACAAAAAAGAAAAACAAGAGCCTGGAACTTCCTCACTTTACTGCTCCTCTCTCACCATCTGATGTGCTTGCTCCCCCTTTGCCTTCCACCATGATTGTAATCTTCCTGCAGCCCTCACCAGAAGCAGATGTTGACACCATGCTTTCTATACAGTTTGTAGAACCATGAGCCAAAATAAACCTCTTTTCTTGATAAATTACTCAGTCTCAGGTATTCCTTTATAGCAATGCAAGTAGACTAACACATCATGCAATCATCTCCATGTGTAATCAATATTTTAAAATTAATTAAAAGAGGCCAGGCACAGTGGCTCACACCTGTAATCCTAGCACTTTGGGAAGCCGAGGTGGACGGATCACTTGATGTCAGGAGTTCGAGACCAGCTTGGCCAACATGGTGAAACCCCATCACTACTAAAAATACAAAAATTAGCTGGACATGGTGGCAGGAGCCTGTAGTCCCAGCTACTCTACTCAAGAGACTGAGGCAGGAGAATTGCTTGAACCCGGGAGGTGGATGTTGCAGTGAACCAAGATCATACCACTGCACTCCAGCCTGGGCAACAGAGCAAGATTCTGTCTCAAAAAAGTAAAATAAAATAAAATAAAATAAAATAAAGATATTTTACATTATTTCTGTTCTTCCCAAGCCTTTGAAATCTGGTGTGTATTTCACATGTTTGGCATATCTCAGTCTGGACCAGTTGCATTTCAAGGGCTCCATGGCCACATATGGCTAGTGGCTACTGCACTGGACATAGCAGCTCTAAAATACACTTTCCCCAGGTTTTTCGTGACTTGTTCCACTTCCACTAAATTGTTACCTCCTCACAAATGCCTCCTGTGATTGTGCCATTTATCTAAAGCTGCGGCCCTCCTGCCTCCTCTCACGTCATCTTGGGCATTTGTTTCCCAGAGCTGCTATAAGAAATTACCACAAACTAGGTGGCTTAAAACAACAGAGGTTCACTATCTTGCAGTTCTGGAGGCCAGAATCTGCAATCAAGGTATTGACAGCATTCTGGTCCCTCTGAAGCCACTAGGGGAGAAGCCTTTCCCACCCCCTGTCAGCTTCCGGTGGCTGCCAGCAACCCCTTGCATTCTTTGGATTATAGCCGCATCACTCCAATCTTTGCCTCTGTCTTCAGGTGGCTGTCTTCTCCCTTGGGTCACAGTCTCTGTATCTTTTCTCTTCTTAGAAGGACACTAGTCATATTGGATTAAGAGTCCACCTCACTCAAGCATGAGATGAAACTTCAGCATCTGCAATGGCCGTGTTTTTAAATCAGATCACACCCTGAGGTTCTGGGAAGGACTTGAATCTGGGGAGGACGCTATCCCAACCAGTACACGGTGTGTTATTGTTTGTTTTGTAGAATGTAACGCTATCTTCAGCTGTCCTGTGTGTGTCCCTTTTCAGTATCTAATTGCCCCACTAAAATCTAAGCTCTATTACAACAAGGTACTTCTCTAATTCACCACTCTATCCCCAGCACTTAGCACTGCTCCTTGGCACATGGAAGGCACTCTGTAAATACGTGTTGCAAAGAAAAAAGGAGAGAGGGAGAAAAGAAGGGAAAATGCAGCTTTTCTGGCTTGACATGTTTAAGATGGTGCATGGGACTCAAGGGAGGGCTGGGCCTAAGGTGTGGGGGAATCAAGAAAAAGTTGGGGCTTCCTCCTAATTCCTGTTGCAGGATCTTTCTTCCCATTCTCTTCCCAGGAGCTTGAGAATAGGCCCAGCTGTGATACCTGGATAGTCTCCGGGGAGTCAGGACTATTCATTCCTGTCACTCTTAGACACCTACCCTCACCCTTACCCCACCATGGCAAAGCAGCTGCCCAGCTAACCAGAAGCATGGCAGAGAGAAGAGTCACTTGCCATGCTGACCTAGCATGTGCTAGGTCCCTCACATTGGAGGACAGTGTCTACTTGCAAGCATGTCCCATTATCACAGCTGATGATACAAAGTAGGGATAACAAATTCAGCTGCCTGAAAGCAATTGAGAGACGTGGGCCAGATGGGGACTGGAGCAAACTAGAGTGTGTCCAGGTAGAAGGGCAGCAGCTATGAAATCTGGGTATTTGTTCTCATAAAGAAGTCTTGTATTTCTTAGCCTTCCAATTTTTTAAACAAACCCTAAGGCCTAGATTTTTAAATGAAATCACCTAAGTAGCAAGTGTTAGCAAGCAATTCAATCAAAAAGGGGGGGGAAAGGCCACTATGGAGGCCAAACCAAAAAAAAAAAAAGAGCCTGTGATCAGAGGCAATCACTGATTCACAACCGCTGGTGCACTGCAATCTGTCAGTTTGTCTTTAAGAATCTGAAATTTCCAAACAGTGTAAATGAGAACAAGACAGAACTCTGGTGCATAGACTCATGCAGGTAAGCTGAACAAAAACAACAAAGTCAAGAAACAGTTCCAGACATCCAGAGTTAGGCCTAAGCAGACCAGAACACCTTTTTCCTCTCCCTCAACCTAGTCATTAGCAGGGATAATGGATCCTTGACCCCAGTTGTATTTTTGCCCAAATCTTCCCCAATATTTGTGGGAAGTGTGAAGATTCAGGGGGAGGTAAAGTTGGGCAGCCTGATCGCCCCTTTCCTTCAGTCAAACCAGGGACTAGTCTTTCAGCATCTCTCCCCCAAACTCTCATCATCTCCTCCCAAGCCCCCAAAAGGACTGCTCTCCCTCCCAAAGGGATCATAGTTAAAAATATCAGACAGGATTTCAGCCTGGGCTTTGCAAAACTCTCTAAGCCTCAGTTTCCCCATCTCTAAGATTAGGGTTAGGTCATAACCCAATTTTGTGCCAATTTTGTATAAAATTTGTGTACATGAGAGAAAGGTACTGTTCCTCCAGTGTGGCCCCAAGCCAAGGTACACATATTGGTGAACACAGCAGGGCTAGACTTCACACCCTTTTAGCCCGTCGGTGCCCTTGTTCAATGAACATCCTGTACTACCACACATGGCCACCCTGGATAGCCTCTAGCTTGTAGACTTATAGTGAGAATTAAATATGATACAGTTTGAAAATGCTTAACACAATTATTTGGTAAATAATAATAAATCAACATTATGTTTTTAATCTTTTTTTTCTTTTTTCTTTGTTTTTTTGAGACAAAGTCTCGCTCTTGTCCCCCAGGCTGGAGTGCAATGGCGCGATCTCAGCTCACTGCAACCTCCACTTCCTGGGCTCAAGCAATTCTCCTGCCTCAGCCTCCTGAGAAGCTGGGATTACAGGCACCTGCTACCATGCCCAGCTAATTTTTGTATTTTTAGTAGAGATGGGGTTTCACTATGTTGGCCAGGCTGGTCTCGAACTCCTGACCTCAGGTGATCCGCCCACCTCGGCCTCCCAAAGTGCTGGGATTACAGGTGTGAGACACCGCGCGCCCAGCCTAATCTTAATTTTTTTATACGCTCCTCAACAGTCCTAGCTCTTGAGGTTGTCAACATTATTTTAGGTAGTGTGCAGTCTTGGATCAGAGAATTAAATTAACACTGAATTAAATGAACATTGAATAGTGAGAAACATTCTCTTTTCAATTGTCTCATTTCTTCCGAGAAAGATTCAGTATTTAACACTTCCAACACTTGCTAATGACACACACACACCTGAGCCTCTAGGAGTCTTTCCAAGCCAGCAAAACGGCTAACATGTATTAACATTGCTTGGTTTTAGCTGTGTTTATCTTTTACCACTTCCTTTTCTGGTGAGTAACAGCTACTTTTCAATTTACAGTGGTAGTATCAGATTTTCTTTCCAAAAATATGTACTTTGATTTTAAAAATGAGTCAATTTAAGGAAAAATGTTAAGTAAATAATAAAGGTAGTAGCGGGAAGCTTGAAGTTTGGGAAACTCGACACCAGACAATTCCAGACAAGGCCAGACCTTGATGTTCTGAATTCCCAGCAAGGCTCACGTCGATTCCCCACAAGCTTAACTCAGAGTTTGCCCCTCGAAGCTCCTGACTTTAATAAACCTTCAGCTTATTGAAAGGCGTTCCTGGGTCACGCCTCCTGAGCGCCTTGGACCTTATCAGGGAGGGGCAGTCAGTCCCTCCTGAATGACTGAAGTGGGCTCAGCCAGGGCAGAGGCAGGATCCGAGTCCTGACAGCCGAAAGGCCTGCCTACAACCTCCCCTGGCCAAGCGATGCCAAGGCGCCCTCCAAGATTAACGAGGAGCGAGCGGAGCAGGGTACACAACAATGTGGCTGTGTTTGATCCCGCGACGTGTCACTTGGAATCTCAATTTATTGCCAATAGACGACGTTGTCAGGCACTAATTTTCTGGTGGCGCTCCATCACAGGCCTCTCAAATCAGGGGAGGGGCTCAGAGGCCGGTGGGCAGGGGGGCTCGGAGGAGCCGTCGCGAGCCAGCCGGGGGTTCCTGTAACGAGGCTTTAATGAGGGGAGCGCGACGGCCTTTGTGGACAAACCGGAGGAGGAGGCGGCGGCCGGGTCAGGAGCTCGGCAAGGTCGCTTCCTCCCCCGGCCCCCAGAGCCCGGGAATCCGGAGAGGGTCAGCGGCGGCCGCCAGGCCGGGTGCCTACTGAGGGGCTGTCCTGGGCCCACACCACCCTCGCCCACTCCGAACTGCGAACTGCGGCAGGAAACACAACATTTCCAAGCAACAATGCAAACGCGCTCATTACCATCTCCTCAATATGCATGAAGAAAATGCACAGCGCTGGCCGAGCCCCCTCACACGGCTCTGGCCTCGGCGTCCAATAAGGCGACAAATTCATCTCCCAGGATGAATGAGGAGGGGGCGCCGGGGAGGCAGATCCACGTGGGGGAGGGGACGGATCCCGGAGAGGGAGAGGAGAGAATATTTACGGAGAGGAGAACCTGAGAGACAGAACCTGAGAGACAGAAATCCAAGGAGGAAATAGGAGAGGATCCGGATGGAAGTGGGGAGGAAAGAAAGAAAATCAAAAACGGCAACTGCAGATGGGGGAAAGGGACACAGTCACAGACTCAGGGCGAGGAAAAAAGAGACATTAAGAAGGGGGTGAGGGAGGGAGCAGAAGGGAGAAAAGTGAACTGAAAAGTGGTCCAGGGCAAAGGCATAAAAACAGCACAATGAGGAAGCGGAGGAAAGAGAAGAAAAGCGAATGATCTAGAAATCGAAGATAGAGGAAATTGTGAGGACAGACGGAGGGAACGAGAAAAAAAAGGCATGGGGGAGGGGGCTGCTCAAGTCAGGTGGAAAACGGCTGATCCAGAAGAGGTAAAGCAAAAGAAAATCGTTCCCGCCGAGGGCCAGGTTCTTCCATCAAGGCCACTCTGAGCGCTGCGCCTCTCGGGCCGCTCAGAGACGCAGGGAAGTGAGACGGGTCGCGGGAGGCGCAGGGGCGAAGCGGAGGAGCAAAGAGCCCACCGGCCTCACGCCCCACTTTGGGCATCCCGACGCGCTCCAGGGTGCCCAGCACTGGCCCGGGGCCCACCCTGCGCGTCGCGGCCCGCCGCCGCTGCTGCACCATTCCGGCCAGCGGCCTCTTCCGCGCCAAGAGCGAAGTTGGCAAAGTTTTCCCCTAAGTGTCCCCGTCGCTTCTCCGGACCCAGGAAGGGCCTCCGAGTCCCTGGTGGCTGGTGGGGAGCGGCAGCACGCTCCGGAGAGCTCTGGAGGCCCCCGGTCCGCGTCTCCTGGGATGATCGGAGTCCGGATTCCTGGCCAAATACGAATTCCACCCTGTGCGGACGCCAGGCCACGCTCTCAGGAGTCCGCGGCTGCTAATAGCGGAGAAAGAGAACGCGAAAGTGGGAGAGAGGGAGAGAGAAGGAAAAAAAATATTCTCAGCTCAATTTAAGTCTCATGGAAAGGGCTTACAACTGTAATTAAATCATTAAATTCTTGTCTACGCTTCACAGAGCGGAGAGAAATTAACTTCCCACCAACCTCATTTTCTATTTGAACATGAAATAATGATTTTCTGCCCGTCTAATTACAAAGCCAACATCTGATCAAGCCAGCATCCAGAGGGGATTATCGCATGCACGAGTATTAGACCTCATTACCAGCTTGAGTGCAAAATTATTACATCTTGTAATTGGATGGTGAGATTTATATACAGATCGGCCCGGTTTCTGTAAGATTGTAATTACAAGCTTCGTTGGTTAGCTACTTATCAGAACTTTGCAGGAAAACAAAACAAATGACTGAGGAAAACGAGCATTTCATTAACCTGTAACCCGAGCGCGAGGGGGAGGGAACGGTGGGAGCGCGCGCCGCAGCGCCTGCAGGAAGCTCAGAGATCGCCGGCCCGCACCGCAGCCCGGGGACTTAGGGCCTGGGAGGGAAGGATAGAAGATGAGCCGGGGCTGGGAGTCCGAGGGCTGCCGCGGCTCCCCTCGACGGGGACGTGTGAGCACCGTGAGGCTGGGCGAGGAGGGGGCAGGAAGCGGGCCTGGTGACTCCCCTCTTGTGAAGTGCGAGGCGCAGCCCCCAGAACCTGGCGGGCCGCGGGCCCTGGGCACACGTCGGGCAGCCGTTCCCGGTGCGCATCCGGCGCACGCGCGCCAAGCGTGTGCGATGGACAGACACCCTCTCCGAACACTCCCCGCTCCCTGGGCTGCATTGAGAGGGCCTGCAGTCAGTCTCCAAAGCGCTTTGTGCGCTGGGAATGTTGAAAGAAGGCAAGATGATGGAGAAGCTTCTGCGTGAAGCGCGTTCGTGCGCGCGACTTTCCCAAATCTACTTCTGTGCACCTGCTTTTCTTCCCTGTGCGAGTGTGTCACTCTGACCCATTTAATCTGTTGGATTAAAAATCCCTGGAAAAGGTTCAGCTGCCCTCGGACCCTCGAGTTCAGCCCACAGCCGGGCTCCACTGGACCTGTCGAGTTGGGGGACCAGCGCCACGTTGGGACGCGGCTGCCTGGGACGCTGAGTCTCGACGTGGCGCGCAGATGGCCCGGACAGACCAGGGCTGTTCTCAATTGGAAAGTAGGGTAGCCAGGAGGCCGCTTCTGCTCGAGGCCTGGGGAGCCTGGAGGGATCTAATATGCGAGGTTCTTGGGTGCACGTCTCGGTCTGGAGGTTCATCCCCTGGGCTGTGGGCGCCCCCCCCCCCCACCCGCCGGCGTGACTGAGTCCCTAAGAGCCGCCTGGCCCTTCCCTGTCCTCTTTCTCGCCGCCCGCAGTCCGACGCAGACAGGTCGATAGCTGGTTAATGCAGAAGGAGCATCTCCGAGGCTCATTATTGTTTTTTCTTTTCCTTCTGAAAAAAGCTAAATTAAATATCGGGAGTCTCACTCGGTCACTTACAGCGCAGCCCCATTCCCCCCACCTCGGAATCTCGCTCTCAGCTCCTCCTGGTCTGGTGCCACCACTTTGTACAAACACTATGACTTCAGGGCCGTCGAGGCTCGAGGTCTGACACCTAGGAAACATCCCGGAAAATAACGTTACTCTCAATTTTGTAACCCCAAGTTTCTTCGCGTGAAAGTGAGCCCAACATTCCCTATGCCACTCTCTGTGAGGTTTAACGGGAAACGAAATCAGGCGTCGAAGAGATATTTCAAAGCCAGGGCGGCCCCTGATGACGCCTCCTCCGGCGAGGCTCCTGAGAAGGCACCAGGCTCCCCAGCACCAGGCAGAGGCGGAAGAGAAGGTGATAGGGAAACTACTCAGATGCAGTCTGGGAATACCCCGCTTTCCCTCATTGCCCCCAAAACCTGGTCCTCCCCAAACTTTCCCTTGTTTCCTCCCCGCCCCCATCCCGCCCGCGCAAGGTTTTTGGCGTTCACACCTACTAGGGCCGTGGGCTTGTGCCAAGACCCACGGAAAGAGGTGGGAGGTGGGAAGTGGGAGGTGGGCGGTGGGGGTGGGATCAAAACTGGGTGTCTGCCGTGGAGGTGGAAGAATTTTTCATTCCAGAGCTGGGCTCCCCAGAGCTGTGATCAGAGACAGCCGGGGCCAAGACCCTCTGATCTCCTCTGATCCCGCCACTCTGGTGGAATTCGAATTCGATTCCTGGATCCATCCATGCAAGGTGACGGTTTCCGCCTCCGAGCTGGGGCTGGCCACTCCACGGCAGAGTCACCACCCCCGTTTTGTCTCCGGGGCGTGCCCACTGCAGGCCTGGCCGGCTTGTGGGTCGCCGCCGCGGCCTAAAGCTCTGAGCCCCCAGCCGCGGCAATGCTGGGAATTTCAATGCCGCTATCGACTGCACGCCCTAATCCGTGAAGGTGGGCGCCCGATCCTGAGATTTCAAGTTTGATTTAGGAAATATCCCATCATTAAACCAAAACTCTTGCTTTCCATCCCCACCGGAGGCGGTGGGAGGATCCTTGCAGAGAGAAAAGAGGTTAGCGCCGGGACCGGGAGAAGGGGTAGGGGTCGCGCAAGGAAGGTTCTCCACAGACAAAAACGCCAATACAGAAACTTCTCGAAGAGCTCTCCAAAAGTTCCTAGGGCCTCCGTCCCCCGGCGCCCTGCTCCTCCCCCATTCCCAGCCGCCTGGGGCGCGGGCCTGCTTCACCGATTTGTGGCGGCTCCCTACCCTTCCAGTGCCCCCGGGCTGCCACCCTTCAGCCCCCGGAGCCAGCCCGCCATTTTTAGTAAGGGATTCGCACACGGACCCGGGGGCGGCGTTAAGTGGCTAATCTCTGGGTTTGGTCCTGCTGGGTTGGGGGCTGCCTCGCCCCCGCAAGGCAGCGAGGTGGCCTCTGGAGACTCTGTTAGGACGCACTCCCTCGCTCCCCACCCCCACGCCGGCTGCTAGCTCCCTCCCTAAGCTGCTGAAAGTGGCCGGGAGTCGAGAGGTGCGAGCTGTAAAAGGGGCCCGGGCACAGGGGAGCTCCCGGAGCCAGCCTCGGCCCAGGTCCCGCGCCTCAGCCTGGGGACAGGCTCGGAGGGGCGGGAGGCGGGAGGGGCGAGCTGACCCTGCACTCACCCAGTCCCCGCGCCTCTCGCTCCCCCGCCCGGCGCGAGCAGGAGGGGGCGGGCAGGGACTCGCGGCGCTCCGGCTCCCGCCCCTGCCCCGCCCCGCCCCGCGCGCGGGATCCGCGGGGGTGGGCGGCCTCGCCCGTAAGGCGCCCAGGCGATTGGCGACTCGGGGAAGAGACGCGGGGAAAAGTCGAATAAGAGGGCGCGACGTCAGACCCGAGATTTGGGGAAAGGCGAGGGAGGGGGTGGAAGGGCGGGGATGGACAGACAGACACCGACACACACCCCCCGCGCGGCACCCTAAGTGTCCACAACTTTTGGCTGCCTTACTTAGCCCAGGGCGCAGAGGCTGGAAAGGTCGCGGGGAGTATCGTGTGAGTAAAGAGAGAGATTTACAAAATAGAAGTAGTGAGAAAGGAAGAAGTGAAGGGAACGGACCGGAGAGCAAAAGCCCTCGTGAGAAAGGGAAAGAGAAGGGGAGAGGAGAAAGGAGAGTTTCATAGCGTCCAGGGCAGTGCAGGAGCCCGAAGCAGCGGAAGCGATCCTGGGGGGAAGAGGAGTGCGGAGAGGGGAGGGGAGAGGAAGGGCGAGGAGGGGGAGTGAAAACTAGAGGAGGGCGAAGGAAGCGAGGCGCGACACTGCTGGGGAGAGGAGGGCAGTGAGGAGCGAGGAGCGGGCAGAGGCAGCTCCGGCGGCCGAGAGGAGGGAGCGCGGCGCAGAGAGGAGGGGCTTGCGCCCCGTAGAAATGTCAATCAGAGCCCGGAGCCCCGGGAATCTCCGCCAATCTGTTCGGACCTGACCTGGCTCCTCGCCGCCGCCCTCGCCGCCGCCGTCGCCGCCGCGGAGCAGATCAATAGGCGAACGCGGAGCACAGCGCAGCGCGGGCGGCAGCGCGGCCCCAAGCCCGGCCCAGCCCCCGATGCGCGCCGGAGCCCGCGGGCGGCGCTGAGCTGGGCGGCCCGGGGGTCGGCCCCCCTCTCCGTCCGTGCCCCGCGGGCCACCATGTCCTTCCCCCAGCTGGGATACCAATACATCCGCCCGCTTTACCCGTCCGAGCGCCCGGGGGCCGCTGGCGGCAGCGGCGGCAGCGCGGGGGCCCGGGGCGGCCTGGGTGCCGGAGCCTCGGAGCTGAACGCCTCGGGGTCCCTGTCCAACGTGCTCTCGTCCGTGTACGGGGCGCCCTACGCCGCGGCCGCTGCGGCCGCCGCCGCCCAAGGCTACGGCGCCTTCCTGCCCTACGCCGCGGAGCTGCCCATCTTCCCGCAGCTGGTAAGAGCCCGCGGAGCCAGGGAAGGAGGGGTTGGCGCTGGGGCGCAGGGCGAGCTGAGCGCGCGGGGGCCGGACTAGAGGGGTGCAGGCCAGGAGGGGGGAGGCAGCGATGGCTGGGGCTCACTCGCGCTCCCTCCGCGCGTGTCCCTTCCTTCTCCATGTGCGTACAGGGCGCGCAGTATGAGCTGAAGGACAGCCCCGGGGTGCAGCATCCGGCCGCGGCTGCCGCGTTTCCGCACCCGCACCCCGCCTTCTACCCGTATGGCCAGTACCAGTTCGGGGACCCGTCCCGTCCCAAGAACGCCACCAGGGAGAGCACCAGCACGCTGAAGGCCTGGCTCAACGAGCACCGCAAGAACCCCTACCCCACCAAGGGCGAGAAGATCATGCTGGCCATCATCACCAAGATGACCCTCACCCAGGTGTCCACCTGGTTCGCCAACGCGCGCCGGCGCCTCAAGAAGGAGAATAAGATGACTTGGGCGCCTCGCAGCCGCACTGACGAGGAGGGAAACGCTTATGGGAGCGAGCGCGAGGAGGAAGACGAAGAGGAGGACGAGGAGGACGGCAAACGCGAGCTAGAGCTGGAGGAGGAGGAGCTCGGGGGGGAGGAGGAGGACACGGGGGGCGAGGGCCTGGCTGACGACGACGAGGACGAGGAGATCGATTTGGAGAACTTAGACGGCGCGGCCACCGAGCCTGAGCTGTCCCTGGCTGGGGCGGCGCGCAGGGATGGCGACCTAGGCCTGGGACCCATTTCGGACTCCAAAAATAGCGACTCGGAAGATAGCTCTGAGGGCTTAGAGGACCGGCCACTACCGGTCCTGAGTCTGGCTCCAGCGCCACCACCAGTGGCCGTGGCCTCGCCGTCTCTGCCGTCGCCCCCCGTGAGCCTGGACCCCTGCGCTCCCGCACCAGCCCCCGCCTCCGCCCTGCAGAAGCCCAAGATCTGGTCCCTCGCGGAGACTGCCACAAGCCCGGACAACCCGCGCCGCTCGCCTCCCGGCGCGGGGGGGTCTCCACCGGGGGCAGCGGTCGCGCCTTCCGCCCTGCAGCTCTCTCCGGCCGCCGCCGCCGCCGCCGCTCACAGACTGGTCTCAGCGCCGCTGGGCAAGTTCCCGGCTTGGACCAACCGGCCGTTTCCAGGCCCACCGCCCGGCCCCCGCCTGCACCCGCTCTCCCTGCTGGGCTCTGCCCCTCCGCACCTGCTGGGACTTCCCGGAGCCGCGGGCCACCCGGCTGCCGCCGCCGCCTTCGCTCGGCCAGCGGAGCCCGAAGGCGGAACAGGTGACTGCTGAGCGCTGGGCGCGGAGCGGGGGCGGGCTCTGCGGGTAGTGCCGGAGCTGGCCGGGAGGGGCAGGGCCCGGGGGGCGCAGGGCGCGCGTCCCTCTCCACTCCTGCTTTCTGCGGCCCTGGGCGCCGGCACCGAGCGCTCTAAAGGCCCTCCTTTTTCTTCCCCCGCTTCCCTTAGATCGCTGTAGTGCCTTGGAAGTGGAGAAAAAGTTACTCAAGACAGCTTTCCAGCCCGTGCCCAGGCGGTAAGAAACCCCGAGGTTGAGGGGCCAGGGGGACTGGCTGGCGGGGAAAGGAGAGGACGCCGAGCACCACGCACGGCCTTTTGCCCCGGGGTAGGGGGGAACCCTGCTGGGACGCATTTTGTAAAAGGGGACGAAAGTCACTTTTTCAGTCGCCCCTGTCGGCCCTGCGACAGCTCTCCAGGTCCAGCCCAGGCACCCCAGGCGCGGCCGGAGGGTACAGCGCTTGTACCTTCTAGGGGAAGCCTTGCGTGGCTGGGCCCACAGGCCCCTGGGGCGGGTGGCGGTTCTCTGACGCCCACCTCTTTCCAGCCCCAGACCTCGGGTCCTGACGCCTCGTGCCCACCCTACAGTTAAACCCCAACACACACATCTACAACTGGACATAATTTTACATTGCGACACCTTCCTGACGATCGGCCCCAATCCAAGTAGGATCTCCCCGCCCTAGGCAGCCTCTGCGCTCCTGAATCTCACCTCTTTTGCTACTACTGTCTCTCTCTTCCAGGCCCCAGAACCATCTGGACGCCGCCCTGGTCTTATCGGCTCTCTCCTCATCCTAGTTCTTTAAAAAAAACAAAAAAACAAAAAAAACTTTTTTTAATCGTTGTAATAATTGTATAAAAAAAATCGCTCTGTATAGTTACAACTTGTAAGCATGTCCGTGTATAAATACCTAAAAGCAAAACTAAACAAAGAAAGTAAGAAAAAGAAATAAAACCAGTCCTCCTCAGCCCTCCCCAAGTCGCTTCTGTGGCACCCCGCATTCGCTGTGAGGTTTGTTTGTCCGGTTGATTTTGGGGGGTGGAGTTTCAGTGAGAATAAACGTGTCTGCCTTTGTGTGTGTGTATATATACAGAGAAATGTACATATGTGTGAACCAAATTGTACGAGAAAGTATCTATTTTTGGCTAAATAAATGAGCTGCTGCCACTTTGACTATAACCCGCCTGTCTGCCCCCTCGACGGATCTGTTTGGTGGTTTTTTGTTTTTTGGGTTTTTTCTCCCCTCGGTTGTTTGAAGAATTCGCGGGAAAGGACGAGAGACGAATCGGGACCGAGTAGTCAAAGGACAGCAATAGCTGAGGAGGCGCAGAAGTGGCGGGGCTGGGGGCGCCGCAGCAGGAGAGGTGGCTGGAAAAGTACCTGGGGCGGCCGAGAAAACGGGAGCAGGAGACAGGTGGGAGACCCCGGCAAGCTTCTTTGCTGAGAGCCGGGAATCTGGGCCCGACCCGCTTGTCTACGGGAGCAACCGCGGGGGCTTGGATCCTTCTCTGGTGACCTTGCCAAGAGATTTAGAGAAGGGTCTGGACACAACGGGGTTAGCCTGCGCGGGTGGCGGGGTCGTGTTCTCATCACTCCCTTCGTCCCCATTCTTTGATCGACACAGTTGAGGCTTTCTCACTGTTACCTATAAGAGGCTGTGCAAGCCCAGATTCCATCCTCCTTCCAACCCGGTTGCCCCCCTTCCCTCTTTATAGATGCCAGGGTGTGGGGTGACGGTGGAGGCGGATATGGAGAAGAGGGTCGCCTAGGGGTACATAATCCTCTAGATGATGTGTGACTGCCCAGCTCTAGTTGAGAGTTGGGGAGCCCGGGTCCTGGGAGCATCTGTGCGTCTTGGCACCCTGGTGGGTTTTCCCACGTGCCCTAGAAGAGGCATCCTGCTAAGGCCCCGGCGCGGGGGTTGCGGGGGTGTCAGACCGCCGCACCTTTCCAGCCGGGATTCCGGCTCCAGGCGGGCCTGGGGTGGGCGGGCCGGGGGAGGCAGCAGGGAAATTTGGGGCTGGAGCTCCCTCTACAGGACAAAGGGGACGCTCGGCGCCTCGCCTCCGTGGCCTCTACACCCGGCCGCGCGCCGCGCCCCCTCCGCGCCCTCTTTTTCCTCTCGCAGTCAGCCAGCCAACCTTGCCCAAGTTTGACTTGAAGAAGTTGTAGGGAGTGTTTGGGCGAGTGACACCTCGGGGTAAGAAGGAGAGACACATTTTTTTGCCCCCTCCCCACGTTAGTAAAGGTACAGTGTGGCCAGATGCGGGGTGTTTGACCCTCAAAGTGGCGCGTGTGACTATCTCGCGCGTTCCGGGGAGGTATAGGAAGCGCGCACACCCCTCGAAGCCACGGAACAAGACACGGCTCAACACTGCACACCTTCGAAGCTCGGCGGCAGCAGAGCGGAGCCCGACAGGACTGGGCCATGCGGACCCAGCGGCCAGCGCCGCGCCTTGGGAGTTCCCTCCGCGAAGGGGGTGATCAAGGTGCGGCGGCGCCCCAGGGGCGAGTGGGGAGGGGACTGTGTCGGCCTCTGCGTCACTCTGCGGGCGCACAGAGGGCTGGCGAACCGCTAGTGGACACCCGGCAAAGCCGCTTCTCAGCTGGCTCGCTCCTCCAGCCCCTTCCCCAGAGGCCAAGGAGACGTCTCCTCGGCTCCCTAGCGTTCGCCCTCTTTGTTAACGGTGTTTCTGGGGTTCAGGCTCCTTCCCAGTTCGTAAACTCAGACTGAGGTTTCGCTCTGGCCCTGCTCACAGCGCCCCCAGACGTGGAGCCCGCCCATCCTCGCGGACTTGGACCTGAGGCCGGAACATTGAATGACTTTACAAGGAGAGCACTCCGACACCTCAACAGCTCACGCCTCACAAGCTTAGCTGTGGCACCGACTCTACTCCCACTTACCCCCTGTGAAACCCGAGGCAGACAATTCACTTCTCTGAGCCCTTATCTCCTCATCTGCAAAATGGAAATAATGAGGGCGAAGGGGGCAGTTTTTAGGCTGAGAGGAAGCATGTCCAGGGCTGACACGAGGTAGGTAGGCAGAAGCAATCTTACTCTTTTTTTCTTTAATTTAGAGACAGGATCTCACTCTGCTGCCCAGGCTGGAGTATTGCCCAGCCTGTTGCCCCAGCTGGTACAATCATAGCTCACTGCAACTTCAAACTTCTGGGCTCAAATGATCCTCCCGTGTCAGCCTTCTATTCACCGGAACTACAGGCACACACCACCACGCCCAGCTATTTTTTTTATTTTTTAGAGACAGGGTCTCTCTATGTTGCTCAGGCTGATCTTGAACTCCTGGCCTCAAGCAATCCTCCCACCTCAGCCTCCCAAAGCACTGGGATTACAGGCTTGATCCTCAGAACCTGGTCATTTTACTATTAAAATTACATGTCAGAATCTCCCATTTCGCTTCTTAAACTCCCAGCAGTATTCCACTCCACCCCTTTCATTAGTCATAAAAGTGAGGTGTCTGCATTCAGGCATCCCAGGATCCTTTGCAACTCCAGCTCAGCTAAGCAAGAGAGGGGAACTTCCCAGGCAGGGGCACAGCAGAGAGGGAGGTGACAGCAGAGGTTAGGTGGCCTCACTACACTGAACATCACCCAAGAGGAGGCAGGGGATCTGCTCACAGCCAGATGGTATGGAGAAGCAGGCGGGGCTTGAAGATGCCTGAGTGTGGGTCTCTAGGTCTTTCTCTGGTGGAGACCGTGAAGTAAGGTCAGCTTCTCAGGCCACATCCCAGGGATAATGGTCCTTGCATGAGCCACCTTCTGTCCCCACTGATAAAGCAGTATATTTAGGTACCAGAGGAGACTTGGCATAAACCTAGGAGCAGTCCCCATGCATCCGTATTTTCTCTTATCCCATAGAACACATGAGCCCTCAACTGGTCCTAAGTTGACCCCAATAAGATAACCTAATCAAAACAACAACAATAAAAGAATCTCAGCTTCTCAGCTGAAAGAGGGAAGAGGAGATAGTCCTCTTGGCATCTCTTTCACTTGACTGAGTTCCCATCTCTTCTCTTCCTCCCAGAACCTCCTCCCTAAGCCCTCCCCTCATCTCCCTCCTCTCAGGGGTCCCTGGAATGCCTCCATCCCTTATTGTCTGTCCTTAAAATCTTAAAGGGAAACCAGGAAGGAGAGAAGGAGAGAGACTATGGGAATCTCATCCCTGGTTCTGATTAAGCTTCAATTAGAAATAAAATATGTCAATCACTCCTCCTGGAAGGGGTTCCTGCTGTCGGGGCTGGTTATGCAAAGCACTCCAAGGTGTGTGGGGATAATCAATTAGGTCAGAGGAGGGAAAGTGTGGCACTGCTTCCCTCATTATCTGCGTGGAGCTGGGGAGCGGGGGAGCATCCCGGAGCCAGGGAGCCGGAGGAGAATGAAATTATCTCCCTAAGTGATTGTCCACCTCTGGGACCAGCATATTAATGGTTTCCAATTGAATCTCTTTCTAGGGGAATACAGGAAGGGGGAGGTGGGGTCTACCTAGAAAACAACATGGAAGGACCAGAGGGCAGGCGCAACGGAAGTCACTCACCTGTCCCAGGTGAGGAATGAGGACAAGGCAGGGTCCCCACCTACCAGGTGGGTGTTCTCTGAGCACACTGAGGACAGCCGGGCTCAGAGACTCCACTGCCTGAGTTTTGCAAGGTTGGCCATAGGGATTGAATGCTTGGGTAAGAATTGGATGTCAGACATTTTCTGTTTTAGTTTTATTGGGAGTTTTTGCCGGGGACTTGCTTTGGGCCTAATTGTTTGTATCCTTCTAGAAATGTCCTCTGGATCCTACAATTTCTGGTTGCAGGTACCCTTCACCCACTTCGAGTGAAAATGGACAATTGTTTGTAAAAATTGTGTCTGTGATGAACTAACACCAGCTTGAGTGGGGGCAGGTCTCATACTCTCTCTAGGCCCACTTTTGACATCTGTGCAATGGAGGGTTTGGATTAGATGAATTTATCCAAGCTTTCTTCCAAATCCAGTGTTGTCTAGGATTAGGCATAAAGGAAAGAACTATGAGTTCAAAGATAATCGTTGGGGGTGAGGGGGCCCTTTGACCTCTCTGGATACTGCCTCTTGATCCTAATTCGCTGCTGTCCTTGGATTCAGCCAGCCAACTTGACCAATTAAAAATGCCTGTCTGGCGTAGTGGCTCATATCTGTAATCCCAGCACCTTGAGAGGCCGAGGCAGGCAGATCACGAGGTCAAGAGATCAAGACCATCCTGGCCAAAATGGTGAAACCCCGTATCTACTAAAAATACAAAAATTAGCTGGGCGTGGTGGCACGTGCCTGTAATTCCAGCTACTTGGGAGGCTGAGGTAGGAGAATCGCTTGAACCAGGGAGTCGGAGGTTGCAGTGAGCCGAGATCGTGCCACTGCACTCCAGCCTGGTGACAGAGTGAGATTCTGTTAAAAAAAATGCCCATCTAGTGTGTGAACAACCTAGCTTTGATGCAGTTGCTGCTCCCCTCTGAGGGGGCTCTGGCCCCTCCGAAGGCCATCCCAATGGTCTGAATGGAAAACTACCATGAAGGCATCTCTTCTCGTGGTAAAGGCATGACTGGAAAGGGTCTTAAGAGTGGAGCAGTTGTCCTCAACCAGGCAATTGTGTTTTTCCCTTGCCCCCTCCCTGGGGACATCTGACAATGTCTGGAGTAATTTTTGATCATCAGAACGAGGGTAAAGGTGCTATTGGCATCTCATAGGTAGTGGTCAGGGGTGCTGCAGAAAAATCCTCCACTACAAAGAGTTATCCAGCCCCAAATTTCAGTAGTGCTGAGGTTGAGAAACACAGAGCTGACGCAGGGAGAGGTGTCTAAGGCAGCCACAGTAAGTATTTTCTCCCACAGCCACAGCTTTGTTGAGAGAAACATTAAAACAGGGTGCTAAGCAGAGCGTTTTTGTTCTTTAACAGCTTTTGGCCCTGGAACGGGGAAGTCAGGTGAGAGAGAAAGCAAACAGGAAATTGTGTGAGCCTGGGGAAAAGAAAAGAGTGGGTTTCAACTCAGCCTGGTGCCCAAGGCTGGAGCGGCTGGAGGCAAAACCTTCTGGGGTGAAAGAGTGGGAGTCACCCCCAACGAGATGTGTGTCTGGAAAGCTGGGGCCTGTCTTCCTTGAATCTTAATGTCAGGTGCAGGTTACTAGAAGATTCTAGCAGATGAAAACTTAACTAGTGTGGTTTTTGCCTTGTACGGGTATATTTATTTACTTGCTTATTTTCCGTGTGTGTGTGTGTGTGTGCACTCGTGTGTGTGTGTTTGTGTGTGTCCCGTGTCAGGGTGCAGGAGGGAGACAAAGGAAGGGTAAGTTCACACTCTGGGGCCTGGCCGGCCAGGACGGGAAGGCTGTGATTTCATGGCTTTTGTACTGGGAGGCGAGCCTGCACTCTCTCACTGCACCAGGCCGCTAACAAGTGGGCCCGCAGCCCTCCAGGGCCTTTGGAGTGCACTCATCTGAGAGATTGTGCTTTTCCCCGCCGCTCAGATTTATTTTGCCAAAGTTACAGGGCAATTATGGAAATGCGCCCTTTGAAGCTGGGCTGATTTCTCTTTATTTTCTTCTCCCTGACAAAGCAGAGCCCTGCCTCTTGCTGGTCTCTCTCTCCTCTCCTCTCCCTTTCCTCTTTTTTTCCTGATATTTATTAGATAGCAAGAGTTTCCAGAGGTAATGTGAAAAAATCTTTTAAATGATGATAAAAATGCATATAGATTAAAATGTTACTACTATTTGTGTGTGTGTGTGTGTGTGTGTGTGTGTGTGTGTGTGTGTGTGTTTTAAAGGACTTTGATGACCAGGAGGGGAGAAATAGATTCAGAATAGTAGGAGACAGACTCCTCCTGCCTGGATGGTGGGTGCACCCTAGTCAAGCCTGAGGCCCGCAGGAGCCTGGCTGGCCCACAGGCTGGCAGTGGACTGGTCTGGCCACCCGAGGCCCCTGCTGTGCCCCTAGAATCCACAGCTCCACAAACTGAGCAGAAGTGCTTGTCTCCCTTCCTCACACCTCTGGAATAAGAGGCCCAGGCTCCACATAGCGGGGTTTTCTGGGTTTGGTACATTATTTATCACTGGAGCATGGAAGCTGGAGGCTCCATGTGAACCAGCCCCACTGATTTCTCTCCACCGCCCCACTTTGCTTGATGCTGGGACGCTGAGGAAAAGTGTCTGAAGCCAGATGGCGTCCACCTCAGTGCTGGTGAGGCCCATGGAGCGGGAGAGCTGGCCTGGACTGTTGGGTGTCCGGGGGCCTCTGTTTCTATTTCTTAGAGTGGCTTTAAAGTTTTCTTTGTCCATATTTTTGTTTGCCCCTTCCTTCCTCCCTTCCTGTCTTTAGGGTGAATGGCTTGTTATCTGTGGACAAACACCAACAGGAAATCTTGTCACCTCCAGGAGCTGGCTTTGGCCCCAGTGGCCTGCGCAGAGTGGAGGCCGTTTCAGTGCTCACTTCTTTGGCCTGTTTTAAAAAATAAAATGAGCTGAGCGTGGTGGCTCAGGCCTGTAATCCCAGCACTTTGGGAAACCAAGGTGGGCGGATCACCTGAGGTCAGGAGTTTGAGACCAGCCTGGCCAACATGGCGAAACCACACGCACACCACCATGCCCGGCTAAATTTTCTATTTTTTGTAGAGACGAGATTTCACCATGTTGCCCAGGCTGATCTTTAACTGCTGGATTCAAGCAATCCTCCCGCCTTGGCCTCCCAAAGTGCTATGATTACAGGCATGAGCCACCGTGCCTGGCCTATTTTGTTTGTTTTAAAATAACTAAAATGCATGTGGGGGAGGAGAGAGAAAGAAAGAGAAAGGCAACAAACCACCTTCCCTGGATCTCTCAGCAAAGTTGAAAATGACTCACTCATTGGACACCACAGATACTCACAAAGCACCTGTGTAGGAACATGCACCTCAGGTGTGGTGCTCCAGAAGATGGGCCCCGGAATCAGACTGCCTTTGTTCAAATCCAGCTCCATCACTCTCTAACTGTGGGACCTTGGGGTACCAACTGCACCTCTTTGAGCTTGGCTCCCTCCTAAAACAGAAATAATAATTATATTACCTTTCTCATAGGCTGCTGAGAAAATGAAGTGAATGAATTCATGCCAAAAGCAATGCATCAGGCATAATGATTGGCCTCATGCATAATCATTAACTAATACATTGCAAATGTTATTTTTATTAATTATAACAACCACCCTAGGCCATAGGCGTAATTGTCCCCATTTTATACGTAGGTAAATCCAAGCTCAGCCACTTGTTCAGCATGGCCAATCAAGGGTGGAGCTGGCACTGATTCAGGCCTTTCTGACTCCAGAAGGCACAGGCATGCATTCGTCTGTGCTAGAATCTACACTAGTTCATGCATCAAGATTTGGAGTGGAGTGTTCTGCAGCTGTGAGCCCACTTTAATCCCATGCTATCCCTCTACTTGACCTACCTGATGTTCACGGGCATGACACTGTCTTGGATGGGCCAGGGTCACGTGCAGCCCTGGCACATCGCATCCACCTGCCTCCACTGTGGAAGACAGAATGCAAGGGCATCTGAGAGCTGTGTCAGAGGAATACCCTGGAATCTGTTGTCCTCCCTCTCTTTTTTTTTTTTTCTTTTTTGAAATGGAGTCTCCCTCTATAGTCCAGGCTGGAGTGCAGGGACATGATCTTGGCTCACTGCAACCTCTGTCTCCCAGGTTCAAGCAATTCTCCTGCCTCAGCCTCTTGAGTAGCTGGTATGACAGGCACCTGCCACCATACCCAGCTAATTTTTGTATTTTTAATAGAGATGGGGTTTCACCATGTTGGCCAGGCTGGTCTTAAACTCCTGACCTCAGGTGATCTGCTCAGCCTCAGCCTCCCAAAGTGCTGGGATTATAGGCTTGAGCCACTGCACCTGGCCCTCTCATTTATTTTTTCAGTAGGTATAGGACAGGACGAAGATCTCTGTCCACTCCTTTGATTCCTTCTCAGCTTCACTCCTGGTGGAAGGAGGCTTTGGGGGTAATTGCACATCAAAGTTTTGCTGTGAGAGGCCATCCACATTAGCAGGAAAAAGGCTTGCCTTCTTTCTAGATCTTCGCTCCTCGATGTGTGATCCCTGGACCAGCACCCACAGCATCAGCCTGGGAACTGGTTAGAAATGTGAATTCTCAGACCCCTTCCAGGTCCACTCAATCAGAATTTGCATTTTCCTAGGAGTATCTATGTGATGCAAGTGCTATTTTTTTTTTTTTTTTTTTGAGATAGGGTCTCGCTCTGTCACCCAGGCTGGAATGCAGTGATATGATTATAACTCACTGCAGCCTGGAACTCCTGAGCTCAAGCAATCCTCCCCCCTCAGCCTCCTGAGTTGCTGGGACTATAGGCACACAGCACCATACCTGGCTAATTTTTTTTTCTAAATTTTTTGTAGAAAAGGGGTCAGGCTGGTCTCAAACTACTGGCCTCAAGCAATCTTCCAGTCTCAGCCTCCAAAAGTGCTGGGATTACAGAAATGAGCCATTGTGCCCTGCTGCGTGTTGCATATTAAAAGGTGAGAAATACTGGTCTAGATACTCCTCAGTAAAACCTGGGGCCCCACCAGGATGGAGCTGGAACAGTCTCTGAGACTTGGATTTCCATGGGAAATGCAGAATGGGGCTGGGATGCTGTGGGGGAGACCAAGGAGGGAGGCAGGAAAGGAAAGACTGAGAGAGGTCAAAGGGGAAGGAGCCAAGCACCAACCCGGGGCTGATTACACCAAGATGGAAGATGGATTCGGCCTCTTTCTCTGCCTTTAAACATGTTCATGATTGGCTGTGAGTAACACTGGGCTTTCCATAGCCATAGCCTCTGCCCACATGGCCTTCCAGATACTTCACAGCATAGTGACAGGGAGGAGACCTAATTAGACAAACTTAGGACTTTATTAATAGCAGCCGATTTCTTACGCATCGAAGATCACAGCTGATCCCCACTAAACTTGGGTACGTCTCATGAAGAGAAAAGAAAAGAGAGAATAAGAGAGAGGAAGGAAGAAAAGAAAGAAGGAAGGAAGGAAGGTCATCCTGGATAGGCACGAAACTGGTAGGAGCCCTTGAGGGCAAGGACTGTGTCATTCACTTTTTCTTTTTGAGACACAGTCTCACTCTGTCACCCAGGCTGGACTGCAGTACTGTGATCTCAGCTCACTGCAAACTCCGCCCCCTAGGCTCAAGCAATTCTCCTGCCTCAGCCTCCCGAGTAGCTGGGATTACAGGCATCCACCACCATGCCTGGCTAATTTTTGTACTTTTAGTAGAGACAGGGTTTCACCATGATGGCCAGGCTGGTCTCGAACTCCTGACCTCAGGTGATCCTCCCACCTTGGCCTCCCAAAGTGCTGGGTTCCCAGGCATGAACCACTGCGCCAGGCCTCATTCACATCTTTTCATTCATTCATTCATTTATTCAACAATATCACACAGGGAGACAACATGTGAACAAAGTCCCTGCTTTCCTGGTGCCTTCAGTCTACTGGAAGTGGTTTTATAAAAATAACAGCAATAATGTGTTTGCTGGAATATGAGGGATAAGAACAAGATGCTGTAAGTGTGCATGATGAAGAGGACTTAGCCTAGTTTGGGATGGGGAAGGATTTATGCATTCATGGGCCTGGAGACACAAAGGAGGCCTGCAGCACAATGGGAAAGAGGAAGAGGAAGGCCCTGGACCTGCGCCATCCAACATGGCAGCCGCTGCCCACACATGGCTACTGAGCACTGGAAATGCAGCTGGTCCTAACCGAGCTGTGCCATCAAAATACACTCTGGAATTCAAAGGCTCCAGATATTAAAAGAAAAAAGAATGGAAAGCATCACAATGATTTTGTGTTTTTACATATTGAAATGACAGTATTTTGAACATACAGGGTTAAATAAGATATACAATGCGCCTCAACTTACTATGGAGTTATGACCCAATAAACGCATTATAAGTTGAAAATGTCATAAGTCAAAAATGCATTTAATATACCTAGGCTACCGAATACCATAGCTCAGCCTAGCCTGCCTTCAACATGCTCAGAACGCTTGCGTTTGCCTACAGTTAGGCAAAATCATCTAACACAAAGTCTGTTTTATTTATTTATTTATTTTATTTTATTTTATTTCTGAGACAGAGTCTCGTTCCGTTACCCAGGCTGGAGTGCAGTGGCACGATCTTGGCTCGCTGCAAACCTCCACCTCCCAGGTTCAAGCGATTCTCCTGCCTCAGCCTCCCGAGTAGCTGGGACTACAGACATGCACCGCCACGCCTGGCTAATTCTTATATTTTTAATAGAGATGGGGTTTCACCGTGATGGCCAGGCTGGTCTCAAACTCCTGATATCAAGTTATCTGCCTGTCTTGGGATTACAAGCGTGAGCCAACACGCCCGGCCACAACACCTGTTTTATAATAAAGTATTGACTATCTCTCATACTGCATATTTCCAGCCTGAGAAATTATTACCTTGCAATGGTTTTGCACCATTGTGAAGCCAAAAAATCGTAAGTTGAACCATCGTAAGTTTGGAACTGACTATTATTTAAATTAATTTTATCTGTGTCTTTATACTTTTTAAATGCAATTATTAGAATTTTTTTTGAGACTCTGTTGCCCAGGCTGGAGTACAATGGCACAATCTCAGCTCACTGCAACCTCCACCTCCCAAGATTCTCTCAAGTGATTCTCCTGCCTCAGCCTCTTGAGTAGCTGGGATTACAAGTGTGAGCCACCACACCCGGCTAATTTTTGTATTTTTAGTAGAGATGGGGTTTCACCATGTTGACCAGGCTGGTCTCAAATGCCTGACCTCAGGTGAGCTGCCCACCTTGTTATCTCAGAGTGCTGGGATTACAGGCATGAGCCACAGCCCCCGTCCAGAAATTTTTAAATGACGTACATGGCACATGTTGTGTTTCTAGTGGCCAGCACTGACCTCAAAAGACTGAGATGCAGGAGTCCACATTCCAGCACCACTGCTTACCAGTTAAGGCACCTTCAGCAAATTAGCTCAGCCACACTAAGCCTCAGTGCTGTCCTCTGTAAATAATCATATCTAGCATTTATTGTGTAGCTTGTATGTGTTAAGCACGTATAGCAGTGTATCCAATCTTTACAAGGTCCTATGAGGTAGGTACTACAATTACCTCCATTTTGCAGCTGGAGAAACGGCGGCTCAGGGAGATATAATTCACCCAAAGCCACAGCCCCAGGAAATGGGAGGAGGCATAATTGAACCCAGGTAGTCTGGTTCCCAAGACTCTATTACAAAAATCACTATACTGCCATGAACACAGCAATAGTACCTGTTACACGGGATTTCTACGGAGAATTTCACTGAGGCAATGATGTATGCAAAGCCTTTAGTATAGCAACAGACACCATATCAGTAAGCTCCATAAGTGATAGTTGATATTATTTAACAAAGGACTGTTTACTAAAAAAAAAAAAAAAAAAAATAGTCAAATGATGCTGTGCAAAGCACTGACCTGCTTTGGTGGGAGTTACACATTAAGGCACTGTATCAATTATCCATTGCTGCATAACCAATTATCCCAAAGCCTGGTAGCATAAAACAACAAACATTTATTATCTCACAGTTCCTGTGCCTCAGAAATTCAGGAGCAGCTTAGCTGGGTGGTTCTGGCTTGGGCTTTCTCATGAGGTGGCAGTCATGATGTCACACAGGGTTACAGTCATCTGGAGGCTTGACTGAGACTGGGACATCCACTTCCAAGATGGCTCACTCACACAGTTGTGGGAAGGAGGTTTCTGATCATTACCACGTGGACCTCTCCACAGAGCTGCTTGAGTGTCCACACAACATGGCAGAGCCAGTGATCCAAGAGAGAACAAGATAGAAGCCACAGCGTCTCTTATGACCTAGCTTTGGAAGTCTCATTCTGTCATTTCTGCAATATCCTACTGTGGTTACACAAATCAGCCCTATTCAATATGGGAGAAAACTAGACAAGGGCACTAATGCCAAGAGGCAGGGGTCATTGGGGCCATCTTGGAGGCTGGCTACTTGTCACTGATAATCTATGTAGCTTAATTTAGTTCCTGCTTTCCTTTCTAGGAAAACATACTTCTGGAATTTCAAAAGACAGGGTGCCTAAGAGCCCAGGACAGAAACCTGATTCAAACCCTCCTTTTAAAAGGATGGTTTTGTTGGTTTTATTGGTTCATGTAGCTGAGGAAAACAAAGGTGGAAAAATAATATCTGACATTTACTGAGCACATATTACATGCTCAGCACATGTTTTAACTCACCTAATCCTTATAAAGACCTTATGAGCTAGGTACTGAATGTAAAGCAGGAAGCAATCCAGGGATTTGAAAGCACTGGTACCTTCTTTTTTCATTTCGGCTTCTGTCCCAGTGCTGATCTTCTCTTAGACTCCTTCAGGTGGCAGGTATACAGTCGTCATTAACCCAGTGGCTGTGGCCTGAGAGTTGCTGATCCAAAGGGAAAGAAATGGTTTCTCTTGCCTAGTTTCAGTCGTAAAATCCCAAGGAAAACTTCTGATTGGCTCAGCTTTGGTCATGTGTTCATTACTGGGCCAACCACAATGGCCAGAGGGAGTGGCAGGAAGTGGCAGTTCCTTGGAGAAACTAGGGGTGATTCTATCATAAAAAGGGGTGGGGGAGAGTAGATCAGGCAGACACAATCACTGAAGGAGGAGAGTACAGGAGATTTAGAGGAAGAAGATCTGTGAAGAGGTTTGGGAGGAGTTAAGAAGGGAAAGCAATCAGTCATTTTTCCAAAGGCCAGTCTGCAGGGCTGGGACTGAGCACAGGCTGAAATCAAGGTTGGACTACCTCTCAGCCCTTCTCAAGCCCTCCAGGCCTAGCAGTCTCCATCTGATCCTGTATTGGAAATGGGCATGGAAGATGCCACAACTTCTCAAGCTTTCCCTAGGAAAAGGGGTGGGTGAACTTCTGGCCTGAAGAATCTGAGGTAAGACACAAAGTAGCCCCTCACTGGCAGAAAGGTTCTTTTTGGTCTCACTTTTTATCTTAAACATATAGGAGTTTGCATCACACTCCATGATATTTTCCTGTGTGTCTTGTTATAAAGGTAGTTTATCCTGTAAAGATCTTCAAATAAAATGGTTAATTCAGGGCCTATATTCACCCTGTGGCCTTGGTAGCTGCTGGGATGCTGCTGGGTACCATAGAGCTCTCCGTACCCTGATTCAAGAAGCTTGGGCACATATGGTTGGCAAATCCAGACCCCAATGGCATGGAGTGTGGCAAAGGGCAGAAGGATGGCATTGATATGGGACACTCCTGGGGGATTCATACTTTGCCCAGAGCCAGCTTGACATTCCCCCTTCTCTTCATTGACCCTCCATCCCTGTCCTTCATTCACACTTGAACCGGAGCTGCGGGGGCATGCATCTCGGGGCTGAGAGACTATCGTGGTGCTGAGTACATCCCAGGACCCAGTATTAATAAGTACTCAATAGATATTTACCAAATGCATTGCTGCTTCAGAATTCAGCAATAAAGTTAGGTGTTTCCTAAAGATGTCTTTTAGGTCTTTACGAAAATCACTTTGCAAATATTTCATAAAATAAGAATAAATCATCAACTACACTCATAAAAAATATAATTTTGTAAAAATATTCTAATAATTATCAAATATTGTAACTGTTTATATACAATTATAAAATTTAGCAATTATGAAAGATGGTAAGAGTTGTCCTTTGTTCAGCTTTTCCATGTGACAGACTTGGCATTGTGTTTTCCTATATGAGGTCAGTATGAGAGTATGATTTGAAGACAGCAGTCCCTCTATTTTTAATTGTCCTATATCCTCTCCTTGCCACAACTGAGTGCCCTAAATATAGATCCAGCTCCTCCTGACTCCTACCCAAATATTAAGTCACAATTGTCTAGCCTTTTGGGAGGCCAAGGCAGGTGGATTACCTGAGCTCAAGGATTGGAGACCAGCCTGGGTAACATAGTGAAACCCCATCTCTACTAAAATACAAAAAAATTAGCCAGGCGTAGTGGTGCATGCCTGCAGTCCCAGCTACTCGGGAGGCTGAGGCAGGAGAATAGATTGAACACGGGAGGCGGAGGTTGCAGTGAGCCGAGATCTCGCCGCTGCACTCCAGTCTAGGCGACAGAGCAAGACTTGTCTCAGAAACAAACAAACAAAACCAGGCACGATTGAGATTATTTATGGGGTCAGCCAGCAAGGCTGGGACTGGGGTGCCCTGTTATATACTCTCACTGATTCTCCTAAGATGCTCCTTTTTTGCCTACATAACGATCAGGCCAAGAGGTCTCCACACCAGGCTCTGTTCTTCTGGCAGTGCCCCTGACCTTTTGTGTCCTGGAATACAGCAGAAGAACAGGATGGCATGGCCCTGCTGGACACAGTACTTGGGAAAAGACCACAGACTCAACTGCTTGCTCCACAGCACGCACAAGGGCCACTGCCAAAAATATAATTACCCAGAAATGTGGAACCGAGACAATGCAGCAGAGGGGACTGAGCAGGGACAGTGGGGGAGGGACAGAGAGGCTAGAGGAAGTAGGGCTGGTCCTGAGGGACGGATAGAGTCCTTCTCAGTGGCCCAGTGAGCTGCGGCTGGGGAATAAGAGGCCCCAGGCACCAAGGAAGATGGATCTGCAAACTAGAAGCTTCTAAGGAAGTTGGCTTGACTCTCTAACCTTTCTGGAAAGAGAGAAGCCCTTTCCATCCTGCAAAATTGTGAATGGTCACTTTGCAATGGAAGAATCAGGCCGTCTTCCCCAAACAGAAGCAGAGGAGCAACCCACCCAGCTCTCCTCTGCCCAGTCCGTGTTAGGCAAAACTAACCTCCCTGATCCTCAGAGGGGATGGGAACAAAAGGTGGGCTACAAGCTCATCTGTGGAGAAACTACAGCGGAATATTTGCTGAGATCTTTGACCCAGAGGCTTTTGTGCAACTGCTAAGCTCATTTCAGGTCACGTGACACTCTTGTGCCAGTCCTCACTGGTGTGATAGTTACAGAAAAGCTGGCATTCGTCTTTGCTCGAACAATGCCCCATCAACGTACAATATAGAATAAATGATTATTAATGACAAGTTTTGGGGTATCTCTGAATTGCTATGACTATTTCCAACCCTGAGAATGTGTCCTAACACACACCAATGCATAGATGTGACATGGGAAATATTTAGTGACTGGGGCCTCAGCTGCATCAGAACCAGCAACCAACCAGCAATCAGAACCAAGGGGGCAAGGTTCTGAGACATTCTCCTGTGCCTGGCATTGACAGGTTGGCTTATGAGTCATGGGAATCTCCAGGAGGTCCCAGGGAAGAGCCAGGGCAGAAGAGGGGACACTTGTGGATCTCAGGGCAGTGCTATTTACCAACTGACATGGAACTATTTCTTTATTTTAAAAACAGAGAGGCCAGACACGGTGGCTTACGCCTGTAATCCCAATACTTTGGGAGGCCGAGGCAAGCGGATCACTTGAGGTCAGGAGTTTGAGACCAGCCAGGCCAACATGGTGAAACCCTGTCTTACTAAAAATACAAAAATTAGCCAGGTGTGGTAGCACTCACATGTAATCCCAGCTACTAGGGAGGCTGAGGCAGGATAATCACTTGAGCCTGGGAGACGGAGGTTGCAGTGAGCTGAGATCTTGCCACTACACTTCAGCCTGGGTGACAGAGCGAGACTCTGTCTCAAAAGTAAAAAAAATAAAATAAAAATAATTTAAAAATAAAAACAGAGCCAACTGAATAACCACATATGAAACAATGAAGTTGCATCCCTTCACACCATATGCAAAAATTAACTCAGAATGTACCATAGACTTAATGATAAGAGCTAAAACTATAAAATCTTTAGAATCTTTGGGCCAAGGAAAGCCTTCTTAGACACCAAAAACACAAGAAACCTGAGAAGAAATAGATCAAAATACAAAACTTGTGTGCAAATGCTAGCACCAAGAAAGCAGAAAGATAACCAACAAAATGAAGGGAAATATTGGCAAGTTATATATCTGATAAGGGAATCATATCTTGAATGCAGAAAGAACTACTACAGCTCAGAAATAAAAGACAAACAAATGTGAAAATGGCAAACGATCTCAATAGACATTTCTCCAAAGATAACATACAAATGGCCAGGAAACATGTAAAAAGATGTCCAACAACATTAGCCATCAGAGAAATGCAAATCAAAACCACAATAAGATGCTACTTCGCACCCGCTAGGATGGCTATAATTTTTAAAATGAAAAATAACAAGCGTTGGCAAGAATATGGAGAAATTGTCACCCTCATACAATGTTGATGGGAATGCAAAATAATATAATGCCTCTGAAAAGCAGTTTGACAGTTATTTAAAAAAATTAAGCATAGTTTCCTTATGACCCAGAAATTCCACTTCTACATATATATCCAAATGAATAAAAATATGTCCACATAAAAAAACTTGTACATAAATATTTATAGCAGCATTATTCATAATAGCCAAAAGTGGAAACAACCCATATGTTTATCAACTGATGAATAGATAAGCAATGTTGGTATAGCCATCCAGTGGAATGCTATTTAACCATAAAAAGGAATGAAGCACCAATCCATACTCCAGCATGAGTGAACTCTGAAACCATGCTAAATGAAAGAAGCCAGTTGCAAAAGATCACATGTTATATGATGCTGTTTATGTGAAATGTCCAGAATAGGCAAATCCACAGAGACAGAAAGATTAGTGGTTGCCTAGGGTCACAGGGACTGGGAGGAAATGAGGGCGACTGCTAATGGGTACAGAGTTTCTTTTTAGAGTGATGAAAATGTTCTAATATTGACTGTGCTGATGGTTGCACAACTTGTACACTTTAAATGGGTGAATTGCATAATATGTTAATTCTATCCTGGGAAAGTCACTAGATGTGCCACATTGGCCAATACACAAACAAGCTGTTTAAAAATGCAGACATGAGTGTGCATGAGTGCGTGCACACACACACCCCAAGCAGACACAAACAGGAGAAGAAGAAATTAAGAGAAACTGATCAATACGAATGGCTGTGAATGCTTTTCACAAGGGTGGCCACGGAGAGTGAATTCTTGCTGCATAGTTTTGGCATAGGATGTCCTGCTGAAAATATATATAATTTTACCTCCCCAAAAGAATAAGAAGCTTTTGTACCCTCAAATAATTATGTTCTAGAACTTTCTTATTTGGGCAGTTTCTAGGAGTTGTACCTGTATCCCTATCATTACAGAAATAGGACTCCCAACGGTAATATTTGAAGAGACACCTGCACGAAGCTTATAAAATCCTGGTGCTGTTTCCCCCTCAGAAAGCAGACAATCTCCCTGCCACACCAGCAAACTGCTTCTGCCTAACACCAACCAATGAGAGGGAGTGGAAGAAGATACTCTCTGGGAAATTACAATGCAGTGATTCAGTTCCATGTCTGGGAAAGATGGAGGCCTTGTGGCTCACACCCAGGCCATGACAGGGAGCCCTGAGTTATACACTGTGTGGGGACATGGGGGAAGGCTATTTGCCAAGCAGAATAAATCCATCTTTCTCAGAGGGGCCTCTGAAGTAACAAATGCACTCACTGGTTAAACGCAATTCCAGGGCAGATGAGTTTGGGTTCAGGAAAACAATGTGGCCCGCTCAATGACTCATCTTTTGTGCTGCTGCACACTGTCACCACACTTGACTGTGCTGCCACTAGTGACATCTGACACTTGTTGAGCGCGATGATAAATACCTACACGCTTATCTCATTTCATCCTCAAAACCACTCAATGAGGTCAATGCCATCATCACGACCACGTTGCAGGTGGAGAACTGAGGTCCAAGGGGGCAGATGAAGTTGTGAACCCAGTTCTGCCTGACACCATTGCCAAGTTGTAATCACTTATGCTTCAAAAGCAAGAGCTCTGAACACAGGCTTACACGCCAAGAGGGGAGGAACGGCAGAGGAAGGGAGAAGCTTGTTCCTTGTTTTCTTCAGCCGTAGCATTGAATTACTGTTGAAATTCTTGAGAGGCAACATTTCTGAATAGGAGAAGCATATAAGAGAAATATCCTCATCCAAGATACAGAGAGAAAAGAAATTGGAGGAGGGATATATCGCACTGAAAAAAAACCTCTCTGCACATGTTTAGGGAAGACAGAAAAGGAGTGAGTGAGGAAGATAAGACTACAGAGATGCCCCTCAAAGACTGGTCCAGGTCTCCTTACCTTAGTCTACTCCAGAACACAGACAGAAACCCCTCACCTCATGTTCCAGCAGCAACCAAAAGGTCCTCCTGTGAAGGGCGCCGCCTCCTTCTCTTTTCCTTCTCCCTGCACTCCATTCAGGGATCCTACCCATAGATTAATAAGAACAGGTTTGGAAAACACATTTGCCCACTGTAGATTTAACCTGAAGTTTCCTGGTAGATCCACACTGAGCCAGGAGGAGAAGTCTGTGGGACAAGAAGGAGAACATCAGCTGGGTGCGGTGGCTCACACCTGTAATCCCAGCACTTGGGGAGGCTGAAGCAGGAGGATCACTTGAAGCTGGGAGTTTGAAACCAGCCTGGTCAGCATAGCGAGATCCCATCTCTACAAACATAAAATTTAAAAAATTATCCAGGCATGGTGGCATGTACCAGTAGTCCCAGCTACTCAAAAGGCTGAGTCAGGAGGATCACTTGAGCCCAGGAGTTTGAGGCTGCAGTGAGCTGTGATTACACCTCTGCACTCCAGCCTGGGCAACAGAGCAAGACCCCATCTTAAAAAAAAAAAAAAAAAAAAAGAAGCAGCAGCAGGACATTGACTGGGGCCAGAAGGACTAGCTCAAGTCTCAGCACCAACTCTAATGGGCCACCGCTTTGGTTTCTTTCTTTTATTTATTTTTATTTTGACATAATTGTAGATCTACAGAAAAGTTGCAAGAATTGTAAAAATAATTTCTAGGATGCCCCAATTAAAAGACACAGACTGGCAAATTGGATAAAGAGTCAAGAGCCATCAGTGTGCTGCGTTCAGGAGACTCATCTCATGTGCAAAGACACATATAGGCTCAAAATAAAAGGATGGAAGAATATTTACCAGGCAAATGGAAAGCAAAAAAAGGCAGGAGTTGCAATCCTAATCTCTGATAAAACAGACTTTAAATGAACAAAGATCAAAAGAGACAAAGAGGGACATTACATAATGGTAAAGGGATCAATGCAGCAAGAAGAGCTATCTATCCTAAATATATATGCACCCAATACAGGAGCACCCAGATTCATAAAGCAAGTCCTTAGAGATCTACAAAGAGACTTAGACTCCCACACAATAATGGTGGGAGACTTTAACACCCCACTGTCAGTATTACACAGATAAACAAGATAGAAAATTAGCAAGGATATTCAGGACTTGAACCCACCGCTGGACCAAGTGGACCTAATAGACATCTACAGAACTCTCCACCCCAAATCAAGAGAATATACATTCTTCTCAGCACCTAATTGCACTTATTCTAAAATTGACCACATAATTTGAAGTAAAACACTCCTCAGCAAATGCAAAAGAATAGAAATCATTACAGTCTCTCAGGCCACAGTGCAATCAAACTAGAACTCAGGATTAAGAAACTCACTCAAAACCTTACAACTACATAGAAACTGAACAACCTGCTTCTGAATGACTACTGGGTAAATAACGAAATGAAGGCAGAAATAAAGATGTTCTTTGAAAGCAATGAGAACAAAGACACAATGTACCAGAATCTCTGGGACACATTTAAAGCAGTGTTTAGAGGGAAATTTATAGCACTAAATGCCCACAAAAGAAAGCAGGAAAGATATAAAATTGACAGCCTAACATCAAAATTAAAAGAACTAAAGAAGCAACGCAAACAAATTCAAAAGCTAGCAGAACACATGAAATAACTAAGATCAGAGCAGAACTGAAGGACATAGAGACACAAAAACCCTTCAAAAAATTAATGAATCCAGGAGCTGGTTTTTTGAAAAAAATAAACAAAATAGATAGGCTGCTAACCAGACTAATAAAGAAAAAAAGAGAGAAGAATCAAATAGATGCAATAAAAAATGATATAGGGGATATCACCACTGACCCCACAGAAAAACAAACTACCATCAGAGAATACTATAAACACCTCTATGCAAATAAACTAGAAAATATAGAAGAAATGGATACATTCCTGAACACATACACCCTCCCAAGTCTAAGCCAGGAAGAAGTTGAATCCCTGAATAAACCAATAACAAGTTCTGAAATTGAGGCAGTAATTAATAGCCTACCAACCAAAGGAAGTCCAGGACCAGACAGGTTCACAGCTGAATTCTATCAGAGGTACAAAGAGGAGCTAGTACCATTCCTTCTGAAACTATTCCAAACAATAGAAAAACGGAATCCTTGCTAATTCATTTTATGAGGCCAGCATCACCCTGATACCAAAACTTGGCAGAGACACAACAAAAAAAGAAAATTTCAGGCCAATATCCCTCATGAACATCAATACCAAAATCCTCGATAAAATACTAGCAAACCGAATCCAGCAGCACATCAAAAAGCTTATCCACAACAATCAAGTTGGCTTCATCCCTGGGATGCAAGGCTGGTTCAACATATGCAAATCAATAAACATAATCCATCACATAAACAGAACCAATGACAAAAACCACATGATTATCTCAATAGATGCAGCAAAGGCCTTCAATAAAATCCAACACCCCTTCATGCCAAAAATTCTCAATAAACTCGGTATCAGTGGAATGTATCTCAAAATAATAAGAGCTATTTATGACAAACCCACAGCCAATATCATACTGAATGGGCAAAAACTGGAAGCATTCCCTTTGAAAACTGGCACAAGACAAGGATACCCTCTCTCACCACTCCTATTCAACATAGTATTGGAAGTTCTGGCCAGGGCAATCAGGCAAGAGAAAGCAATAAAGGGTATCTGAATAGAAAGAGAGGAAATCAAATAGCCTCTGTTTGCAGATGACATGATTGTATATTTAGAAAACCCCATCGTCTCACCCCAAAATCTCCTTAAGCTGATAAGCAACTTCAGCAAAGTCTCAGGATAAAAAATCAATGTGCAAACATCACAAGCATTCCTATACACCAATAACAGACAAACAGGGAGCCAAATCATTAGTGAACTCCCATTCACAATTGCTTCAAAGAGAATAAAATACCTAGGAATCCGACTTACAAGGGATGTGAAGGACCTCTTCAGAGAGAACTACAAACCACTGCTCAAGGAAATAAGAGAGGACACAAACAAATGGAAAAACGTTCCATGCTCATGAATAGGAAAAATCAATATTGTGAAAATGGCCATACTGCCCGAAGTAATTTATAGATTCAATACTATCCCCGTCAAACTACCACTGACTTTCTTCACGGAATTGGAAAAAACTACTTTAAAGTTCATATGGAACCAAAAAAGAGCCTGCATTGCCAAGACAATCCTGGACAAGACCAAAGCTGGAGGCATCACGCTACCTGACTTCAGTCTGTACTACAAGGCTACAGTAATCAAAACAGCATGGTACTGGTACCAAAACAGATATATAGACCAATGGAACAGAAGGGAGGCCTCAGAAATAACACCACACGTCTACAACCATCTGATCTTTGACAAACCTGACACACACAAGCAATGAGGAAAAGATTCCCTATTTAATAAATGGTGTTGGGAAAACTGGCTAGGGATATGCAGAAGACTGAAACTGGACCCTTTCCTTATACCTTATACAAAAGTCAACTCAAGATGGATCAAAGACTTAAAATGTAAGACCTAGGACCGTAAAAATCCTAGAAGAAAACCTAGGCAATCCCTCCATTCAGGACATAGACATGGGCAAAGACTTCATGTCTAAAACACCAAAAGCAATGGCAACAAAAGCCAAAGTTGACAAATGGGATCCAATTAAACTAAAGAGCTTCTGCACAGCAAAAGAAATTATCATTAGAGGGAACAGGAAACCTACAGAATGGCAGAAAATTTTTGCAATCTATCCATCTGACAAAGGGCTAATATCCAGAATCTACAAAGAACTTAAACAAATTTACAAGAAAAAAACAAAAACCCCATCAAAAAATGGGCAAAGGATATGAACAGACATTTCTCAAAAGAAGACATTTATGCAGCCAACAGAAATACGAAAAAAGGCTCATCATCATGACTGTTCATTAGAGAAATGCAAATCAAAGCCACAATGAGATACCATCTTATGCCAGTTAGAATGGCGATCATTAAAAATTTTGTCAGGAAACAACAGATGCTGCAGAGGTTGTGGAAAAATAGGAACACTTTTACACTGTTGGAGTGTAAATTAGTTCAACCATTGTGGAAGACAGTGTGGCAATTCCTCAAAGATCTAGAACTAGAAATACCATTTGACTCAGCAATACCATTACTGGGTGTATACCCAAAGGATTATAAATCATTCTATGATAAAGACACATGCACACGTATGTTTATTGTGTCACTATTCACAATAGCAAAGACTTGGAACCAACCCAAATGTCCATCAATGATAGACTGGATTAAGAAAATGTGGTATATATACACCAAGGAATACTATGCATCCATAAAAAAGGATGAGTTCATGTCCTTTGCAGGGACATGGATGAAGCTGGAAACCATCATTCTCAGCAAACTATCACAAGATCAGAAAACCAAATACTGCTTGTTCTCACTTATAAGTGGGAGTTGAACAATGAGAACACATGGACACAGGGTGGGGAATATCACACACCAGGGCCTGTCGGGGGGTGGGGGGCTAGGGGAGGGATAACATTTGGAAAAATACCTAATGTAGGAGACGGGTTGAGGGGTGCAGCAAACCACCATGGCACGTGTATACCTATGTAACAAGCCTGCACATTCTGCATATGTAACCCAGAACTTAAAGTTTAATAACAAAAAAAAAATTTCTATAAGCCTTTCACCCAGATGCCCTAAATGTAAACATTTTATCATCTTTCCCTCTCAATTGATAGACAGATACAGATATATATGAGTACATAAACATACACAAGCATTACAAATAGATACATATGCATATATACAAATATATGCATACACAGGTATACATACATTCTCTCTTTCTCCCTCTCTCCCTCTCTCTCTCTCTCTCTATATATATATATATGCACACATACACATTAAAAACCACTGGTACTCACAGTTCCTATTCAACACTGCAGAGCTCATTAGATCTTTCTGCTTCCCATATTGGTAACTCTCTTCCCATCAGTGAGAAACCTGGCTCCCACTATGCACAATATATTTACTTTTTGCTTAATCCTAGAATACAGTCAGTATTTTCAGAATTCATCATTTATTCGTTTGCAAAAAAGAAACCTCCCATCTAGCATTTAAGACTCATTAGTCCCAGGAGTTTGAGACCTGCCAGGGCAACATGGCGAGATTCCATCGCTACAAAAAAATTTAAAAATTAGCTGGGCGTGGTGGCATGTGCCTGTAGTCCCAGGTACTCGGGAAGCTGAGGTGGGAAGATGTCTCAAGCCCAGGAGGTTGAGGCTGCAGTGAGCTGTGACTGCGCCACTGCCTTCCAGCCTGGGTGACAGAGGGAGAACCTGTCTCAAAACAAAAACAAAAACAAAAACAAACAAACAAAACTCAGGGTTCTTTAGTCCTTATTCCAAGCACTGCGTTCCAGTCACTGGTTCAATCCCCCTCCCACCTCCACCTTCCTTTCAATGTGGTTGCGTGTTTCATTTGAAATACAGTTGACTTCATTTGTTTCTACTTACATCTCATTTTAAGATTTTTTTTGTTCCTCCTTGTTGTCTTTTCCCTTCCTTTTTTCCTTCCCTTCCTTCCTTCATACCTTCCTTCCTGCTTCCTTCCTTTCTCTCTTTCTCTCTCTCTTTCTTTCTTTTTGAATACATGAAATCTTAACAGGGTTCCAAGAGTCAGAAAATATGAAAAAATATAATCAGAGTAGTGTCCTTTCCCTATCATTACTTCTCTGCTTTCAGCCTC